>NC_000008.11:17132829-17435860 GCF_000001405.40 Homo sapiens
ATGTTGAAATCTAATCACAAACGTAATAGTATTAAGAAATGGGGCCTTTAGGAAGTGATTAAGTCATGAGAGTGGAACCCTCATAAATGAGATTAGTGCCTTGGTAAAAGAGGTGCAAGGGAACTGTTCACCCCTTCCTCCAGGTGAAGAGCCACAAGAAGATGCCATATTGGAAGCAGAAAGCAAGCCCTCGCCAGGCACTGAATCTGCTTGATCTGGGACTTCCCAGCATCTAGAACTGTAAGAAATAAGTTTCTGTTGTTTATGAATTACCCAGTATAAGCTATTTTGTTATAGCAGCTGAAACAGACTAAGACAAATATAATAGAGGAGCCATTCTTTCATCCTACTTTTGATTCCTGAACCCATGTATTCTGGTTATGATGGGGAAAGTGCACTATCTAGTTGTTTGTTTGTTTTTAATTGGAGGATTAGTCCAATCAAACTGCTCCACTATTAACAGAAGCTAGAAATAAACCCCTTTGTTATTGACATTTTTTGCTAACCATTAAGATTTTTGTTATTTATGGGTTATCTATTTCTGTCTTTTGCCACATATATTTTTTTAAATCTGTTCATTCACTTTCTTTGTATATCAAATATATAGATCATTTGGCTGTCCTATAAGTTGCACGTATTCTTCCAGTGTATTATTTCAGTTTTATTTATATATATATCTCAAAGATTTTCATTTTTATGTATTTGGATGTGATCTTTTTAGTTGCCATTTCCTTACTGCTTTTAAGCTTAGAAATACCTCTTCCAATTTAATAAACTGTCATATATTTTATTGTTTCTATTTTCTTTGCATATAACTAAAAAAATCCACCTGGGACTAATTTTGTTACCTGGTAAAAAATGAGGACCTAGTTTGTTTGACCCACAAATATCTAACCAACTTATCCAGCACTATTTATGGAATAATTCTTCCTTTTTGCCACCTAATATAATGCAAATTATATTTTAAATATTTAAAAAGATTTTTACATACCTAAATCTATTTCAGCATACTCCTTGTGTGGGGATGTAAATAAATAAACTATTCTCTTCATTTGGACTATCTGGCTGTTCTTGTAACTACATTGTTTTACTTACTTTATAATATGTTAGACTATTTTGTAAGACTAACGTGCCTCCATCTTCAATAGCCACATGTAAATTCCTCTTTTTAATTTTTAAAAACTATTCATACTGGCTTATCCTTTCAGATGAATATTAGAATTGTTTTATCTTCTCCAAGTGAGATTTTTATTTACTCACTTTAAAATTATAAATTAATTTGGACTGATTGACAATTGTATTATGGTTCTCCAGAGAAACAGAACCAATGGGATGTACATAAAGAGATTTATTGTAAGAAATCGGCACATGTGATTATGGAGGCTGACAAATCCCAAGATCTGCAGGGGGAGGTGGCAAGCTGGAGACTCAGGTGAGCAGACGTTGTATTTCTTATTTCAATCCTAAAGCCTGAGAACCAGGAGAGCCAATGGTGTAATTCTAGTCCAAAGGCTGGCAGGCTTAAGATCTAGGAAGAGCTCATGTTTCAACTTGAAAGCAGATGGGCAGAAGGAATTGTCTTACTCAGAAGAAAGTCAGCCTTTTGTTTGTTTGTTTGTTTGTTTGTTTGTTTGAGACAGAGCCTCACTCTGTCACTCAGGCTGGAGTGCGGTGGCATGATCTCTGCTCCCTGCAAGCTCCACCTCCCAGGTTCATACCATTCTCCTGCCTCAGCCTCCCGAGTAGGTGGGACTACAGGTGCCCACCACCACACCTGGCTAATTTTTTTATTTTTTAGTAGAGACGGGGTTTCACCATGTTAGCCAGGATGGTCTCAATCTCCTGACCTCGTGATCCGCCCGCCTTGGCCTCCCAAATTGCTGGGATCATAGGCGTGAGCCACCACACTGGCCGAAAGTCAGCCTTTTTGTTCTCTTCAGACTTTCAAATGATTGGATGTGGCCTGCCCACATCAGGGATAGCAATCTGCTTTAGTCTACTGATTTAAATGTTAAACTCCTCCAAAAACACCCTCACAGACACACCCAGAATAACATTTGTCAAGTATCTGGGCACCAAATGGCCCAGTCAGGTTGACACATGACGTTAACCATCACAACACCTTTATACTATACCATTTCATTCAGTGATAATTATTTGAGTTCAGTTGTATATTCTACTTACAAGTCAAGATTTATGGGTTTCATTATCCAGGTCATGCCTGCTTCTTACAATTATGGTCTTTCCTATAATATGCATACCTATTGTTGCTTTTAAGAATGGACATTTGGCCAGGCGCAGTGGCTCATGCCTGTAATCCCAGCACTTTGAAAGGCCAGGGCAGGTGGACCACAAGGTCAGGAGTTTGAGACCAGCCTGGCCAAGATGGTGAAACCCCATCCCTACTAGAAATACCAAAATTAGCCAGGTGTGATGGTGGGCAGGAGTAGTCCCGCTACTCGGGAGGCTGAGGCAGGAGAATTGCTTGAACCTGGGAGGTGGAACTTGTAGTGAGCTGAGATTGCGCCACTGCACTCCAGCCTGGGCAGCAGAGCAAGACTGTCTCAAAAAAAAAAAAAATGGACATTTTTCCGTTAGATTTTCTATCTGATTTTTGTTGGTATACAGAGAAGCAACTGATTTTATTTGTTCAGCACTTAACTGAACTCTTGGTAGTACTGAAAGTTTTTCAATTGATTCTCTTAGGTTTTCTGGTGGGCAGTCATATTACATGCAAACTAAGGCAAATGTGTCTTTGCCCTATCTACATTATTGCTTCTATTTCTATCTTCTGTATTATTGCATTGATCATAGCCTCCAGAAGAGTGTAAAATACTAATAGAGGCAGCAGAAATCTTTCGAATTCCCATTTTAATAGGATGATCTCTGTAATTGTTCAAATTAACATTTTGCTGTTGATCAGAAGAAAGTATCCTTTATTTCCTGAATTTGGAAGAAAAAGGATTGAGTGTTGAATCATCTCAAATGCCTTTCAGTAGTCACTGATAAATCGGTTATATCATTTTTCCAACTTGACCTCCAGATGTAATATATCTTTTTATAGGCTTCCTATATTAAATTATTCTACATTAGTGTAATAAACTCAAATAGATCATTCTTTTCATTTTCTGATCTTGGACAAGTTGACTTCTCTATGTTAGCTTCTTCATCTATAAAGTAGAGCTAAAAATTGTACTTACTCCATGTTATAGGACATAGTTGAGATAATTCACATAAAGTAAATTCATGGAAAATACCTAGCACAATCTCCAACACAACTCCTAGGGTATGTTCAGCTAGTATCATCATCATGGTTATTAACCAGTAGGCTGGAATATGGTTACAGCAGGGAAAATTATATTTCCCTAAGAGTTTTCTTATATTCATGAGAGGGACATTTCTCATATATTTTTAAAGGAAATAAAGTAGGTATTTTTAGATTTCTATGTATGAATCACGGACAGCAACAATAAAAAAGTTATTTTTCATTATTTTATTGTAAAGCGATGTTGTTTGCTTATACCTATCTCCTTGGGTTAAATACGAAGTCCCTTGCACAGTTGGGTTGGGTTCATGGCCTTGTGACCACCGCAGTTGCACAAAGACCCATGTCAGAAGGGCTCCACATATGGGTTTTAATCCTCCGCTGTCACCCTTTTGAAATTCTTAACAATTTTTAAGTCACTGGGAAAATGGAGCTTGTGGAGGGGATTAGAGCCTCTGCTCACTCATGGCTCTGCTTCCCATTCCATCCCCACCTTCCTAGGATTCTTGGCTACCCTCTGTCTTGCCAAGGGCCTCACCCTCCCCACCCTGTCCAGCTACTGCTGCCAGTCTTCATCCCCCAACAGCGGCCTGGGTGCAGGTATAGATAGGAGTTGGGCAGGGCATACGTGACCCAGAAAGTCTTCAGGCAGAGCATGGTGGAAGCCATTCTACCCTAGGCTGGCAGTGCCGTGGTGCAGAGGCTGTAGCCAACTGGGGACCACAACTCAGGGGAGATAAACCTTTTTTTTTTTTTTTTGAGACGGAGTCTCTCTCTGTTGCCAGGCTGGAGTGCAATGGCGTGATCTCAGCTCACTGCAACCTCCACCTCCTGGGTTCAAGTGATTCTCCTGCCTCAGCCTCCCAAGTAGCTGGAACTACAGGTGCACGCCACCACGCCCAGCTAATTTTTGTATTTTTAGTAGAAACGGGGTTTCACCATGTTGGCCAGGATGGTCTTCATCTCTTGACCTCATGATCGGCCTCCCAAAGTGCTGGGATTACAGGCGTGAGCCACCACTCCCGTCCAAACCTTTCTTTCACTTATCTTCAATCCAAGTACGTAAAGGCTTCTAGCCCAAAGGTTGCAATATCCTTGGGGTTGCCTATGTACCCCTATCTAAGTTTGGCTTATCAGTGCCATGAGGTATGAATTATGTAATTTCAGTGATTCTACATAGGAGTTAAATGTTCTATTTGCATTTAAAACTGGCATTGCCCAATATAAGCAGTAAACATCATACTAATTTTTTTTCTCCCAGTGGCTGTGAGAACATCATATTAATAATTTTTTTAAATTTTATTTACTTAGAATGATATTAAATAGCACATAAAAACACTACGACAAGTTGAGAGAGACAGACCACGGAAGGAAGAAAAAAGTTTTATATTTAATACCTTAAACCACACTATTTCCTGCTTTTTTTTAAAAAAAAAAAAAAAAAGGGGGCCCTGTATTTTCATTTCACACTGGGCTTCAAAAACTATGTAGCCCATCTTTTCTTGGGATATGGAAATTTGGGCCAGTATCCAAGTGTGTAAGTATGTCTAAGTTTGGATAAATACAGGATGGTAAGAAACAGACAAGGGAAAGAGTAATATTTTCTTTTCCTTTTTTTTTTTTTTTTTTTTTTTTTTTTTTGAGACAGAGTCTCACTCTGTCGCCAGGCTGGAATGCAGTGGCACAATCTCGGCTCACTGCAACCTCCGATTCCCAGATTCAAGCAGTTCTCCTGCCTCAGCCTCCTGAGTAGCTGGGACTACAGGTGCGCACCACCACGCCCAGCTAAATTTTGTATTTTTCGTAGAGACAGGGTTTCACCATATTGGCCGGGATGGTCTTGATCTCTTGACTTTGTGATCCGCCTGCCTCAGCCTTCCAAAGTGCTGGGATTACAGGCATGAACCACCATGCCCAGCCAAGAGTAATATTTTCTATTACATGGAAGTGGATTTTGATTTTCTCAGAATTATAATGGAGGAAGGAATATTAAGATGGTAAAAATGCTCATGATACCAAAGATGTCACCCACATAGTGATAAACTCTTAAGAGAATTTGATGTTTAAAGAGTTATGATGTCTGATCTGATTTCTTGAGTTTCATCAATAAGAATGAGGGACTCAACAACCAAATTCCAAAGAGGTTTGCATTAAAAAGGGTGTAACTCCAGCAGAATGTAAATGTATGTAAAATAGATAATAGCAAGATGTTATAATGTTTTTATTTTGAATGAGGCAGAAGCTGTTTCGGAAAAAAAGAAATAGAGGTTTAAAGAACACAGAACATACCTTCAACCGTCATGGCAGGGTGGTGGACCACGAGGAAATGACTGTGACAAGTCAGCTAATCTTGGAACAAATTAGGGAAGGAAATGATGAACAACAGCTGCAAAGAAAAAAATGCAAGAATTTGCAAATGATGTCCACTTTGTCTTTAATTTACCCAATGCTGGAAAGAATACTGGTCACCTCACTTTTCGGTAATATACGCACCATCGTCTTCAGACACAGAAGAATGAGAAATAATTAAAAGTCACTGAGACGGCTCTCACCTCCTGTACTTCATTATCACACAATGTCTTGCTAGAGAGGCATTTTCATTCCAGATGAATATGTGGTTGATTAGCGCTTTTCCAAAAGCAAATTGTCTGAGGTTCTCTGTACTGCATTTCCTGGTACCAATTCCTCATTAAGGTGATTCATGAATTTTTTTTCAATTAGGTTCGTATGTCTTTTTAAAAATCAATTTGGTGTCTACCTTTCAACTAAATGAATGAGCCAGTGTATCATTCAGACAGGTGTGGACTTGCATAACTATTAAGTTAAATGAGCCTTTCATAGAATTGAGAAAATGGGCAAGGATTAAAAGTGGAATCTGAACAGGAATCACTATTTCAAAAAGAACAAATTAGAAAATATGAATAAACAGGTGAACTACATGAGCCCTTCCATTCAGAATAGCATGGCGGGTAAGCATGGGCTCTGGAGTCAGACTTCTCTGAGTTCCAATCTTGGCTCTTTTGCTAACTTCCTTTGTAATTAAACAAGGTCGTAACACTTTCCACCTCTCAGCTTTTTCATGTGTGAGATGAGATCATGATAGCAGCTGTGTCCTTGGGTGGTGGTGAGAATTAAATGGGAAATCGCCTTTAAAGCACTGAACTGAGCACACAGTAAACATTTAATAAACGTTAGTTCCTATTATTCCTAAAATAATACTATTCATTTAGAATCACTTATTAGTAATCAATGCTAACTTGACCTTAACGATTAAAATAAAGATAAAAATTCATGGGCTATCGAAACCTATAATGTGGTACTCATTATTCAAGTGGAATGAAAACGCTGAAAAGAAAATGTTTTTTCAAAATTTCATCTGGCAAATATTGCCAAATAGTTTAAAGCAACCCTACATGTTTTTTCCATACCTCATTATCCTGTGCCATGAGGGGGAAGAAAGGATGTATTTTAATTGTTGTGACCACCTTCATCTATTGAAGTCTTGATTTTTCAGGCACCTCCTTCGTTTTATTAAATATTTTATGCTGTGCATGTGAAATATGTAGTCCATGTACCCAGGGATATTTCTGTCTACTAGTTTTCCTTGTTCCTAAAAACAGAAATGAGGAATGCCTACGGCTAAAAAGAAAAAAAAAACTGTCTTCCTGTCAGCAGCTCCTTCTGCTGATATGTCACCGATGCCAAATTATATATTCACGTAATTTGCATTTTCCCACTCTTAGTTTTTTTTTTAAATCATTAGGTCAAAAGCTAAAATACATTCCTTTTTATAGCAGAAAATTGCTCCTGTTTGTTCAAAGCCAATTTGAAAGATTTGATCATCAGAAAAACATATATGTGTCTATATATAATTTCTAAATTTGGCTTCAAACCCCTACTTATTTAGTAGTGCCACACAATAGCTTTTTTTAATGTAAGATTTTCCTTTAAGAAATGGGAATAAAGCTCTAGGTATTTATTTTTTGAAAAGTGCTGTTTAATCCTGTGCTTAGCATAGTGCCTGGTATTTGATAGATAACAAATATATATTTGTTGAAAAATAAGTGAATGAATGAATGAATAAGCAAAGTAAGGCATATCAAGCCTGAAAGGTAGATATAGTCTGCTTGACTTTTCCTTTACTGCTTGACACATTTCCTAACTTTTTCTACCTCCTAACATTAAAACAAAAATACAATGACATACTTGAGAGTTTTCTAGTAAGATGCATGTCCCAGCAACTAAAAAGCAACTCCAGCCGGGTTCAGTGGCTCACGCCTGTAATCCCAGCACTTTGGGAGGCCAAGGCGGGTGGATCACAAGGTCAGGAGATCAAGACCATCCTGGCTAACACGGTGAAACCCTGTCTCCATTAAAAATACAAAAAATTAGCCGGGTGTGGTGGCACGCGCCTGTAGTCCCAGCTACTCAGGAGGCTGAGGCAGGAGAATCGCTTGAACCCACGAAGTGTAGGTTGCAGTGGGCCGAGATCACGCCACTGCACTCCAGCCTGGGCGACAGAACAGGACTCTGTCTCAAAAACAACAATAAAAAAAGCATCTCCATGAGATGGATTTTTTTCTCGGGTACTAAATGCTGATAGTAGCTAACATACAGTCATCACATATATTATGCATATAAAATGCTTAGCATATATATACATATATAATGCCAGATACTATGCTGAGCATTTTATGCACATACTGTTATTAATATCCTCAACATTCCTATGAGAGAGTAGATAATATATGCCCCAGCTCATATCTGAGGCATAAAGAAGTTAAGTAATTTCCCTAGGGTTATATAGCAATAAGGATAAAACCAAGACTCAGACCCAGGTTGTCTAATTCCTGAGCCAAGCTCTTAACCACCATGATGAATTCCTTACTGTGATGCAAGAGTACTGGGAAGTAAACAGAGGTGACTTCTAAGCCATGGAAGAGGTGCCAGTGAGACTATGGTTTGGTGGGAAATTTAGGACTCTTGAGCAGTGCTGTGGAGCTGGAGCAGAATGGGCACGAGGTATCGGGAAAAGACGGAATATTAAAGCGAAGAACTGGATTGGGGGAAGGCGTATTATTGGCCTATATCTAGGGTCATATAATTTATCATCCAAACCGGGACACTTTTGAAAGTGAAAAGGGACTCTATTCAGAATTACATCAAGACAGTGCTCCAAACTGGGACTATCCAAGCTAAACTAGGACATGTAGTCATCTTTCCCATGTCCCTCTCTTGCTAACTTATTTTTTCCTTTCTTCCTCTCTTATTCTCTTCTCCCTTTTCTCTCCCTCTTCGTCCTCCCTATGTCCCTCACTGGCTCTTTACATGTACCTTAAATGGCAGTAATTTGTTGCGTTTAACTGGAGTTGGGATGCTCATTAAGTGCCTCATGTTCGAACCGAGTTAAACAAATGTTCCAAAACAATAGTTCCGTTGTTGCTGTATTATTTATCTATTGCGGCATTGCAAATTACCCCAAATTGCAGCTGCCTAAGAAAACAAACATTATTTCCCACAGTTTCTGAGTCAGTCAGGAGCAGCTTTGCTGGGTGAGTCTAACTCAAGGTCTCTCCTGAGGGTGCAGTCAAGCTGTTGGCTCGCACTACAGGCATCAGAAGGAATGACTGCAGCTGGAGGACTGACTTCCAGAACACTCACTCACATGGCGACCCCCATCCTCTGCTACATGGCCCTCTCGATGGGGCTGCTCATGACAACAGGGCAGCTAACTTCTCACGGCTCAAGTGATGTGAGGCTGAGGAGGAAGCCGTGGTGTCTTTTTTTGAACCAGTCTTTGAAATTTCCCACTATTAATTCTGCTTTATTTTATTCATTAGAAGTGAGTCACTAAGTGCTATGGTCTGAATGTTTGTGTTCTGCCAAAATTCATATGTGGGAACCCTAACCCCTAGGTGATGGCAGCGTTTAGGGGTGGAGCCTGTGTTAGTCCATTTTCACGCTGCTGATAAAGACATACATAAGATGGATAATTTATAGAGAAAAAGAGATTTAATGGACTCACAGTTCCACGTGGCTGGAGAGGCCTCACAATCATAGCAGAAGGCAAAAGGCACATCTTACATGATAGCAGGCAAAGAGAGAGTGAGAGCCAAGTGAAAGGGGTTTCCCCTTATAAAGTCATCAGATCTCGTGGGACTTATTCATGACCACAAGAACAGTATGGGGAAACCGTCCCCATGATTCAATTATCTCCCACTGGGCCCCTCCCACAACACGTGGGAATTATGGGAGCTATAATTCAAGATGAGATTTGGGTGGGGACACAGCTGAACCATATCAGAGCCTTGGGAAGTGATTAGGTCCTGAGGATGAAGCCCTCATGAAAGAAATTAGCACCCTTATAAAAGAGGCCCCAGCAAGCGCGTTGGCCACTTCTACTATGTAAGAGTACAGAGAAAAATCATCTTTGAGGGAACCAGAAAGCTGGCCTTCACCAGACATCAAATCTGCCAGTGGCTTCATCCTAGACTTCCCAGCCTCCAGAACTGTGAGAAAGAAATTTCTGTTGTTTAGAAGCTACCTAGTTTATGATACTTTATTATAGCAGCCAGAATGGACTAAGACACTAAGTCCACTCAGCACTCAAGGGTAGGGGATGAGCCTTCACTTCTTGAAAGGCGAAGTATCAAAGAATTTGTGCACATATTTAAAATCATCACAGCTACATAGTTTTTCAAACTGACTCTTTGATTTAATTTTACTTCTGGGGCCCTGTCCAAAGAAAACAACTAAATAGAAGGGGAATGTTAGATGAGCCAAGTTATTTATGGTATGTTATGCCAGTGAAAAATTAGAAAACACCTACATAATTAACAATAAAGGAATGGTTTAATGAATTATAGTACTTCTACAGAATAGAATACTGTGCAAATATTTAAAATTATTCTAGACTGGGCATGGTAGTAATCCCAGCACTTTGGGAGGCTGAGGCAGGAGGATCACTTGAGCCCAGGAGTTGGAGGCTGCAGTGAGCTATGATCATGCCACTGCACTGCAGCCTGAATAACAGAGCAAGATCCTGTCTCAAAAAACTTTTTTTTTAATTTAATAAAATAATTCTGAAGCCTGTATAGCAGCATGAAAAAAATGTTTGTAATGAAATATTTATGAGAACACAAAATTGTATGTAGGCTATCATTTCAACTCTAAAAAGAAAACACACAAAAAGACCAGATGGAAACAAGCTAAAATAACAATGGTTGTGCTAATTGGTAAAATCATGGGAAGTTTTTATCTTTCTCTGTTTTCAGAGTTTCTGCTCTATAACTGTGATGTATTGTTCTGCTATATATAATTTTGTTATTTTTTATTTTAAAAGAGATAATTAAAGATAATATTGACTTTCTAAATAAGGAATTCAGTAGGCTTTTTTTTTTTTTTTTTTTTTTTGAGACAGAGTCTCGCTCTGACTCCAGGCTGGAGTACAGTAGTGTGATCTCGGCTCACTGCAGCCTCCGCCTCCTGGGTTCAAGTGATTCTCCTGCCTCAGCCTCCTGAGTAGCTGGGACTACAGGTGCCTCCCACCACACCCGGCTAATTTTTATATTTTTAGTAGAGACTGGGTTTCACCTTGTTGGCCAGGCTGGTCTGGAACTGCTGACCTCAAGTGATCTGCCTGCCTCAGCCTCCCAAAGTGGTAGGATTACAGTCGTGAGCCACCACGCCTGGCCAACTTTTATGTTTTTTTTCCTTATGTTATTTTTTATGTTATTTTTTTTCTATTCAGCAAAAATAGACTGTACTGAGATTGACAGACAGGCTGCGGGGGTGTTATATTAGTAAGGGAAGAGATGATGCACTCAAACTTGGTAACTGAGAAGAATTTAATTAAAGGAAACCGACAGAGTGTGGTTGAGCACCCTTGGGAGTTGGGTGCTCACCCCCATCCCAGGCCTGAGGGACAAGGAGAGACAGGTACTGTATCCCACAGAAGCTGTGATCTTCAGTGTCAGGCTGAGGGAGGTGGAACGAACATCCTCATATTCTTGTCTGGCCTTTGAGCCACTGCCTACCTCCCACTGGTTGAACCAACCAAAATCCAGACACAAAGGAGCCCTAGATCTTAAAGGGTGAGCCTTCCATAACACAAAGAAGGGTGGAGAAGGCGTCTAGAGGCGCAAATGCAAATATCCAATAAAGGGACTGTGTTACGGAGCTGCAGCATGTGCTGCTTTGATGAGAAGATTCCAAAACTCTTACTTACAATCTGTATCTTTATACTAAAAATTTACATCAGCAATATTTGAGGAATATATATTTTGGCATCAAAGCATTCACAGAAACATGTCCAGGTAACCCACTAATTATGGATAATTGAGCTTTTAGACACAGACTGCCTGCAGTTTAGGTCATGGCATTTCAAACTGACTCTTGTATCTGGATATATTAGGTTGGTGCAAAAGTAATCACGGTTTTTGCCATTAAAAGTACTGGGATGGGCCGGGCGTGGTGGCTCACGCCTGTAATCCCCGCACTTTGGGAGGCCAAGGCGGGTGGATCATGAGGTCAACAGTTCCAGACCAGCCTGGCCAAGATGGTGAAACCCTGTCTCTATGAAAAATACAAAAATTATCCAGTCGTGGTGGCATGTGCCTGTAATCCCAGCTACTCGGGAGGCTGAGGCAGGAGAATCGCTTGAACCCAGGAAGTGGAGGTTGCAGTGAGCCGAGATCTCGCCACTGCACTCTAGCCTGGGCGACAGAGCAAGACTCCATCTCAGAAAAAAAAATAATAATAAAACAAAAATAAAAAATAAAAGTACCGGGATTACAGGCATGCGCCACCACTTTAAAAGTAATGGCAAAAACCGCAATTACTTTTGCACCAACTTAATACACATTTCATAGCAAGTGTTATTTAAGCAGAGACAGTGTACAAACCAGCAGGACATTTTCAATGACACTCACACCAGTGGACCTCCTGATAAAATTATCCCCATTCAAATAAGAGCTGTAGGAGCAGACATTTTCTTTATCTGTACTATGAACTTCACGAAGGCAAGCTCCTTGTTTTTGGTTTGGTTGGGCTTATTTTTTTGCACGTCATGTAACCATCGCCTAGCGCAATACCTAGAACACAGGAAGTCATCCAAATGTGTTGAATGGATGAATGGATGGACCTGTTAAAGGACCGTCACATGTTACTTTCCCTGTGTTCTTCTTTAGGAAATAAGAAATGTCTCAGGAAACGTTGGAAAATTTAAGTAACTTGCTTAAGATCAAGCAGCTAGCAGGTGACAGAAGTATAATTCAAACACAGATGTTTCCGTTGCAACCCTCCGAGGAAAATCAGACTCTTACACTGGTATTTCAGTTATACTTCCAAATATCTAGCCTGAAATATGACTATCCCTCTGCAGTGCAAACATGATAAAACTTTATCTTCTCTTCACTGTCTCTGGAAACAAATTTAATGTTCTTCCGAATGAGACTGTTTCATTATATAGTTGACATGAAAGTATTCTTTTTCTGTGTGAGGGAACATGATGGTAAAAATAACCCCACCCACCAATGCCTATTTAAGATGGAACTTCTGTACCATTTTTTTAGTCTATCAGCGGTTGTCTCGAAGCCGGTACTCTTTCCAAACCCTTTCCCACCCCCAATCCCCACCCAGTAGGAGGATGGTTTTGTTTGTCATACTGCCTAGGAAAGGGGGTGGCCCTGTATTTAGTTGTGCAAAGGAACCAGACGTGCTGAATGGCCTGCAGTGCTAGGACAGCCCCACACACTGAATAACTGTCATGCCCCCAATGCCATAGCATTGTAGCCCCTCAGTGATTCTTCTGCTTTTTCTAGGTTAGATCTTTTACCCAAGAATATCAACTATCCTGGGTATACTTAATATTCTTTTAAGAAAACCTAACCATGACATTTTACTTGGTTCCCCCTGTGAATTTTAAATTCCCGGGCTTAGCTTCTTTGATTAAGCTTGCCACGCTTGGAGTCTAAGAGAAAACAAGCTGATCCTCTTGTGCTCGCGGTGATGTGAGAGGAACAGCAGGCTGGGCGTCAGGAGACCCGGGTTCCTGGCTTGTCCACATAGCAGTGTCACCTTGGGCAACGCGTCTAATTTCTTCGTGCTCCTGTTTTCTCATCTGTAGCATGAGAAAGGGTGCACACAATGAAATAATTTTTCAAAGGTGCAGCCCTAACATTCTCTGAGTAGCTGCAGAGCTAAGCAAACCGGAGCCAAACGAAAGAGTTATTGTTAAACGCTTGAAGGAATGATGGAAGGATAAAATCCCCAAAGAAAACTTGAGATGTTACCTCAGTTAACACCCAAATGGGATGGGCATATGTAGCCTCCGCTGAAGCAGAAATAACCATTCCTACTTCCCAACTCTGTGTCTCTTTTCTGCGTCTCAGTTGGAGGTCACAGTCTCGTGAAGGTTGTAGTTAATAGTAGATGTGGTGGCCAAAGACTTTTTTCCTCCTTAGTTGACGGTGAGCCCCATGGAGTGTGATGGGCCCATTTACCTTGAAAGCCTTTCCTCTGGATTTCCTTTCTGCAGATTTTTCCTTTCCAAAATCTAGAACACCTGCTTCTTCCTGTCTTTCACATCTGTTAGCTAACTGGTCTCTGGGCCTTTCCTAGAATCTGTTTCTTCCTCTCCATTCCTCTTGCCATTGTCCCAGTCCAAGATTTCATTTTTTTCTATTCTTTTTTTTTTTTTTTTTCTTATCGAGACAGAGTCTCCCTCTGTCTCAGAGTGGAGTGCTCATATTGGAGTGGCTCACTGCAACCTCCACCTCCCAGGTTTAAGCAATTCTCATCCCTCAGCCTCCTGAGTAGCTGGGACTAACAGTGCCCGCCACCACGCCTGGCTAATTTTTGTATTTTTAGTGGAGACGGGGTTTCACCATGTTGGCCAGGCTGGTCTCGAATTCCTGACCTCAAGTGATCTGCCTGCCTCGGCCTCCCAAAGCCAAAGTGCTGGTGTTCCAGGCGGGGGTTTCTAAGCTTGCTTGTTCTAGTCGGTTGCCTGTTTGGTCTTAGATTGTTTTTCTTTTGCTTTACTTTATATACAGGGCACTGACCCCTGCAAACTACATTTCCCATGCTCTCATACCATCTGGCTTTCAAGTAAATTTGCGTTCTCTCTCTCTCTCTCCTCTTTCTCTCTTGTTTCTTCTCTCTGTCTCTCTCTCTCTCTCTCTCTCTCTGTGTGTCTGTCTCAGGCTATGTCTCTAGTAGTGGCTAAATCCCCTCCACGGTCCCCAACAACTACCAGGTGACCCATCATTCATCTTGGGCTGCAGTAAGACCACCTTCCCTTTGTCCTTCCAGCCCTAGAGGTGGTAGTGACTTTCTACAATTGGTAATCTTTGTGTTTGTTTCCCCTCATCCTAATTGTTCATTCTACTGTTCCAACATCTTTGAATTTCATTTCCTGTTTTAAATTCCTCCCATTGAAATCCCTCGTGTGATATTTTCTTCTAGTTCTCAAAATTGGCCTCTCCAGAAGAGAAGGCATTCCCTGCACAAGGGAATCATCCCTTCCTTTCTCCATGATGCAAACTCCTACATGTTTTTTAAGCTTTAGCACAAATTCTACTTTTCTCTCAAGGCTTTCCTGACTATTCCAGGCACATTGAGTCACTTCTCCTTTGCTGCCAATGTACTTGTTATTTATCTTATTATAGAAAATGTTTGCACATTGATCTCCTCACTAGCCCAGAAGCTCCTTGAAGCTAAAGACTAAATTTTTATTTATTTATTTATTGTGTGTGTGTGTTTGTGCGTGTGTGTGTGTGTGTGTGTGTGAGAGAGAGAGACAGAGTTTCACTCTTGTCGCCCAGGCTGGAGTGCAATGGCGCGATCTTGGCTCACTGCAACCTCCACCTCCTGGGTTCAAGTGAGTCTCTTGCCTCAGTCTCCCAAGTAGCTGGAATTACAGGCGTCCGCCACCAGGCCCAGCTAACTTTTTGTATTTTTAGTAGAGACAGGATTTCACTGTGCTGGTTAGGTTGGTCTCTAACTCCTGACCTCGTGATCCACCTGCCTCGGCCTCCCAAAGTGCTGGGATTACAAGTGTGAGCCACCATACCTGGCCTAAATTTTTAAATTTGAATATCACCAATATCTGGGCACATGGCAGGTAATTAGTAAATATTTGTTAAATAATACACTACAAAATTTTGAAAAATTTCTAGTCATATTTAAGCAGCCTCAATAGGGTTATGATTCTTAAATTTTGCAAACACATCAGATACTTTAGCTATTTTATAATGAAAACAGTTATAACTGACCTCTTTATAAAGAAAATGAATTAATAACTGTAGCTGAGCTAGGTATTTTATTCCAGTGTTGGTTGCAGTATATAATTCATTGCAGTGCTTACTATATTTCACCAAACAGTGGAATACTGATGTTTTAACTTTAGTTTCAGTCCTTGGAATTTGCATTCAGGTTTGTGTATTCATATTCCAAAATGCTGCTCATTAAAGAGTAATTATAAATGTCTATAATTAGGAATAGGTCACTATTGTTATTACTGGAAACACACACACACATATATATGTATCACATCATATATATAGTCCAATTTACCTTTTCTCCTCATAAAAAAATATTTTAGAACTGTGTAATTTCTACATCATAATTAAATCAACATATTCTTTCAACAATTCACAAAGTGATTATGCCACGTTGTCAAATCTTTTGTGATTCCTGAAAGTTAAAAAATGTCATCTTTAACATTTTATTGAATTCAAGAGAAAGCTTAAAAGAATAAAAATGTATTACCCAAACCTCTTATTTGGCTTAAAACATAAAATCCAAAATCTCTAATCATTTGGATTCAGAACCCTCAACATCTATACTGAATGTCTGAAAAACAAAAACACATCCTGTCTCGTACTCCAGATATAAAGGCTATCGATATTCCACTACCAACCTAGCATTTCATATAACATGACCCATTACCAAAAAGATTGAAATTTGAGCAAATAGAGAAAGGTTTTATCAACCATGGAAATAATCCCAAGAAATTCAGAATACACAGTGCCTGAGTATCACTTGAAAATAATAATTCAAAGTCTTTGAGCTATAGGACGTAATTACACTGGATAAATTCTAGTTGACGGAAGAATCCCTGATGATAAAAATTTTTCTCCTACAAATCCGAAGCCAACATGCCTTTTTTGTTAAATGTCATCATTAAATATTTATTCTTTATTTTGCCTGCTCTTTTTGAAGGCCAGAGAAAACTCTGGTTAGACTTTTTTCCTTGTACAGTTATAAATTGCGGTGTAAACTTGATGTCCAACTTACATGTAAAGTCTTTGACAATACTTGTCCGTACTTATTAAAATTAAATATTAAAACTTATTTGATGTATTTTCTTTTCTTTCTTTCTGTCTTTCTTTCTTTTTTTTCCTCCAGGGGAGCATGTCTTGAACCAGAGCCAATGTGGGTTTCCACAGACCACGGGGCAAGACACGTTGACTTTACCTCCACTCATATCTGCTGTACAGAAAACCCAACATGATTAATCTAGCCTACAATTTGACAGAGACAGAATTGAATATAAGCAGTTATTCCTCAGGTGCCCCCAGTGATTACCTGCTCTTCCAACAGAACAGAAAAGGTCTTAACGACCACGGGATAAAGACACCATTCTGTGTTTCAAGGCTGGAGTTATCCAGGAATAAAGCTATATCTTCAAGCACTGTTGGTTTAAAATCTAAATCTAATATTTAGCTTTATGTAAAGGAATTCGGACATAGCAATCTAAGTTTCTCCGTGCATACCCTTTAAAGTAATCATGTAGATATCTACATTTTCTGGAACATGGACAGTCTGGTTGCAGACAATGGTCTTCATTCTCACAGTAGACACAGCGAAAAGATGGTTTTTTACTCTTTAGATTCATCTTCAAAGGAAGAAATCTCCTAGTACCAAAAACGTAAAATTGTTTTCAGCTTCCTGTTACTTCTCATTTTTGTTTCTATAAAACAGTGAAGGGATTATTACATAGGGGACTTTTTTGTTTTTTACATTTACACATGTAAGCCTTAGGTTGAAGAAATCGATGTATACTGTTCTATGATCCAACTGGCACCTTACTCTTCTTTTCTCCCCCAAATCAATAGGTCTTTTATTGCATCATTTAAATATCACAAATAGGTCTTAGGAATCATCCGGCATCTTGTTTCTGTACCTGGACTACTCTTAGGTCTTATTCAGCAGCCTGCTTAACTGTTCCTTTTTCAGAGACGTAAATACCATCCACACATTTTCTGATATCCTTGTTTTTATTTAATTGTCGTGGCTGGCTGAATCAAAGCAGCTGAATTTGCAACAAGATCAATGTCATTTCCTACAAGGGTTAATTCATCTTTCTGGGCTTGAGATACTGAACAAGCAACACCTGGCCACTGCCAAACCCTGTGGATTTATTTTTCACCGAGGAAATTTCAGAACTCAACCAGAGACCTATTCTTCCGGATAACGACATTGATGGAGAAGTGAGTACACACAGAGCTCATCTTGCAGCGGAAGCCCAGCACAACATCCTTGACCATGTCCTGTGCATGACTACAAATAGTGCAAACGGCAGCCAGTTCCTTTCTGTTTCCCCACCATTTTTTGTCAGTGCCGGAGCCTCATTTTTTTTCTTTCCAAGGAGACTGAGGTCTACATTGATGTGATTGAAGTCCATCCACAGGGTTCCTCTAGGGCCTTTCGCAATTACTGGGTATCCCTTCAAAGTGATATCTACATTTTCTGGAATATGGACAGTCTGGTTGCAGAGAATGGTTTTCATTCTCACAGTAGACACAGCGAAAAGGTGGTTCTTTACTCTTTGGATTCCTCTTCAAAGGAAGAAATTTCCTAGTACCAAAACGTAAAATTGTTTTCAACTTCCTGTTACCTCTAATTTTTGTTTCTATAAAACAGTGAAGGGATTATTACATAGGGGACTTTTTTGTTTCTTACATTTACAAGAATAAAGCCTTTTGAATATTCAGACAAGACAAAATGTCTAAACAGTTCTGTCCAACAGAACTTTCTTCAATGATGGAATGTTCTAGATCTGCAGCATCCAATGCAGTAGCCACTAGCCACATGTGGCTATTGAGCATTTGAAATGTGACTATTGCAACTAAGAATTTCCAATTTCATTTCATGTTAATTTTAACAAATTTGAATAGTGGCAACAAATGTTACTAGTGGGTACTTATTGAACAATGCAGGTCAAGAGAGTGTGATTTGAATGGCACCAAGTAAGCTTCTTCACCCCCAAATTCCTGTATCCCTATTTCTCAAGGTGCCTTGGTCTCCATGAGCTGAAACTAACTCTTTAAGCAATGAGATGCAGAATGAAATTAAAACTACGTGCCATTCAGAGTTCTTGGTTGTAAACACAAGTCAACTCTAGTTGACTTACATAAAAAATGTTATGCAGTTATATAGGCACTCCTCCAAAATCAAAAGGAAGCCTGGAGAATCAAGCTTGAGCTGGAACAAAGGAAGCTGGTGCATGGCCAAGATCTTGCCACCAAGAACAGTCAACCTAGGATGCCATTGCTGCTCTTAATATCCCTGGACACTTGCCACTACACTGCAGAATTCTGCTGCCCTTGGTCACTCTCTGCTGGCTGTTCAGCTCTCAACTCCACAACGGCCACTTCTAATAATCTCCAGTTGAACTTCGGACATTGTATCACCCCTTAGAGATCCATAGTATAGCTGTGTCAGTCCACTGGAAGGACATGTCTGCTCACCTTTTGGGTTCATAGACAGTGCCCCTCCCCATTTAGGGGCAAAGAAGGGAAACAGTGTAAGCAAAAATATTATTTCAATGAAAATTTCCTATTTTATTTCCAAAGAGATTGACCTTAGTGCGAATTCTAAAGAAGTGCACGCAGAATCAGAACGATTTACTATATAGAAAAATGCTTTAAGTCTTTTAAATTTTTTGAATAGGGTTGTCGTTTTTATTAATCGTTAGCCATTAAATTATAATATAAAAACTGTATAATTATAACATAACTTTTTGTTTTGAGAAGGAGTTTTGCTCTTGTTGCCCAGGCTGGAGTGCATTGGCGTGATCTTGGCTCACTGCAGCCTCCACCTCCCAGGTTCAAGCAGTTCTCCTGCCTCAGCCTTCCAAGTAGCTGAGATTACAGGCACCCGCCACCACGCCCAGCTAATTTTTTGTATTTTTAGTAGAGATGGGGTTTCGCCATGTTGGCCAGGCAGCTCTCAAACTCCTGACCTCAGGTGATCTGCCCGCCTTGGCCTCCCAAAGTGCTGGGATTACAGGCGTAAGCCACCGCGCCTGGCCAATTATAACATAATTATAATTAGTTACAATGATATATAATTGTTCATGAAGTTATAATTCATATTTATAATTGCCTTGCTTAAGCTAACAGTTGATAACTATTGAAATCTATGGAGAAAAGGTGAAGACTGCTGCACTGCTTGGTGTGTGCCTGCCATCTAGTGGCAGGACACATTAATGCTACCGTGAAAGCCCTAGTGTGCCTGAAAGGCAGGTTTGCCAGGGACAGTTTGCTCCACTTTACATTGTCCCAGTGTTTCGACCCAATCAACTGTATACAGAGACATCCTTAGGCTTTTGAAATTATCTCCCATTTTATTCAATATAATTACAGCTGAATTGCAAACATAAATCTCTGACAGCCAAAACATATCTAAGCATTACTTCATTCCTACATTCCCTAAGCGCGATTCCTTTTCTTTTATTTTATGTATCTCCAGAAACAAAAAGTGGTTTAGGCATGCTATTCTTCTCCCACAGAGAATGTTTTGACCGCTATTATAAACATGCACATTGACACTGGAGTCACTGATGTCATGGACTGCTGCCTTCTAAAGAGCTCTTCTCCCCCAAAAGAGTGATAAGATTAAGTTTGAGAAAATAATGAAAGAGAATCTATCAGTATTCATGCAGACCACTCTAGTAAGGATGGGAGAGCCATTAGTAAATAAGATATAGATCCAGACCTCAGCTTCATTGCTTCCAATCCTTGTAAGATTTAGAACTCCTTGTATTTGTGAAGTATCATACCCTCTTAGCAAACTCAAGACAATCAACGTCTCATATACATGAGACTAATACGACTGACCTCATATCTTGTTGCAATGTTGCCCTCTAAGAACCCTTCCAAAAGGAAGGAGTAAATATCAAGCAAGTGTCCTAATAGTTTCTGGTAGGTGTTTTGGCTGAAAAGCTTGAGATGAGGTTGGCATAGGCAACATTAAGGGGGATCTGTGTTCTCTAGCAGCAGGTGCGTCCACGCCTTCCTGGGTTTGGCTAGCATGCTATGTTTGATTCATACTATGCAAGGGACTATGTTAAAATGGTAATCTGGATCTGCAGGCAGAAGGAAGATTAGCAGTATTAATCATGAAAGTACGGCAGACTTGAGGTTTGGGAACTCAAGAATTTGGGGGACTGGGCTGGAGGGAGAGGAGGAACGTTTAAGGTTCCTGGGCTGGGCACGGTGGCTCACACCTGTAATTCCAACACTTCCGGAGACCGAGGCGGGCGGATCACCAGGTCAGGAGTTTGAGACCAGTTCGGCCAACATACTGAAACCCTGTCTCTACTACAAATACAAAAAATTGGCCGGGCACGGTGGCGGGCACCTGTAATCCCAGCTACTCGGGAAGCTGAGGCAGGAGAATCGCTTGAACCCGGGAGGCGGAGGTTGCAGTGAGCCGAGATGGCGGCATTGCACTCCAGCCCAGGCAACAGTGCGAAATTCTGTCCGCCCCCCCCCCCCAAAAAAAGAGAGATTCCTTCATGGGGCAGGAACTGAAAATAAGAGTTGTGAAAATTTGAGAGGTGAATGATGTTGCTAGACCGCTGAGTGCAAGGAGCATACAGGCAGAGGCCTAGCGAGGATGGAGTCATGGTCATTAGGGACTGGATGAACCCAGCAAGGGGGCTTTTCTCCCGTTCTCAGTCACTCCCCTCACCCCCCTCCTTGCCTGGCTGTCCGCTCGTCTCTTCTCTTCCTTAGCGTCGCCTTCTTCCTCCTTTGCTGTGGCTGGCTTTCTTTTTCATAAGTGGTCATATCAGTTTAATCACAGTTATACATGAAACCTACAATTTCTTATGCTTATTGAACATTTAAATTAAAATTCGTGAGTTGAATCTTCTGTATTTCTAAACAGTAAGTCTCTAGTGAAGTTTCTTCTTGTCTATGACCTTCAAATTATTTTTTCTGTTTATGTAGTCCTAAAGAAAAAGAAAATAAATCAAAGGCTCTCTATACCTCAAAATAAAAGCTCTCCTTCCACTCTCATCAAAGACTAGTATCTAGAGATTGGCTACTCACCAAAGAGCTTACATTTGTGCGTGCTGCTTATGCCTAATTAGAGACTACGCAGAGATCAATCCTGTTATCTTGTGGCTGTGGAGATGCTTCTTCCTAATCCAGACTTTTTCTGTATTTAAGATAAGAGAACTTGAAAAACCCAGTAATAGTAGTATCCTTAAAATGGCAATAACAAAAAAAAGTTGAAAATATTTCACAAATATTTATTATAAATAGGAACAATTAAACAACATCTTAGATGAGTAATAAAAATGTAGCTCCTTCAAAGATATGACACCTGCATACTTTTCCAAAAGGGTAGATGATGTGAAAACTGGGCAGAATGCTATTCCATTTCCGATTTCAAGACCCTGTAGGACTGTGAGAGGAGGAAGAGCACAGGGCATCGTCGCATCCAGGATCTACAGAGGCACTATTTGCACTTTCTCCACCGTTTCCAGTATGGAAAATCCGATTCCTTCCTTTTCATACCTTGATGGTCTCTATTGACCTTCAGTCACTGATTTGCTTCTCTTTGTGAGGGTATTTCAGTCCCAGGAGGAAGTTTTAATTCCTGTTTTTTACTCTCTTCTGATTGGGGGGGAACACAGGATTAATATTCATGGAAAACATTAAGGAATCCAGAGAAGTTTTATTTTTACATTAATATACAGAATATCCACAGAGAATATAAAAGGCTACAGCAAAATCAAGTGATTCACTGGGACATAATATGTCTCTCTTTTCAATTATTTAAAGTCCCACAGAAACTTGACTGACATTTTCTATGCATTTTTGAAGAGAAATGGAAAGAGATGTGGGGTGGGGGGCTGTAACATAGTAGCTATTTCGGGAGAGATTAGCTTGTTGTGTAATCCAGTCACAGAAAGATAATCGCAGACACCAGAGCTAAATTTCTTTGACTGAATTCATGTAAATCAGTATTTTTTTTTTACTTCTACACATGAATAAGAAGTAATTTCATTCACTGTGGTTGCTGTGTGGTGTAAATACACATATTCACTAATGTTAAGAAAAATTGTGCCTATTATGTATAGTAGTGATGCACATAATTTACACACACTCATTGATTGAAATGTTTCCCTGTGGATCAGGTGCGTTCATAATCAGATGAAGGAAAAGCAAAGGAGGCATTTGTTTATTTTCCATTTCGTGAATCATAAAATCAGAGGTTTGGGCTGACTACCTTTAGGTTCCCTTACGGTGTTTTTTGGGAACCGCTTTGGAGTCAGCTATCTGCTAAGTTTGGAATTGCCACCACGAAAGTAAACACCGTAGTGAGGAGCGGGTTGAGGAAAAGAATAAATAGTTGGTGGAAGGAACCACCGTACTTGAGGGAGGGGACAGTGGGAACGGCCCCTGTCACAATCATTTATCCAAAGCATCAACATTCTCAGAGCAAAGAACTTGTGTTTCTAACTCCAGAGGTGCCTGGATTCACAGCCAAAAATGCTTCTTCCTCGCTCTCCACAGCCCCTCCCATGCCAGACGCCGGCTCGGCACCCCCTCTTCGCTGTGCATTTCTGCTTCCCCCGAAAGCCCGAGTAGTAAAGGGAGGCTCCTTGCGGCCCCCGCGGGCTCCCAGGGACCCGCAAGTTGAAGCGCGAGGGTTCCACGCGGGCTGCGGGGACGCGGGCCTCGGTGCTGCAGACTTTCTCAGGGCGCCTGGGTCGCGGCAGGCGCGGAGTCCCGAGCGCAGCAGCTGCTCCGCCGGCCTCGCCTCCGACCCCCGCCCTGCGCCAAGCGCGGAAGCGCTCGCGACCTAACTGCCCCGGGTGCCGGGCGCCTAGGGAGGGGCCGCCACCGCCCGCTCCGCCCCGGGGGCCTGCGCCCAGCAGCCCCCGCCTCCCCGGAATCCAGAGGCCGAGCCGGAGGCGGCGGGGCCACGGTGGGAGCCCGCGAGGTGGCCCGAGCGAGGGCCCCGCATCCCCGCAGAGCCCGCCCGAGGGCGCAGCCTGCCACGCCAGGGGAGGCGGCCGGGCGGCGGGGAACGGCGGGGGCGGAGCGCAGCCTCCCGACGCCGCCGCCTCACCGCCCCCCTCCGCCTCCTCGGCCTCCGCTCGCAGCCGCCGCCTCCGCCTCCGCCGGGCTGAGGAGCCGGGAGTCCGCCGCGCCGGCTCGGGGCTGCGGGATGGGGAGTTAGCGCCACGGCGGCGGCAGTGGCCGCAGCGCACCCCGCCGCCGCCCAGGAGCCCGTCCAGCCAGGGGTGCCGGGCCCGCCCAGCCCGCCCCGGAGCCAGGCCCGCGGGCGGCGGCGGAGCTGGGCAGGTGGATGCGGCTGGAAGATGGCGCCCTCGGGCCCGGGCAGCAGCGCCAGGCGGCGGTGCCGGCGGGTGCTGTACTGGATCCCGGTGGTGTTCATCACCCTCCTGCTCGGCTGGTCCTACTACGCCTACGCCATCCAGCTGTGCATAGGTGAGTGCGCCCCCCGCCGCGGCGCCCCCAGCGCAGCGCAGCCCACCCCGACTGTCCCGGGACGCTCAGCCGCTCCTCCGCTCTCGCCCCCCGGATGCGCCCCGGGCGCTGCCAACCTGCCGCGTCCCGCCGGCTCCGCCGCTAAAAGCAGCCTCGGGGCAGCTTCTTCCACGCGCACGCCCCTCGCCCTCCCCTCCCAACTCTCGGGTTAAGGTGGCGCCTCCGCCCCGCACTCGCCGCCGAGCCTCCCGCCGCCTTCCGCTCACCGCCGCCGCCTCGGCCACACCCCCTAGAGGGGCGGAAGGTCCCCGGGACCGCTGTGGAGAGGGGAGGCCGAGGCCGGCGAGGCGCGCCGGGGGCTGAAGGGCTGAGCTGGGCCCGGCCCCGAGCTGCGCCAGACCCGCGCGGGGGTGCTGGCCTTGGCGGCGGAGCTGGATCCCTTGCTGGTTGGCGTCAATGCACTTGTTAAAAATTTGTGACAGCGCTCAGGGGCGTTTTTGCTGCCTTTATGATTTGAGGATTGCCAGTTGGACACTTTTCTAGTTTAAAAGGATGTGGAGGAGGTGAGCTACTAGAAAGTATTTTTGAGGACATGTGCAACACACTAAACCATAATTTAGGTGTTTGAACAGTAGGGAGAGAAAAAAAGAGGTGATCGTCTGAGGTTTTTACATCCAGAGAGCGAAGTGGCTCCAGTCCGAGTTCGAGGTTCCTGAATTGGTGGGTAGGATACTTTTAATGCTGAAGATTAAAATTTTTTAAAAAGTTGATTATTATGCACAAGTAGGGAGTACAATGATGTCGCTTAATGTAAGCTGGTTTCTACCTTCAGGGGTTTTATGAAAACTGATCTGGGTTATCAGAAAAAGATGTTAAAACAGAAAATGACCTTTCTGCCAGTGACTTGTGAATGCTTTCTGTGTTTGGTGCTCCACCTAACAAAGTGTCTGTTTTTGCCCTACCAAGTGCTAGCTTTGGGTGGGACGAGGGAAAAGATGAAATAGTGGCCTATTATATTGAGCCTTCACAAGCTCAGCATTTTCAAAGCCTCAAGATTCAGACATAAAATCTTGTCTGAAGCCATCTTACCTCAAAATGTTGCGCCTTGTGAGAAAGTGTCATAATAATACATCAAAATAATCACTGATGTAAGTTGTAAGAGAACCGAGACTTTTATTTCATATAGTTTTAAAATTTGCTGTTATTACTTGAAGGGATTTAGAAACAAGCTTAATAGTCCAAAAAAAAAACCTTGAGTCTGTTGTTGGGAAAAGATGAGGCTGTACAGGCATTATCATGAGGATGCATTTAGGTATGCAGTCGTCAAGTCATCTAAAATATATAGGAAAGGACGTGTAGTAAATTTTGTATTAACTGTTAATCTTAAAATAGCTTGCCTTATTGAGATAGACTGTATATGTTACGTAACTGTTGGGAACCTTTGTTGTGTTTCATTCCTTCGTCCTCTTAAAAACAGTGACCAGTATCGATTAATATAACCTGCAAAGAAGGGACATCCTAGAAGGCCTTCATTATCAAAATAGCCTATTCTCCTGTATTATCACATTAAGCTAAGACGCTTATCTTGGTACAGTGTCTCCTGTCCATTAAGAGGAAGCATTTGAAGGCAGAGAGAGCTCTTCTGCCCGTTAGAAGGATGTCTGCTCCTAGCTGAGGTGCTATATGGCAGATCTTATTATTGTATTGGGTAGACAGGTGATGGGGAAGGAACTAAATGGAAAATTGGTATTATATCTGAATCGTATGTTTATATGTACTTTCTGTAAGTTTAAGACAAATCTAGAGTATCCATAAAATCCGCATCAGTATTTTAGTAAGTGACGATTTGACTAAGAGGAAGAATGCCTCTTTTTAAACTGCCTAAGTGGCGTGGCCTGTTATTGATACCTTATCTATCACTTCTTGTCCCTGCCTGCCTGGCGCAATGCCTGTCTGCCTGGCGTAATGCCTGTCTGCCTGGCCTGGCGCAATGCCTGCCACATTGAAAACAACAGTAAGTGGTCTTGAATAAACAAATAAATGATTCAGAGGCACTATCTCCTAGGTTTTCAGAAAGTAGCTTTTATATTTTTATTGCTGTAGAAACAAAAAGTAATTGTTATGAAAGATCTAGATTCTAGAGTCTAAGAAGGAAGAACAAGTTGAAGCTGAATTTGATTCTAGAGACCATGGCAGTTTATGAGTGGCAAGCTTTGCATAGCCTTGGTCGAGTGGGAAGTTGAAATTTCCTTATAGGCACTGGGAAAGATGGCGACTAGTGTGACTGACACACAAAACCAGACTCCCAGACTCCTTTCCTTTTCACAGACAAAGCAAATGGAAATACCAGCCCCCACCCTACCCCCAGTATTAATCACATCTCAGACTGCCCTGCCCTTTGAAGATTCTTTTTCTCTTGGAAGTTGCCATTTACAAGCAGATTTTCCAAATTTCTTCCATAAAACATTGGCCAAGGTTGGGACCAGAGTGTGGGGGTCGAGGGCTGGGAACTGGATCAGGTAGCAAATGGAATAGAAGAAACAAGGTGATTTACCCTGGTCCTCCTTCCACATCTGCTCTCAGCTAGGGATGACCCTGAATATAAATTATTCTGTGCCCTTTGCTGAATGAACTGCAATTTAGGAGTAGTGCTTATCCTGGTATCCTTGGAAACTGGAGATAATGATTCTCATTACAGTTAGTTTCTATATTTAACAACGTGGATGTATGTGGCTCTCTAGGCACTTTTTCAGTTAGCATAATTTTTGCTTAGTGTTTGTATTTTATAAAAATAACCTCTCTTTTTGGAATATGTGTATATGTAAAATATATGGGATGTACATATATTGTGTGAGAGTCAAGTATTTTTGGTTAAGTCAGCTTCCTATTCTGCCAAAGAAAAGATCACAAAAGACAGTTATACTTCTAATCATTTGGACCACGTTTATCTCGTTTGTTGATTAACGAGGCTCTTCTATTTGTATTCCTCCCCCTCCATCCTTTCCTTCTCTTACCACTCCTTTTCCCTCTCCCCTGTCCCTCCTGTCCCTCTCTCCACTCCTGGCTTCTTTTGTGTTTTAACTCTCTTTGCTCTCTTTAGATATTAGGTTGGTTTCCGTCAAGTAAGATAAACTCAAAGGTAACATTTGTACGGGGAACTTTAGGATGCACTATGAGAGGGAATGAGGGAGGTCTGCAGCCTCAGGCATGCTCCATTCAGCGAGCACACGACGTGGTTTATGTTTTACAGATCCCTTATGGCTGCTGCTGTGTTAACTTCGCTTGTTGAAGAAGGTTCACTGAAGTTTCCCCTTTTAAGTGCTAACATTTAAATTGTTTTAACTATTTCATACCGTTTTCTTTATTTCAGATTTACTGAAAAGTTTCAATAGTACAAGAAACTTCCACATACACTTGTGTAACCAGTTCAGTTCCCATTTTTCTTAAATATATTACTTTCCTGCTCCTTAGGCAGGTGCTATGGGACGTTTATGATGATGTTGCGCAGTCATGTAGTTCTGAATTTGCTTACGGTTTTAGTTACGTCATTTTAAACGATCATGAATTTTCAAAAGCTTAAAGGTCATCCAGGCTAACCCCTTCTGTATTTTTAAACGAAAGAGTTAAACTAAATTCCAGAGTTGCCACAAGTTCAATGTCCTTCCTCCGAGTTACCTAGCGGAGGTGTCAGCTATGACCTTAGCTGCTGTAATGCAGATGTCCAGATGTCTCCTTTTCCCAGCAAACCCCTCTCCAAATATCTTAGCCCATTGAAGTTATGCAGCAACTCTTTTTAACTTTATTATCGTTTACAGAGAGTTGACAGAGCTCTGAAAATAAGCCAACAGTCTTTACACAATTTTAGAGATTTAAAGGGCTTTGTAGTTTGGGGCTATATAGTACATATTTTTGGCTTTGCAAGCCGTGTGATCTCTGTTCCAACCACTCAACTCTGCTATCTTAGAGAGCGGCCATAGAAGATACTTTAACAAATGGGCGTGGCTTTTATTCAACAAAAATATTTGGCCAATCTTGGCCCTTGGGCAAAAGTTTGCTGAGCTTTGGAGTATGTGGGAAGCTAGACCACTAGAATCTTGAGGTTTTACTCGCAGTTTTGCTGTCTTTATTACTAAACATCCTTCAGCAGTGATTGCAGCCTGTTATATTCCACAGTGATTATAATACTTAGGGATCAGTTTGAGAGATACGCTGCCATGTTTTCATTCTTTTAAACAAACAAGAAAACAAACATCCCTAAGAACAAAATACACAAAGCCTCCTACTTGGATTCTGTGAAGTTATGACCTACCATTCATTGAAGGCCACTGCAGGCTCAAGGATAGAGACTGCTGGGGCTGTCAGTTGTTTTCCACCATGAAATGAATTTGAGCTACACAGAAGAAGAAATGTTTTCTTGTTATTGATTTTAAACTGTTGCTTTATATTATTAATATCTTGATATTCCTGATACTTAAACTATTACTTTAAAAACTGTGTAGGACAATAAAGCATTTTTCACAAAAAAAGAACAGGCAGTAGATCTTGGGAATACAGATGTTCTATTAAGTTGATGCAAAAGTAATTGCAGTTTTTGCCATTAGTTGGTTTTGCCAACTGTTTTAAATATTAAAATAGTTTTAAGTGGAATGTAAGGCACATCCATAGAAAACTGATGTATGCAAAACATTTAACGCCTACGTCACCTTAGAAATGATTACTTATTGGCCAGCACGGTGGCTCACCCTTGTAATCCCAGCACTTTGGGAGGCCAAGGTGGGAGGATCACTTGAGGTCAGGAGTTTGAGACCAGCCTGGCCAACATAGTGGAACCCTGTCTCTACCAAAAAATACAAATATTAGCCAGGTGTGGTGGTGCGTGCCTGTAGTCACAGCTGCTCGGGAGGCTAAGGCAGAAGAAATTGCCTGAACCGGGGAGGCAGAGGCTGCAGTGAGCCGAGATCACACCACTGCACTTCAGCCTGGGGTGACAGAGCGAGACCCTGTCTCAAAAAAATAAAAAATAAAAAAAAGAAATTATTAGTTGTTGGCAATATGATTCAAAATATATTCTGTGACTTTTCTTGATATTGTTGAATATTTTAAAGATTTGAATTTATGTGAATAGGGTAATAAAAACTCAACATTTCTTCAAATCAAAAATTCAAATGTATAAAACATGATATGTTCCAAACTCTTGATCCGTGCTCCCATTTTACTTTAATATAAATGGTCAAGTCGGAAAGGGGAGTAAGAGAAAGGACTCTGCTTAATGCTTTTTTGGTTCCATTTAGTGTGTCAGAGACTTCCTTTTCTTTTGATGTACTGGACAATGCAGCATTACTATTTGCTATTAAACCCTATTAGAGAAAAACATTTAAGGCAATTAGCACAGTCTTAGCATGTACAAATGCGCAATAAATGTTGAATGAATTAATCTCATAGTTTCTACTTAGTCTTATTCAATTGTATAATGCAAATAAGTGAGAGGACAGGATCTGGGGTCAAACCTCAGTTTAAACTGAGGCTTATTATGGAAAAGTTCGCTTGCAATTGCTTACTGAGAATGTCATCCATGCCATTAAATTGGTACTTGCAGGAATGTTTCCAGTAATTAAACAGAAGCTGACGGGATGGTTTCTTTATTCAAGATAATTAATTGTCTCTAGAGAAGGTGTGTTTCCATGAGGTTAGAAAGAAGGCAGCTTCTTGAGGGCTTGAGTAGGGTTCGTTCAAAAGCATTTACTTGCCAGGCATTTCCCGCCACAGAAATGATTTACAAGATAACTTCATAGAGATCTTTTCCTAGTAGCCAAGAAAAAAAACAGCCTCTGGGAAAAAACCCAAAACCAAAGCTTTCTAGCTGGCTTGAGCATGAGGAAAGGAGTTGCCACCTTTCCGGATGCCATTTCCACAGCAGAGTGGTAGGAAAGCAGAAATGGAAAGCAAAACGTCTCACTCCTAGACATGTGAGTTGGCTTCCTGGCCAATGGAAAAGGATAAACAATGAGGCAGGTAAAAAGAGCTTTTGGGGAGCACGTAAGTAGAAATGAGTTTTAAGTCACGTTACAGATCTTACCACATATATTTAGTGGTTGACATAGTCTCAGAGTAAGATTTTAAGCAGCAGTGTTTGCCTCTGCTATGAAGTAAGAGGTTGTTTTAGCTCCCTCACTTCTTACCCGATGCTCGGGCCACTTTTACTCTGTCCAGGGCCTGTGACCTTGTGGGTGAAACTGGGCATGAATGCAACTCTCTGAATCCACGGCGAGCCTGGAGAGCTTAGCTTAGAAATGGACAGAAACGAAGGGCAGGCGAGTGAAGCGGAGCTGACGTTGCACCTGAGGAACAGCCTTTGGAAAGAGCTGCTGCCTGGCAGCCGGTCACCACAGAACACTGGAACCACCACTGCTCCCCCAGCCTGGTAACAGCGGGTCCAGTGTTCCAGCCTGGGCAGTGTCCAGCTGGCAGGGCTGAGGTGGTTGCGCCCACATCTCAGGCTGCATGGTCCAGCGAGCTCAGGTGTTTGATCTTTTTTCGTTACCATGGTGAGAAGTGTGCTAGCGGGGAAAAAAGACAAATGTATCCCATAGATGAGTATATATGGGGGCGAGGGGTTCTCCATGAAATGGTCCTCATTGATTTTTTTGTTTCATTTGTTTTTATGTTTTATCTTGATGGAGAATTTGTGATTTTCCTTCTCAGAAAAATAGAGCTATACTTACATTTCATAATTTATACTGCTGATTTATGCCACTGCGTTTTGACAGTTGTATCATATCACCCAGCCTTCTCTTCTCCAGGAAGTGGTGTATTCATGGGTCCCCTGAGATTCCAGCACTGCTTATGATGAGTGTAGAAATTCTGTCTTGTCTGTCTTGCAGAATGACAGATTAGAATATGGCATAGATTCTTAATGCTGTCTGTTGGGAAAACAATATTCTAAAGATGATTAGAAAGACAGTTTTAATATTATGTGGAATTCTGTTATTACATATTACCATTTAGAAATACTACAGAGAATTTATAATGAAAGCATAAAATAATTGAATGAGGTTTTTAATAGTCCATTAGAAAATTGTTGAAAATTTTTTCCTAATTCCTTTAAGGGAATTTTATTATAATTGTCTTGATTGTTGTTTCAATCAAATGGCAGTAGTGAAAAGGGCGAAATTATCAAGGCAGGGGGTAGGAGGAGGAGGCGCTGGGTAGGATGCTCTGATTTCTTAAGAAGAATAGGATAGCTGTAAAGAAACCAGACATGATTGCTTGAGAATTTTCCTTTCAAAATGATAATATCACACTTTATATCATTTATGTAGCATTTTTCCTAATTTGACTTTTTATCTGGCCATGACTTTTAAATTCAGTTATAAATATTAATTGCCTGAAGTGTTATAAAATCCATTTTTATTTGAGAGATACTCACAAGCAAAATTATATGCTGCATTTCTCGTCTTAGCACTTCACTCTGAAGTGCATACTTAATGGTAGTTCATTTTAGGTATGTTATTGATTGGATTACATTTTTAAAATGCAAATGAGTAAGTGCGTTTATGGATGGCTGGGTTTTATTTCTTTGCCAGTATTTCTTCCTGGTATCCTGAAGTTTCTCCTCATGTGAAGTATACAATTAAGCATTCCTGTCATACTTAAATTAATTAGACCTTTTATTCACTAGCATTGCCACCCCAGAGGAACAGAGTGGTGCAGAGGAGTTCATCAGCAAAATATACACTAAACAATAAAAAAAAAAAACCTTTTTCTCTAATTCTTTTGAAACAAAACATCCAAATAATAAAATAGTTTCTAGGTAGTTGTCTATCTTCATGATCATGTTATAAAAGATATAATCCTTATAAAAATAAGTTCATATTGTTTCAAAAATTGTATGTGATTATAATTCAGTGAAATTTGGGAAACCAGAATGGCTTTGTCATGATTACCTATTTTCTTATGTACAGATAAAATTAAATTCTGTCTCTGTGTTTACTGCATTATGTGAATGGATTTTCATCATATTTGAAGGGTATGTGACATGGAGTAAGGGTGAGTACATGGAGTAAGGTGACTTAAAATTCAGACTGAACTGTGTCCCTCATCCCTTTGGATCCCATGAGTCCTCTCAAAGAGCTGAATCAAGGTATGGGTTTTCACCAGATTTGTAGGGATGTGAGGAATGGTGTGATTTGGAATTGTGTTTGTAATGTACATAGCACGTTGGAAGTATTTTGGTAGGAAAGACAGTCCACTCCAGAACAGCTGAGCTGGAGCTGTAATGAGAGACACCTGAGGCCAACTGCGAGCATGAAAAAGATTTCAATTATGAGTCTCACACTGAAAGTCATAAGCTTGCTCCAAATTCCAGGGGCTAACTTGTGATCAAGTTTACTACTAAGTGGGCAACTCCATGTGACCTGTTTTAGGAATAAAGGCAGTCAGGGATTTATGTACTTAACTATGACTAGTGATTAGCCAGGGCATCTTCAGAGAGGTCAGTGAATGGGAAAAGATAAAGGGCAGGGACCAGTTTGACTTAATCAAGGTCTTAATTGTAGCATATTTTAATGAAATGCAACTTACTCCAGGACTAATACCTGCTGAAAATTAAGATATACCAAACAAAGAACTGTATGTCATTCAAAGGAGGGGGAAGGGTAGTGATTCACCATAGCCTCCCATAAACTTGCCCTTTTACAAATCCAAGAACTGAATGCATTTTAACCGTCCATAATTCATTGGACACCCTTTTAATTTATTCGTTCAAAAAATATCTATTGACAGATGTTGGAGCTTACATTTCTAATTGGGGGAAGGAAAATGAAATAAAAAACATAAGTACATTAGACAGTTTGTTAGAGGATCATCAGTGGCATGACACAAAGCAAAAAGTAGGGCAAGAAGGACTGAGAATGCCAGAGGAAGGTTTCGATTTTAAATACAGTAGCCAGAGAAGGAGAAGAACTCATGAAATTTAAGCAGAGAACTGAAGGAGCTGAAACATTTAACCATGCGGGTATTGTGGAGAAATATATCTCCGGCCAGGGGAGTTTGATTTACAAGCACAGAGGCAGGGGTCAGCCCAGCATGTGTGAGGAAGAGCAAGGAGGTCATTTTGGCTGAAGTGTAGTGAGCAAGGGAAAGGGAAGTAGGTGACAGGTCAGAGATGTGGGGAGAAAGCAGAGATCATGGAGGGCCTCAGGCCAGAGGCCACTGTGAGGACTTCGGTTTTACTTGGGGTGACATGAGAATCCACTGCAGGGTGTTGAGTCCAGAGGTGATGCACTGCGACTTAGATTTGAAAAGATCTTTCTGGCCGCTGTGGACCTAGGCTACTGCATCAATCCAGGTGAGCGATGATGGTGTGTGAAACCGTGGCGTGGGCACTGGAAATGGTGAGAGGTGGTCAGATTCTGGACGTATTTTTACAGTAGCGACAGCAGAACTCACAGACAGATTTGAGTTGTGTAAGAAAGAAAGGAGTCAAAAATGATTCCATTGTTTTTGACTCATACAACCGAAAGGATGATCAGTTGAGATGCAGAAGGCATCAGTTAGGTGGCGTGGAGGGTTGCATTAGATCTGGAATGGGTGTGCTGTCATGAAATAGAGATGCTGAGTAAGCAGTTGCACACATGAAGTTGGCATTTGGGAGAGAGGTGTAGAATGTGGGAATAAATTCGGGAGTCTTCAGCATATAAGTGGATTTAAAGACTTGGCACTGGATACATTTGTTCTACCACATGTGAGAATGTAAATGAGCAGAGAAATGGACCAAAGATGACCAACATTGAGAGTTCAGGAGATGAGTAGGAACCAGCAAAGAAGACTGAGAAGGAGCGCCCAATGAAGGGGAGGAAAACTGAGAGAGTGTGGTGTCCTGAAACCTGGGGAGGAAAGGGTGTCAAGGAGGAGGGAGGAATCAACATTGCCACATGTACTGGCCCATCAAGTCTGGGAGGACTGAGAATTTAACAATGTGCACATTGAACCCTTGTTTTGAACTTATTACTGACTCTGATGACTTTCAATGTAATTTACAAGGTTACCAAAAAGAATCTCGTATACCAGTGTACGAGTTGCTGGGATATCTGAATTAATTCAATCCAAGTTAAAAAGGCTTTACCCTGTTAGGCAAGCTTAACTTTTCTTATTATCTGAAAATAATCTACAGAAAATTTCGTGAGCGGTAACCATGTCTGGTTTATGCACTCTTATAGCCCTGGTATCTAACACAGAGGTTAACACGTACTAACATTTGGGACATATGTTTCTTGGATGAATCAAAAGATGAGTGCCAGCTAAACTTGTTCAGTTTGAGCCCTCTGAGCAGGGTGGACATCTCAAGCAACAAAGAATGTTGAATCCTACATGAGGGGATCATCTATTTTGGCTTTTTACAGTTTGATCATCCAGATGTTTATAAACAAGCTGGTAATACTTTTTTTTTTAACTTTTTTTTTTTTTTTTTTTTTGAGACAGTCTCGCTCTGTCAGCCAGGCTGAAGTGCGATGGTGCAATATTGGCTCACTGCAACCTCTGCCTCCCGAGTTCAAGTAATTCTCCCGCCTCAGCCTCTCGAGTAGCTGGGATTACAGGCACCTGCCATCATGCCGGGCTAATTTTTCCATTTTTGTAGAGACGGGGTTTCCGCATGTTGGCCAGGCTGGTCTTGAACTCCTGACCTCAGGTGATTCGGCCTCCCAAAGTGCTGGGATTATAGGCGTGAGCCACCACGCCCGGCCACAAGCTGGTAATATTTTTATGGTTTCACATATAACAATAAAAAACCTTTTTTTCTTTCTGGACATTAAAATGCTATCTGTAATGAGAATTTAGATGATAAAGTTAATTGTAGAACTCACTTGAAAATTTAAAAGATAAATTATATGTGTAATAGAGTAAGTAATATCCTCATATATCTATAATAAAAATAATAAATAAGAACAATTTAGAATGTAAAATTTTTGCCCCAGTATACTTATAAAATAATCACAAAAAAATGAGTGAAATGCATTTGCAGGAAACACTCCAACAGCATTGCCTAGAGATAACTGTAGTCCGTTTTAGTAGGTTTCAGATAATTAACCCCCACCCGCCCTTAATGTGCTAAAATTGTTACCCTTTTTAGATTTAAAAAGACCTTCTAACATGTGTTTCAATCTTCTTTTTCCTTGTCCCAGCCTTCTTAGAGTATACTGAATATAATTTAGCTCTGATTTAAGGCAGTAAATCCGAGATAGATACATGTATCAAGCTACTCTCCAAGACCCTTGGAGTTTGAGGATTTTACATTCTCTTTCATCTATTTCCTATTGACTGAAAAAGGTCAAGGAAGACCGGAATTTTGGCTCGGCATTCTTTTGAATCTCAAGCACTGAGAATCTGGGGAAACTTGTGAATGAGCCGCTTAGCATGCGGAAATGCCTAGCTAGGCATACACAGCTCAACAAAGCTTTGTTTTTCTCTGCTTATCACTTCTGGGGTTACTTTTATGAGATGTTAAACAACAGTGAAAACTTTTAACCATGGAAGTGACCAGAGGTGAGAAAACTTTAGCTAATGTTGATTTTTAACTTAATTTGTGGTTTGAGAATAAGCCCTAGAGCAGATTTTTTTTTATTTTTTATTGTGGTAAAATATTGATAACATAAAAATTTTCCATTTTAACCATTTTTAAGTATACAGATTAGTGTCATTAAGTACATTCAAAATGCTGTGCGATCATCACTACTGTCCATTTTCCAACTTTGTCATCTTCCCAAACTGCTTCGCTGTGCAGTTTAACACTAACCCTCATTCTTCCCTCCCCCACCCTCTGGCAGCCACCATTCTACTTTCTGCCTCCGTGAGTCCAACTGTCCAGGTAGCTCCTATGAGTGGAATCATACAATATTTGTCCTTTTGAATCTAGTTTATTTCACTTATGTAATATCTTCAGAGTTCACCTGTGTTGTAGCATGTGTCAGAATTTCATTTTTTCAAAGTTCACCTGTGTTGTAGTATGTGTCAGAATTTCATTTTTTCAAAGGCTGAATAATATTTCGTGGCATGTATATATCAGATATTGTTTATCCATTAATGGGGGTTTGAGTTGTTTCTACCTTTTTGGCTATTCTGAATAATGCTGCTGTGAACAGTATACAGAAATACCTGTTTGAGTCCCTGCTTTAAATTCTTTTGGTAGATACCTAAGAGTGGAATTGGTCAGTCATATGGTAATTCTGTGTTTAATTTTTTGAGGACACCATACGGTTTTTCTGGAGCAGGTGATTTTTGATGCAGGTGTCACCCAGAGAAGCCTGTATATGCCCTTGTAAACATGTCCAAATTTGAAGGTCTCTAGAGGTATCCATGAGATGTATCAGTGTCACTGCAGCAATTTTTTTTTTTTTTTTTTTTACCATCTTGCCATTTCATGGTTCAGCAGAAAAGCTGATGGGCAGGGGATTGTGAAGAATCCCATGTTGCCCATATGGTGGCCTTCATTACTGGGTAGTGTGTTCCTTATGAGAGTGCTGGTCATCGGGCATGCCCAGGGCAGAAAACTCGAGGGCCTCTAGCTTACTGCATATAGGCAGGAATTCAACAACAGTTTTTGAGTAGCCAGAGTCCAGAGCACAGAAATGACAGATGGAAATTAAATCTTGAAAGAACATATTAGCAGATGGAAATGGTACGCAAACTGATAAAGAGGAGTGGGTGGGAAGGAGGGGAAGTATGCCGTGAATGCATCGTGAATACATGTGAGTGCATGGTGTCAATCATGAACTCGATTCTGATCCGCAGCACAGGGACTGAACATGATTTATAAATGAAGAGCAAGGTTTCTGTTTTGCCCAAAGATCCAGAGTAAGTGAAATGATTTTAGTAAGAGAAAGCATAAATCCATACATAAAATGAGGGGAGAGATACAGGCGGGAAACCTGAGATGCAGTTTACACATGGAGCAGAGGAAGAGACTCATTCCAAATATTGATGACTGGATTCTTCAATTCCTTGCATAATTTTTTTTTAGAACTTCTCACTTACATTAATGAATACATCTAGTATATAAACAGGTGGTACTTGTATAATATTACACTATTACAATATGTTGTGTCTTTAGGCAGTAGTCATGGAAATCTTTCAACTGTGGGTGGCCAGATAATGACAATGTCAGATTTATTTTGGTTGTGACTGAATACACATACTGTTTCAGCAATTGCTGTCAGAGAGATTGGGCTAGTGCTGTAGGTGAATGCAGTGTTGGGCGAGAGTATGATTTGCTGCAAGTAAGAAGAGAAAGGCATTGTATAATTCCAGCTGGGATCAAGAAAGATTGTGTATGTTTACTTTATGAATATATGACAGTGAAGTTACAGAAGAAAATAGTGCTTCTCAGTGACCCAATACTGAAGGGTGAGCTAGTGAATAGCTGGATACTCTCGAATGTTTTAATAGATATTGTGACCCAGTGCTATCGTGCAGCAATTACTGCTGGTGCTAGTGTTGGTTTAAATATTTGATTTCATCTCTTCCGGTGTGCCACTGTAAATTTTATTCCAATGAGCTCATAAACACAAATGTAGGAATTACATCCTTATATAGTTTCTTTCTCTGGAGAGTTGTAAAGTACTCATAAGTGTCAAATAATTTTATGAACCTAGAAATAATTGGATTAATTTTTAAATGTGTTACGTGTGCCTGTACTCTGGTCATATAGTACTCAACATATAGCTGCTAACCCTGCTAGATGGTTTTAGAACGTTGCCTGTTTCCTTGGAGATGCAGAAAAGATGCATTGGTTTTTCTCCTTAATAAATCAAACAGCTAATAACGTTTGGTCATGAAAAATAAGGAACTCTCAGCATTGTCCTTTATGATAATTCTGAGTATACCAGATAATAAGAAACTGATGTAAGGACATTAAAAAATACTCTACAAAAATTGTTTCAACTTGATTGTATATATTTTTTAAATGATGAAATAACCAATATACATGTGGGACGTTTTGCATGCTACCAATAAATAAATACATCCACACATATATAAGAAAGTTGAGTGTTACATTGGGCAAAATAATCATTGAGGCACTTCCAATTCTAAAATTTTGGTTCTGACTAATAAGGGGAGTATTTCAGGACATAAATCCCTAGTTGACATTCCCCTGGGTGGTAAATAGCCATTATGTGGAAAGCAGGCAGATCGTTGTTGAGGGTGTAGTATCCACCATAGACTTACATGGTTCTACTGAGTCAGTCATGGCCTCTGTGGTCTTTCCTCAAGAAGGGAATCTGGAATTGGAAAGGAGGGGGGTGGGGCTGAAACAATTCAGTGGTTGTAGGAACTTGGAGTTGAGTTGTAGCCATGTGTAGAAAAGGAAACACCCATACAACTCTATCTAAACAGGAGAAGTAAACTTACAGCTGCCCTCAAATCTGCACAACTTGCTGGCACTAGGAGCCTCTTCTATTTTAATTTGAGACAGGGATTATAGGATTCCATTGAGTAAGCTTTGAAATGAGGACACTAAGATCAGGGGGCCAGCCCTGAGATCAGATTTCCTTATTTATCTACATTGCTTAGTGCAGTCAGTGATTCAGAAATGGTCCTTCCCTTTGCCAAGATGAAAGTGGCAGTGAGTTTTTCATGGCCATCATTATGAGGTGACGTCTTTATTCCTTTTTCAGAACTGATAGATTGAAAGACCGACACATTCCTAATGATTTAAATACAAACATTCCGTGAATGTTTACCCAGCCTTCAATTAGATAAGTTAGATTTTACACCATCTGTTTCTGTCGAGTAGAGCTGCTTAGCTATTTAGAGCAATGATTTGGTCATCAAATTGCTACAGAAATGATGTTGAATTCCGCCACGTGTGACAACATGGATGAACCTGGAAGACATTGGGCTACATGAGAAAAAGCCAGTCACAGAAGGACAGATACTGCCTTCTTCTGCTTGTATGAGGTGTAATGCCCAACCTTGTTTTTACTAACCCTGTTTTTAGACTCTCCCTTTCCTTTAATCACCTAGCCTTGTTTGCACCTGAGTTGACTCTCCTTTGGCTAAGAGAGCCAGACAGACTCCATCTTGGTTCTTTCACTGGCAGCCCCTTCCTCAAGGACTTAACTTGTGCAAGCTGACTCCCAGCACATCCAAGAATGCAATTAACTGATCAGCTACTGTGGCGAACTATATCCGCAGTTCCCAGGAATTCGTCCGATTGATAAAGCCCAAAGCCCCGCGTCTATCACCTTGTTAATAGTCTTAAAGCCCCTGCACCTGGAACTGTTTACTTTCCTGTATCCATTTATCCTTTTAACTTTTTTGCCTACTTTACTTCTGTAAAATTGTTTTAACTAGACCCTGCCTCCCCTTTCTAAACCAAAGTATAAAAGAAAATCTAGCCCCTTTTTCAGGGCCGAGAGAACTGAGCGTTAGCTCTCTCTTGGCCGCCGGCTAAATATACGGACTTTTAATTCGTCTCAAAGTGTGGCGTTTTCTCTAACTCGCTCAAGCACAACAGAGGTATCTACAATAGTCAGCTAAAGGAAAGAGAGACCGTTTGGTGGTTGCCAGGGGCTGAAGGGAGAAGGAGATGGGGAGTGGGCTGCAGTTTAGTGGGTACAAAGTTTCAGGTACGTTAGATGAATGAGTTCTAGAGATCGGCTCTACATCCACGTGCCTATACTCAACCATACGGTATTATGCACTTACAGTTATTTCAGAGAGTAGATCTCAAGTCTTCTTAATGCAGTAAATTATAATAATAAAGAAATGCTGAGTAACACTTATAACCTGGAGACTTTTATAAACGTAAGGATTAAGAGCTACCAACCAGGAGAGATCCATATTCTGTCTCTCTTAATGTCAGTGTCTGCATGTGAGAAATGTGTTTTAGGAGTGTGCCTGTGTAGTACAAATTGGAGTAATTATCGTTCCTCCTTTCTTCTGCTTTGGATGGAGGTCAGGAAGCCTATCCCATCTCTTACTCTTTCTAGTATCACCATTTTACTGTTGCTCTAGGAACCCAGAGCCCGGTTCCTCCCCAAATTCTTGAAGTGGGATGGTTAGGAAAGTCCATATTCAGGTAGTGCCCTGAAATATGGCCAAATATTTGAATTTTTTGTATCCAAAGTTTGTAAAATTATGTTTGCAGAGGTTTTAAGTTGGTTGGTGGAGCAAGGGTGACCAGAAGAGGACATTTTAAACCCTACTTTCTAGAGTGACCCAGATCAGAAGTAACAGGGAGTGGCAAGAGTATCAAGCACAGACCAAGAACTGAGAGAAAGCAAGGAAGAGAACGGCTGCCCAGGACAAAGCAGCCCAGTGGCTGCGAGGCATCCGATGTCACAGATCCTGGCAGGCCACACAGAATCCTTGTATGAGTTTTGGGGCCAAACAGGCCTATATGTAGATCCCATCATGACTTGGATGACGTTAGAAGTTATACCTCTGTGAGACTGTCTTCTCAGCATTTGAAATGATAATAATACCAACCTCACAGATTGTTGTAAGGTTTAAATGAGATCAACATTCAAAGAATTGAGCACAAGGCCGGGTGCGGTGGCTCATGCCTGTCATCCCAGCACTTTGGGAGGCTGAGGTGGGAGAATCATTTGAGCCCAGGAGTTCAAGAACAGCCTGGACAACAAAGGGAGATGCTATCGCTACAAAAAAAAATAAAATTATAAATTAGGAGGGCATGGTGGCACGCATCTGTGGTCCCAGCTACTCAGGAGGCTGAGGCGGAAAGATTGATTAAATCTGGGTGGTCGAGGCAGCATGAGCCGTGATTGCACCACTGCATTCCAGCTTGAGAGACGGAAAAAGACCCTGTCTTAAAAAAAAAAAGAAAGAAAGAAAGAAAAAGAATTGAGCACAAATCCCTGGCATAGAGAGCATTCAACAAATGCTCCTGTAAAGCTGCAGTCTGATTTTGGAGGATGCTGCAAGCTATATTCTGTGCCTCCAAAATTCTTAGGTGAAAGTCCTGAACTCCAGGACTTCAGAATTTATTTGGAGAAAGGGTCTTTAAAGAAATAATTAAGTTAAAACGAAGTCACCAGAGTAATCCCTTATCCAACGTGACTTGCTGTCCTTAAAAGAAGAAATTTGGATACAGAGAGGCATCGAGGGAAAATGATGTGAACGTACAGAGAGTAGGTGGTCGCTGCAAGCAAAGGAGAGAGACCTAGGAAGAGACCAACCCTGCCGGCACCTCAATTTGTGCTCTATTCTTTTTCTTCTTCTTCTTCTTTTTTTTTTTTTAACAAGGTCTTGCTCTGTCTCCCAATCTGGAATACAGTGGCGTAATCACAGCTCGTGCTGCCTCGACCACCCAGATTTAATCAATCTTTCTGACTCAGCCTGCTGAGTAGCTGGGACCACAGGTGCATGCCACGATGCCCTGCTAATTTATAATTTAAAAAAAATTTTTTATCTCCATCTTCTAGAGTCCAGAAATGTGAGAACATAGATTTCTATTTAAGGCCCATAGTCTGTGATACTTTGTTATGACAGCTGTAGCAAATACAGGTATTATCACGAAGACTTGGAATGCGATGAACACCTGATCTCATAGCCCAGCAGGTAAGGGAGGAAAATCAGGGCAGCCTCGAGTCTACTGTGCTGGAAGGGAGATATGTTTGGATGTTGCACTCAGTAGGCTTCCCTTAACACACAGTCACTAGTTTTTGTTATATTGTTAATAGTGTTATGCAGAAGCTTTTGATGGCTGATCTAGAGGCCAAAGCACAGAAAGCAAATCTTTTGGGTCATAACCTACCCTTAAGAGACTTCCCATATCTTGGTTTATATGCTTTAACTTAGTATTGTTCATTTTTGTGTTTGATATTGTGTTATTCTTTTTTTTTTTTTTTTTTTTTTTGAGACATAGTCTGGCTTTGTTGCCCAGGCTGGAGTGCAGTGGCACTATCTCAGCTCACTGCAGCCTCCGCCTCCTGGGCTCAAGGGATCCTCCCACCTCAGCCTCCTGACTAGCTGGCATCACAGGTGTGCGCCACCACACCCAGCTAATTGTGGGGTTTTTTTTGTTTGTTTGTTTTAGTAGAGACAGAGTTTTACCATGTTGCCAAGGCTGGTCTCAAACTCCTGGGCTCAAGCGATCCAGCTGCCTTAGCTTCCCAAAGTGCTGGGATTACAGATGTGAGCCACCGCACCCAGTCACATTGTGCTATTCTTCAGGAAAAGGTTGCCAGTAATTTCTGGGCCATTTTCCATCGTTCTTTGATAATTTCTAGCATAGTTTAGCTCAGTATAGCTGTTTAGAGATGTGTTCTGAGGTAGAGGCTGGGGAAATCATCAGACTCCATAGGGCGTTGGCATAGGACCAATGCATGCCAAGCCCTGTTAGAATCTGGACAGGGCGTTGTGGGTTGCAGGTGTGGGTGGGGTTGACAGGAAAGGAGCTCTGGGAGACGTAGGGCAAAAGTTTAAAAATTTACTGGTTTAGTTTTTTTCTCATTCTACTAATTCACCCACATTGTAATTTATTTGCATTTTTCTGCTTATTCACGCTTAAAAGGCTTTCCAGCAGTTTATTCCTAACAACTTGGCATTTCACGCTGCAGAAAATTTTAGCGTTACTACATGCTAATTATTCACTATGCACTTCTTCCCCTAGATTGTTAATAAACTGCTAGCACTAAACTTTAGGAAACTCCTACTCCTAACATGTCACAGTTTGGTGATGAATTTATCCTCCATATTTGATGAACAGACCTTAATAATGCGCCAAATTCTATTCTAGGTGCTTTTACCTTCTAGTTTAATTCTCAAAAGAGCTCGGTGAGATAAACATTGAGATAATGTTCAGAGAATCTAAATAACTTGTTCAACGTAAAACATCACACAGGATTCAAACCTCAGTGAGGGTCATGGAAAAGACACAAGTAAATGAAAATACAGGTTGTGTGAGATGCTAAGAGACGAATAATGTATTGCCATAGTGTCTGACTAGACAGGAAAAGCTGGTATTTAAACTGCACCCTGAAGGAAGAGAAAGAAGGAGCCAAGCGTGGAGTCAGGTGTGGAGCTTTTCAGACTGGGCAAAGACGCTAAGGTTTGGTGTGTTTTTGAAACAGGAGCTCAGTGTGGCTGCAGCTTAGTGAGCAAAGGGACTAGTGACCAGAAGTGGTCTTGGAGGACAGAGAGGAAGAGCCAGATCATGCTTGACCACTGAGGCTGAAGTGAGGAGATTGGACTTTATTTTACTGTAAATTGAGTGCAGAGCCTTGGGAGGGTTCTTAGTGAGATGATATCACTGAATTGCATTTTAAATGAGATCATGGTTTTCTTATTGCAAAATGAATTTTCAGGGAATTGTGTGGGGATCCATTGAGGTAGTCGATTGCCTTGCCCCGTGTTTGTGGTTAGTAGACTGTTAGGAATATCAGGACTGGCTTGTATGTTAACTGAGAAAGTACAAACTGAAAACCCTGTGTTTGGAATTCAAGTTTTGCACCATCGAAGACTTATTGCTAACCTTTGCTTCTATTTTGAAGCTACTTATCTGTCCTTGACAAAGCAGTTCCTGCTTATTTACTGATCAGTTTGTTGTTAGAATGACTTTTGCCTTAGGTCTTCAAAAGTCAAGATTTTTTCACCGAGAATACATCACGGTAGGATTTAAGATAATTTTATAGCCAGAGAAACCTTCAAGATAAAGTGCAAATTTTAGTTTAAACAGTAAAATTAAAGCGCCGCTCAGCTGAGTGCCGTGATCAAGATCACACATATTGGGAGGATTGGGCTGGAGTCCAGGTCTCCTACCACCCAGTTCACTGCCAGTGCAGAGGATCAAGGGAGGGTACAATGTTAGCTTGGTTAAGACACAAGAAAGCCCAGAGTGACAGAAGCATCATGCACAAGAGGAAAGACGTGTGAGGTGAGTTTGGAGAGAAAGGCAGGCGTTTTGAGTTATCAATAAAATCACAATGACATATAAGGACAACAAAGAAAAAAAAAGAAACAGTTTGACTTAAAGTATAATAAAAAATATAATATGTAAAAATATATAAGTAGATAGGTTATAAAGAAAATAAATTCAAAAATGTATTAGGAAGAAAAGGGTACCATTGCAATTAAACTGAAAATGTTAACGTGAATAACATATTTTTCTTGCATGTCATTAAATAAGGTCTGGAAGGGGTGTCACTTTTGACCTCTAATACACTAAAAATGAACCAGAGATTTTTGGAAAGTAGCTAAAAGGACAAAGGATTTGGCTTCAAGGGGTTCCCCTGGCCAATTTTGTCAAAGAATTCTCTATGAATTTGACAGACTTTTTCCAAAAGAAGAGCATAATTAATTCTGTTAGAGTAATTTGAGTACAGAAAATTAGCTTAGGGAGGGTGTTGGTGACCTTGACACGGGTGATTGCAGTGGAATGCTGGGGAATTAGACCAATTGGAGTTGGATGAGGAGGTAAAAGGAGGTTGGGGGTAGAGAGAGTGATTTTGGATGATTGTTAAATTTTCCTGTGAAAAGGCCAGAAAGTGGGATGGCAGCTAGAGACATGAAGTCAGGGGACAGACTTTGTTGGGACAGGAGATGTTAAAGCATATTGTAAAGATATTAAAGCATAAAGTATTTTTGTCATAATCTTTTGAATGTGAGCTACTTCTGTGAATTAACTGAAAATGTTTTCATAACTACATCCTTGTTTTTTCAGTTAGTTTTTACTTCTAACTAAAATGATATCATAAATGCTAAGCTTCAGCACAGAGGTAGAGTCTTATTTACCATTTTGTTCTCAACAGTGTAAGCACAGTATAGTCAATTAATGTTTCTCAATAAATGAGTTAAAGATAAACAGAAAAAATGTAGAGCTTGGCTATAAAGTTATCCTTCAGATTCATCCATTAGGACCAAGTCTCTGTTTTGGGGTGTTTGTGTGTGTGTGTGTGTGTGTGTTTGTGTGTGTGGGGGTGGGGGGCGGTATTCTTCATTATCAGATGTCTGAGGCTAGGCTGGAAATTGCATAGTGGTTTTATATTGAAAAGTTAGTGTGTATGAGCAATAAAGGTAAATTATTCCTCCAAAGGAGAGAGATTGAATTTGAAGACAAGAAAAAGAAAATTCAGATTAAGAAAATAAATGTTAAAATCACAGCAATATACATTTGCAATAAAATACCCCAAAATCACATTGTTTTAGAAACACTTTACTGTTCTTTGCTAAGTCAAAAGGGGGAGTTCATTTTTTGTCTATTATGAAGGTGTAGTAGCACACAAGTAGCCATGTAAGTATCTGAAAGCTTGAATTTTGGATATATTTATGACTAAAAGTTCAACTAGATTTAAGTTACCATCAGTTTACTAGGCTGCTGTATCTCATTAGATACCATTTAGGACAGTAACACTTTAATAATAATCACCAAAGCCAATTTTTAAATAATCAATTGGTAAAAAATGTACGAGTGGAATAACCGTTGAGATGATCTCCTGCTTTTAATCAAGGTTGAATTTAAATCATTCTAGACTAAATTAATATATATAAATCATTCTAGACTATATTAATATATAGTATCTATATATACACATACACACACATCCTATTAAATCTTTTTCTGTGGAGAACCCTGACTAATACATAGGGCTGGAATACTTTCTTCATAAAAGGCTAAACAGTAAATATTTTAGGCTTTGCAGTCCATACTTTCCCTGTCTCAGCTACCTAACTCTGTCATTGTAGCACATAAGTAGCCATGTAAGTGAATGGATGCATACATGTTTCAATAAAACTTTATTTATAGAAACAGGCATCTAGCTGTGTTTGGACCAAGGGTTCTAGGATTAAATGATTGCTTGGTAGTTCAGTCAAAAGAGATAAGGGAGGTATACATTTGAAAGGATGTTTCATTCAAGCCAGGTTGGATTAAGGAGCAGTTTGTCATCCTTTTCTATATTATGGGTTATTACTTTGACAGTCTCACTCTTTAACTTCAATTTTACCTGTTTTATTTTTACACAAGGATTTCTTAAAAAACAATTAATGTTATAACAAAAAACTGTCACTCTTATCAGTCTTACCAATTCTAAACTGAGGACTGATTAGTTCAGCCTTTTTATATGTTGTCCTACTCTGTTTCTTTCTCTCTTTTTTTTGAGACAGGGTCACGCTCTGTTGCCCAGGCTTGAATGCAGTAGCAGGATCACAGCTCACTGCAGCCTCGACCTCCTGTGCTCAAGTGATCTTCCCACCTCAGCCTCCCGAGTAGCTGGAACCATGGGTGGGCACCACTATGCCTGGCTAATTTTTAAATTTTTTTGTAGAGATGATGTTTCACTGTGTTGCCCGGGCCAATCTCAAACTCCTGGCCTCAAAACTATGCTCTCACCTTGGCCTCCCAAAGTGCTGGGATTAGAGGTTTGAGCCACTGTGCCTGGTTGTCCTGTCTTTCTTACGGGAATGATCAGTGGCGGTGGAGGGGGTGAGCGTAAAGCGCAGCCAGATAATACAACTGGTGACCCAATCTACAAGCTTTGTAGCATCGATGATGGTTCTAGATTTTAAGATGAAGTTCTTTTTTTGTTTTCTTTATTTCTTCTTCTTTTTGTTTTAAGAAACAGGGTCTCACTCTATCGCACAGGCTGGAGTACAGTGATGTGATCATAGCTTAGTGCAGCCTTGAACTACTGGGCTCAATCAGTTCTCCTGCCCCCAGTCTCCCAAGTAGCTGGGACCACAGGCAGTGCCACCACACCCAGCTAAAAAAAAAAGTTTATTTGTAGAGACACAGTCTCAATGTGTTGTCCAGGCTGATCTCCAACTCTTGGCCTTAAGTGATCCTCCCACTTTGGCCTCCCGAAGTGCTGGCATTTCATGCGTGGGCCGCCCAGCCCAAAATGTGATTCCTGAAGGCCATAATTTTACTTTTGGCAAACAGGAACATTCTTGGTAACTATAGTAGTAATTTACCTTTTTCACTTTCTCTCTTCCTATATACCGTCAGGGCCAAGAAAGTGCTGCAGTTCCCACAATTAATCACAGAGGAACTTGAAGTTCTGGAGGTATATTGGAAGATTAGAAATTGCTAAAGCAAAATATTATCATTGTAGGGCATGGACCAAAAAGAAATTAGGCTAATCCAAGATAAAATGAGGCAAATAAGTGTTTGAAATTAAAATTAAAATTGTGATTCACAGTGTTCCTATTGTGTGTATTTAGATGGTATGAATGGTGCCATCCACCAGATGTAGGATTGGTAAATATTTTAGTGTAATAATAGCAATGCTTTTAATTCCCAGGAATAAACTGCACCTAACTTCTTTGGGGTGATTATAAGATTTAGGTCTTTATTTTTTTTTAAAGTAATTGTTTTTATTCATTAAGTTAAACAGTGCCTATCCAAAATAGATTCTTTCACATTTAAGTTCTCAAAAGGACTAACTGGCACATCAAGATCGAAGTTTTAACATCTCATCATTACTCTGTGTTAAGAATGAAGACCACTTTTTTGGTTTAAACAAGTTTCTGAAATGACACATCCGTTTAAAAAGGCAATTGACTTATAAGATAATTCAGATTTACATTATTTTTCACCTTTTATTTTCACTCGCCAAGTCTATTTTTGTTCAACATTTTGCATTTATTTCTTTCAGGAGCCTGTACAAATATTACTTTTCTCTTTGTAATTTGTCTTCCTTGTTTAGCCCCCTTTCCTATACGTTATACATTACAGTTAATATTATCAAGATGAAAGATGATATATTATAATTGTACATTCATGGGGCTTACTCTACACAAGGCACTGTGTTAAGTACATTGTTTTATTGTCCCTTTGAATTCTCGCTACAGCCCTAATGCTACTGCTGCAGCAATCACCCTCATTTTGTAGTGGAATAAGTGGGATAGCTTATGTAAGCCAGCAAGTGGCAGAGGCAGGATTGGACCTTGCCTTCTTTATCCCCAGCCATTGCTCTTTGGTGCTATTATGCTTAGTAATAATCTCTTTTCCATTTTGACAAATTCAACTATAAAAAAGTACAATACTAAGGAAGAACCAAAACCAAGCTGGGGGTGGAGGGAACCCTGTGAACTTATAGACCCTGTCTGTCTTCAAAGTTGCTTGAAGCCCAGTTGAAGCCAGTATCTCCCTCAGCTTTTTCCTTTTTAAAGGAACAGGAACCATTTTGTCTTCTCCCTCTCTCCTCTCTTTAGAGAAGTGTTTTCTTCACCTCACAGAAGAGATTACTTTCGCTTTTTTCAACTATCAGTTGAGTGCTATGGTGTGCTAAGCTAACATGGTAATAGAAATAACTTTTCTCTTGAGTTTTTCATGCCCACAAAAGAAAAATGAATACTTCTCATATGTCCGCTTTGATATACCAGTTTTATGTGATTCAAATTAGTTGTCATGGTCTGTTTGTCTAAGTCAGTCTCTTACTCAGTAAACATTAATGGGGCAGATGCTCTATGCCAGTTCTTGTGCTTTAATGAGGAATTAATTTTAATATGATCCAGCAGAGCTGGAAGTTGTAACGTTTTTGTTACAGGCAGGAAATGTTTAAATTGAAAATAAAAGAATTTCTAAGGTAGAATTAATGTGCTATTCGTCGTGACTTTGAGAATAAAGCTCATTTGCTTTAGTAAAAACTGAGTAAACCTCAGTTTTCTGTTGACAAAAATTGAAATAACTATTAATTTATCTCAATAACTGGTTTAAAGGAAATGAGATAAAGAAGGCTATACAACACTTGAAATTTCTCTATGGTAAAAATTGAAGAATAGGTATCAGCATCATTGTTAAATCAAACAAATTGAAATTCTGTCTGTGAAGTAAGAAAATTAAATAATCCTGGATTAAAACTCAAAATCCACATTAAAACCAATAGTTATTTTTAGAAGACCTGTCCCAATTATGTTCAGTATTGCTATTTAGTTTTTGTATTGTTATAAATAATCAAATTATATTTGATTACCATCTATATTGTTTCAAAAATGAGTCTCTATTTTTCATATGTTATCTTTATATACATAAATATTAGAAAAGTGTTTGAGGCTAAATTTGAGCAATCTTTTCTTGAACAGTTACTTTTGAACAAAAATATTTGCATTTGACAATAACTTTGTATTTTATGTGTTTTTACTCTGTGAGAAAGGAAACTTTGAACTTGACAACTCTGCCATTAAACTGAAAATTACAAGGTAAATCACTGATTTACTAATTAAGTAACCATGGTTGAAAGAACATTCATTTCCTGAGTATCACAAAGCAAAACCTTGCATAGTCCATATATCTGTTAATGAAATAAGTTAATTTGCAAACTTTGATAATGTTACTTAATCAGTGGCAAGTGATAAAAATGTTGCTAGTACTTATTAAATCATTTAAAATAGCTATATGCAGTTTTATTTGCAATATATATATAACAGATATGAGATTTCTGTCCAGAATATATAAAAGGCTCTCAGTAACTAAGTAGGCCAATAGGAAAATAATCATTCACATAGAAGAGAAAGGAAATCCCAATCATAGTGTTTTAAAAATAATGCCAAACTGCACTAATAATAAGGGAAATGAATGCTAAAATAATGATTTTTATTTAGGCCTATGATGTCGACAAAAATTAAACAGAGTTACGTTTACAGGAAATTGAACCGGCTCATAATCTTGGCGAAAGTGTAATTGGATACAGCCTTTTGAACTGATCCCTTTCATTCTACAAATGTTACACAATTATTTACTATAAAGATGAATTTATGTGTAAGTTGTGTACTTTTAAAAAAATAGAACATCTGTGGATTTTGAATTACATTTAGGGAAAAGCAAACTGTGAATGGCAATAATAATAATAATAATAATAGCTTTAAAAACAAAGTCTTTGAATGCATATCAGGCTTATAGAGTAGTGGTCCAGGTCAAAAAGATTAGCAACTCGTACCAACTACACCTTTTTTTTTGTTGTTGTTTTTGAGACAGAGTCTCACTCTGTTGCCCAGGCTGGAGCGCAGTGGCGTGATGTTGGCTCACTGCAACCTCTGCCTCCCGGGTTCAAGCGATTCTCCTGCCTCAGCCTCCAAGTAGCTGGGATTACAGGCGCGTGTCACCACACCTGATTAATTTTCTGTATTTTTAGTAGAGACGGGGTTTTGCCATGTTGGCCAGGCTGGTCTTGAACTCTTGACCTCAGGTGATCCACCCACCTTGGCCTCCCAAAATGTTGGGATTACAGGTGTGAGCCACCGTGCCCAGCCCCTAACTATACCTTTTTCAAAAATGTCACTTTGTCTTAGTTTTCAGTTCTCTCCACTCGAGTCAGTGGAGTAGCAAACACATTTGTATGCAAGCACCAGCACCTCTGGAATGGTCAGTAAGGGTCATTCATATATAAATGCACAAATGGAGTCAAATTGCTTTTCCTTTCCTTAGATTGGCTCCACTGAAGGATTGGAAATTTTGATCCAGAAAAGAGTTGTCAATTTTGGAGCACTTTTGAAGACAGGGTGTAGTCAGTGTCTAGAAAGAAATGCATACCTGTGGCGGTAGGTTCAGATATTAAAAAACAGGCTTGCCTCAAGCCTCTCCTGTGCCCTCAGATGAGCTGCTTCAGGGATTCTATGAGAAAGCAAACTCTGACTAGCCTCTGACTTACAAGCGGACTTGGAGAACAGGCCATTTGTAAATCGAAGGTCATCCAGGCCTGCCTGTCTCATTCTGGAGATCAGAAATGTTAAAAGGAGTGGAGAACCTAGGAAGCATTTACAGATGCCACATCTACGTTAGTAAGAGATCTGGAAACCATATATTAGTTGGTGTAAACTAGAACATTTAAGGGGGACACTATAACATCAAATATGTGAAGATCTGTCATTTAGATCTTCTGTTTGTTGCTATGGTTTGGAAGCCTCAGTATCACAGGTAAAAGTCACAAAGCAGCCAATTTCAACACCCTGGAAGGATGAATTTTCTTATTCTTAGGGCAATCCAACAGTGGAACGGGCTGCCCTCCAAGAAACTACGGGCTTCTGCTAGCTCTAGAAATGCCTGAACTTATATTTGGTAGCTCTCTTGGGCAGGAGATTGGTTGGACTGAGCAATCTTAAAAATTTCTCACACTACCCTCTGGTTCCAGGCTTCAGAAGGCAGCGCATTTCATTCCAGCACCAAGGCCTGAGGTCCCGTGCCCTTTTGAAAAGCTGAATAAGGACAAAAATATACAAAGTCAGACTTGCTACAGCTGAGATAGGGCAAAACTTCCAAAGACTCTAGTACAAAGAGAGAGACCAAATGGGAAAACAAATAGACAATACAAAAGGCGTACATATGTCTTGATTACTAAATACAACTTCTTGCCGCAGCTTGCTTTAGTGCTTGTGGCCCCTGTCCTCATCTATAATACCTGCTAGCTTGGAATATTTACAACAGCCGCTGAGGAGTGGCAGTTTCCCAGCACTGCCTGGCCTTTCGTTGTGCAACAGGGAGCAAGTAAAGTCACTGTGCATAAGCATTTGTACTTTTAGAAATTAGGGGGAAAAAAAGTGTGTGCTGTGGACACATTTTATTCTTTGTGGAAAGCTCACCAGGTGGTTGCCAGTTTATCAAGAGCAATAAATGCCTGCGGAAATGTAATGACCTGGAGAGCATTGCTTTTATCTGAACTCTATAGTTGGAAGGAAAACCAGTCAACCAAATGATACAGAAATAAGACCCGCAAGGGGCACACTTGACAAGTTTTGTTCCGCAGGACAGGAGCCAGGGCTGAAGTGCGCAATGGAGGCATGGCTGACTGCAGCCTCCAGCCGTTTCCTGCACCCTCTCCACACTGTGCTCACCTCTCCTCCAAATAAAGTTGAATAAATATTTAGAGAATGTTGGTTTGAAGGGAAGCCACATTATTAAGCTACTTAAATGCCTTATGTCTGTGTCAAGCCCCGTTTGCCATAAGCTTCATGTAACCTATTACCTTTTTTTCTCTTTACAGTGTCCATGGAAAACACTGGCGAACAAGGTAAGCTAGATTATATTAATGTTATAGATTTTTTAAATAGTTTGAAAAAAAATTGTATTCACTTAGATTTGGTTGGGATTAATAAATTGTTGTTTGAGAATGTGGAGACAAGCTAGGGTTAAAGATGTCTCATTTCTCTTAAGTTTGCAGATTGAATTCTGTCAGACCCTTGGCAAAGAATTCTATCCTGAAATGGCTGTCATTGTGCCAGAGATTCTTAAGGCTTTGAGGTATAGGGATATCAACAATTTCCTTTCCTAATTCAGATTATGAACTTATAACTGAGTCACCTACATAATTTATGAAAAATATTGTTGGCTTTAGTCATCTCACACCGATTTAAGTGCCTTATTGAATAATTCAAATTTTTAATGATTCTATGAGTATCCTCATTCTTTAGAAAAATTTAAAATTGCTATTAAAGTTTTAAAATGCCAAATATGCTATATTTAAATTAGCATATTTTATTCAATGATATCTTACAGAATTAAATTGTGTATTAATGTATTACCCAGAAGGAAGCATTATCACCATATAGAAAATTAATATTTAAAATTTGGGCCGGGCACAGTGGCTCATGCCTGTAATCTCAGCACCTTGGGAGGCCAAAGCGGGCAGATCATTTGAGGTCAGAAGTTCAAGACCAGCCTGGCCAGCATGGTGAAACCCTGTCTCTACTTAAAAAAAAAAAGAAAAATACTAACATTAGCCAGGTGAGGTGGGGCATGCCTGTAATCCCAGCCACTCAGGAGGCTGAGGTAGGAGGATTGCTTGAGCCCCAGGGGGCGGAGGTGGCAGTGAGCCACTGCACTCCAGCCTGGGCGACAGAGTGAGACCCTGTCTCAAAAAAAAGGAAAGAAAAGAAAAGAAAATTTTGGATAGTATTTCAAGACTTTATAACACCACCCAGAGTGTGTTTATATGCATTACTGAAAAAAGTATTCAGAACACTTTTTTAAAACAATTGTCCCATGTAATAAATAAGACACTTGAACTCCCACTGAAGGAAATCTCTTTGTCCAGATGTTCTCCATTTAAATGTGTTATCATTACACCAGCTTTGACTAGAGCCAAGCAAATAAGCAAACAGCTTCTCAAATAGGAACTGCCTTTGTTATCTGTGTCAGTAAAGCAAAGTTCTTAAAGCCTGAGTGTTTTAACACTTGTTTTTAATGCTGTGTTTGCTGTTTAAATTTGGAGGCGTAACTGCCTCATTTTTACAATTTAGAAAAGGTCCTTGTTAGTGATTTTGCCAATAGATGGTCTGTCTACAGATGGGAGGCTTTTATTCATGGGCATAGATCTCATTATGCATTTAGGAATTTTTGTAAAAAACTCTTGGCTTTGGAAATAAATTCGTTGAGTTGTGTTTATTCTAGTATAAAGTAAAGGAACTTTCATAATGTATTATAATTGGTAATTTGGTTATTTTAAAACAAGCAGATCGGTTGTGACTGTCATAATTTTAGTATGTATTTGCATATTATAATGATAATTATGTTTTTCTCATTTTAGTTGTGTGCCTGATGGCCTATCATCTACTTTTTGCAATGTTTGTCTGGTCATACTGGAAAACTATCTTTACATTACCAATGAATCCTTCAAAAGAAGTAAGTTAAAATATTAACGAAATTATTCTAATAATAGAAATCAATAATACTGATGTATTATTGAAGAACGAATTTTATTTTAATGTTGCAAACTTATTGAGTTTAGTGACTTTTTAGATTAAAAAAATTAGTATTTCTGTTAATAAATACTTGAATTTTCACCTGGAAATATTAGTGTTTTCACCAGATAAGCACTGCATTTTCTGTATTGAATCTGTTATGAATTCCATTTCCACTTTAGAGTCAGACATCAGGATGGATGGATAGGTAGACAAAGATAGATAATAAAATAGAGCTAGAAGGTAGACATAATTCTATGATAATTATCACATTAAAGGTGTATTAGTTGGTTATCAGCCACCAGAAACAACAACAACAAAATAATGGCTTAGCTAATCTTCTCTGCATTCAAAAAGTCTGTAGCTAGTCCACAGCTTCCAGGTGCCCACACTCCTTCTATCTTGTTTCTCTGCCACGTGTAGCCTCCATTTCCAAGGTCCCCTCTTGGTCTAAGGGGGACTCTGCGGTTCCAACCATCACATCTACATTGTAGCCAGCAGACCAAAGAAAGTAGGAAAGAGAAGTAAATGTCCTCCTCTTCAAGAACACTTTCTAGACATTGCTGACGTCATTTCCACTTACATTTAGAAGTTGGTTATATGGCCACATCTACCCACAAGGAAGGGGGGAGTGTAGCCTTTCTTCTCGATGACCATGTTAAACATGAGAGAAGAAGAGAAATATGGTTACTGAGAGACAACTAGCAATCTCTGCTTCAGAGGGCTTTAAGTAGAGTGATGGATCAAATTTGCATGTTGAAAAGATCATTCTGTTTGTTTCTGGATCATGCATCCTGGTTAAACGTTCTTGGAGCAAAGAATTGTGTCTCACTCATTTTTGTATCCTTGGCGTATAGCCCAGTACATTGTTGAATAAAAATATACTTTGCTAACTCTAATAACAGTGTAGTTTTAGTAAGCCAAGTTTAAAAAAAAAAAGCATCACTGTAGACTGTTTACTGAAGTAATCAGTTTGAAATGCAACTTTGGTCAAAAAAGCCAATAAATATGCTATTTGGCTTGGGAGAGGATGGTAAAAACCACAGATGTTTGCGCAGAATTAATGGTATGCCTGGCTTAGAATGCCTATCTATTGCCTGTTTTTCTTCTATTCTCCACTTCTTTTTCTATCCCAGTCTTTTTTTTTCCTTCCTCCTACCATATTTGCTTCTTTTCCATCATCTCTCTTACCCTCATCCTGTCCCTAGTAGTAGGTTTGAAGAAAAATACTGACTTCTATCATAGGTAGTCTCATCCACTCTGGTAGTTTACATACAACCTCTGTTTTGATAACTCCCAAATCTGTTTTGAGTTCTAAACTCCCCCTTAAATTTCAAACTTATGTATCCCCCTGCCAAGCATAGCTTCTTGATAATTCCACCAACATCTCAAATACAAAACATCAAAAACAGACGTCATCACCTTCTCCTTCCCCAGACTGTGAGTCATCTGTTTCTTATGTCAGTTAATGGGCAGTTTATCACTGCTCTAATTCTGGGTCTTCATCATCTCCCTTGTCTGAGATATTGTATTCTTCTCCTGGTAATTTGGTTATTTTAAAACAAGCAGATCATTTGTGAATACCATAATTTTAGTCTGTACTTGCATATTATAATGATAATTATGTTTCTCTCATTTTAGTTGTGTGCCTAATGGCCTATCATCTACTTTTTGCAATGTTTGTCTGGTCATACTGGAAAACCATCTTAAGGTTTTCTGTTTACAGCCTGGCCTACCTTTCCTTCCCAGAACCCCACAAAACTTCATCCAATACCCTGAAGCTGGAGTGGTCCTCCTAAAAACCAATGTAACGCCTTCCCTCTACTGCTTGTATCTATTGTGATTCCATATATCCCACAGGGGAAAGCTCAGTCTCTTCTGCCTAGCAATAGCAGCTCTTGTCTCAATTTCTGACTTTATACTTTATACTCTAGTAGTTCTTAACTACACATAGTTTCCTGTATACAACATGGCATTATTTCCTTTCCAAAATATTCTTACCCCTTTCTCATGGAAATAATATATTTATTTTCCATTCATACTGGCAGCTCCTTCTTGGCCTCCTTTGCTGGTTCCTCTTCAGCTCCTAGACTGCCAAAGCATTGGAATGTTCCAGAGCTTAATCCCTGGACTTCTCTTCTTATATACCTGCATTTATTCCCTCGTGGATTTCATTGAGTTCTGTGACTTTATGTGTCACCCCAGTGCCGCAGCTCTCAGATTAATATATTAGCCTGGTGCTTGCTAATAAACGCCTGACACATTTCCAGCTCCCTATTTGACATCTAATAGAAATTTCAGGTTCAACACAACTGAAAACAAACTTCTGATTTCTCATTTAATTCCCCAGTTCTTCTAGTCCTAAAGTTTTCTTATGTCAGTAATGACAGTTTCACTCTTCTGTTCAGGCCAGAAACATTGGTGTCATCCTTGGCTACTCTTTTTCTCTCGGACGCCACATCTAGTCAATCAGAAAATTCTATACCCTCACCCTCAGAGTATGGCCACAATGTGAACTCATGTGCCGCACTGCTCCCTGCTCCCACCCCGGTCCAAGCCACCATCCTCTCTCATTTATAGATTTGCAGTAGCCTCTTAACAGGTTTCTTTTTGTTGGGTTTTTTTTTTTGGTGTTTTGTTATGTTTTTTTTTTTTTTTTTTTGGCCTCCTCTTGTGTATTTTCAACACAGTAGCCAAAGTGATCCTTTCAAAAGACAAGGCAAATCTCTCACCTTTTTGATGTCTTTATACAAATGGTACCTTATCATTGAGGCTGTCTGTGATGACTCAACATAGAATAGCAACCCCACTACCCTCGGCTTTCCCTGCACCTTACCTTCCTGGATTTTTCTCCATAACATTTACCATCATGGCAACACACTGCATATTTATTTGTTGAATACTTTTGAAAATACACCATCGTTAGAATGTAGGTTCCATAAGGGCGTGAAATGTATCTTTGTTCACTGCTTCATCACCAGTGCCTAAAGCAGTGTCTGACCTATAGAAGGTACTCAAGAGATACTTTTTAAGTGACTAAAAGTAGGGAAGAAGTTATTCATACACATGCAGGTTTATTTTTATGGCCTTGGCAGGAAGTTGAAGTGACTTCTAACTTCTCTCTAAAATTATATATGACATCATTGGCTAACAGTGAAGACCTAAGTGGGTTAATTAAGGGTTGGGAGAGTAGAGAAGGTTTGAAATAGTGGATTGGACAGAGTGGCAAAAGGATATGAAACACACGGAAGAAAGAACACAGCATTGAAGGAGCAGTCAAATCGATGACAGTGACATTATAACGGTATCAGGCTTCATTGTGTGATTTTTCTACAAAAGACGTACCTTAGTCATACAACTGTTTGAGATAGATACTATTTTTTACTATTTTACAGATGGAGCCACTGGCTTTGAACATGAAACAATTAAGGTATCTAGTGCTACTGTGTGGGAGAGCTAAGGTTCAACCAAAAGTCCTTTCAACCCTTAAGGACACTTTCTTTTCACTACACCATGCTCTAGTATGGAGAGCAAGCACAATGGGTGGGAGTGCCCAGGACTTCAATTGAAGCATGGGGGAAAAATAGCAAAAATTTTTTTACGTATTATTCATTTAATATTTTTATTTTTTAAAGTTTTGTATATGAGGTACATAAGCTATTAGCTGATAAAATATATACCAATACACTTGAACCTGGGAGGCGGAGGTTGCAGTGAGCCGAGATCGCACCACTGCACTCCAGCCTGGGCGACAGATCGACACTCCGTCTCAAAAAAAAAAAAGAAAAGAAAAGAATATATACCAATAAATACTCATCTGTTAGCAGTGTGATCTCACGTAATTTTTTACGGTTAGGGGAACATGATCAAAAGAGTTTGGAGACCACTGTTAGGAAGAAAGAGCCCTTGTCTGGTGGTTAAGAACCTTAGAATATTCCCTTTATAAAACGCAAGGTCTTGGGCTATTCTTTTAATTGATCAGCTGTTAGAGACCTCTCGCTTGTAAAATGAGGATCCTGAACTGAAAACATGTGAATTAAAATTTGCCCTTTTCATAGCAAGATTGTTAAAGTGATAATAGTTTTTCATTGGTAAGATTTTCTCAATATAAAAGTAATACAACCGCACTAAATTATATTTTGAAAATGAAGACTAGGCAAAAAGAAAAAAGAGAAAAATCCGTTACACCAATTCAAGCACTTTACATTCTGAATTTCTTTGTAGTTAAAAAAAACTTGTGAGTACCTAATAGATATATATATTTATGGGGTACCTGAGGTATTTTGATACAGGCATGCAATGTGTAATAATCACATCAGCGTAAATTGGGTATCAGTTACCACAAGCATTTGTATTTTGTGTTACAAAAAATCCTATTATACTCTTAGTTATTTTAAAATGTACAATTAAATTATTATTGATTGTAGCCGCCCTATTGTGCTGTCAAATACTAGGTCTTATTCATTCTTTTTTTTTTTTTTTTTTTTTTTTTTTTGAGATGGAGTTTCGCTCTGTCACCCAGGCTGGAGTGCAATGGCATAATCTTGGCTCACTGCAACCTCTGCCTTCTGGTTTCAAGGGATTCTCCTGCCTCAGCCTCCCAAGTAGCTGGGATTACAAGTGCCTGCCACCACGCCCGGCTATTTTTTGTGGTTTTAGTAGAGATGAAGTTTCACCATGTTGGCCAGGCTGGTCTCAAACTCCTGACCTCGTGATCCGCCCACCTCAGCCTCCCAAACTGCTGGGATTACAGGCATGAGCCATGGCACCTGGCCCAAATTTTTGTATTTTTAATAGAGATGGGGTTTCGCCATGTTGGCCAGGCTGGTATCAAACTCCTGACCTCAAGTGATCCACTCGCCTTGGCCTCCCAAAGTGCTGGGATTACAGGCATAAGCCACTGCGCCCAGCCTTATTCATTCTTTCTAACTTTTTTGGTTTTGTTACCGTTAACTTTCCCCACTTATGTCCAAGTTTCCTACTACCCTTCCCAGCCTCTGGTTGCCATCCTTTTATTCTCTATCTCTATGAGTTTAGTTGTTTTAATTTTTAGCTCCCACAAGTAAGTGAGAGCATGCAAAGTTTGTCTTTCTCTGCCTTGCTTATTTTACTTAACATAATGACCTCGAGTTCCATTCATGTTGTTGCAAATGATGGGATCTCATTCTTTGTTTTGTGGCTGAATATATTCCATTGTGTAAGTAAACACCACATTTTCATTATCCATTCATCCATTGATGGACACTGAGTTTCCTTTCAAATCTTGGCTATTGTGAGTAGTGCTGCAATAAACATGGGAGTGCAGATTATCTCTTTAACATACTTGTTTCCTTTCTTTTGGGTATATACTCACAGTAGAATTGCTGGGTCATATGGTAGCTCTATTTTTAGTTTTTTGAGAAACCCATCGTAGTAGTACTAATTTACATTCTCACCAACAGTATACAAGGGTTCCCTTTTCTCCACCATCTCACCAGCATTTGTTATTGCCTTTATTTTACTTTATTGGTATTTTTTGAGGTAAGGTCTTGCTCTGTTGGCCAGGCTGGTGTGCAGTGCTGCAATCACAGCTCACTGCAGCTTTGACTTCCTGGGTTCGAGCAATAGTCCCACCTCAGCCCCCTAAGTAGCTGTGACTACAGGCATGCATCACCACGCCTATCTAATTTTTTTTAATTTTTTGTAGAGATGAGATTTCACTATGTTGCCTAGGCTGGCCTCAGACTCCTGGGCTCGAATGGTCCTCCCGCTTTGGCCTCCCAAAGTGCTGGGATTATAAGCATGAGCCACTGCACCTGCCCTTTGCCTATCTTTAGGATAAAAGCTATTTGAACTGGGGTACGATGATAACTCATTGTAGTTTTGATTTGCATTTCTCTGATGACCATGGATGTTGAGCACATCTTCATATACCTGTTTGCCCTTTGTGTGTCGTCTTTTGAGAAATGTCTATTCAGATCTTTTGCTCATTTTTAAATTGGATTATTAGATTTTTTTCCTATAGAGTTGTTCGAGCTCCTTATACATTCTGGATATTAATCCTTTATCAAATGGGGAGTTGCCAAATACTTTCTCCCATTCTGTGGGTTGTGTCTTCTCTTGGTTGATTGTTTCCTTTGCTGTGCAAAAGCCTTTTAACTTGATGTGATCCCATTTGTCCACTTTTGCTTTGGTTGCCTGTGCTTGTGAGGTATGATTCAAGAAATCCTTGCCTACACCAATGCTTTGGAGAGTTTCCCCAACGTTTTCTTTTACTGGTTTCATAATTTGAGGTCTTAGATTTAAGTCTTTAATCCATTTTGATTTTTGCGTATGGCAAGAGATATGTGTCTCATTTCATTCTTCTGCATATGGATATCTAGTTTCCCCAGCAGCACTTACTGAAGAGACTGCCCTTTCCCCAGTGTATGTTCTTGGCATCTGTGTTGAAAATGAGTTTACTGTAGATGTAAGGATTTGTTTCTGGGCTCTCTGTTCTTTTCCATTGGTCTATGTATGCCAGTACCATGCTATTTTGGTTACTGTGTACGAATGCTAGTCTTACGCCAGTACCGTGCTATTTAGGTTACTCCCCTACACTAAACTCTGTAGTATAATTTGAAGTCAGGTAATGTGAGTCTTCCAGTTTTGTTCTTTTTACTCAGGATAGTTTTGGCTATTCTGGGTCTTTTGTGATTCCATATACATTTTAGTATTTGTCCTCCTTGGGAAGGCTTTCCAGGTTAGGTGTTGTGATCTAAGCTGCATCTGCATTAGGAGATACCCCAATCCCAGTAATACTGTGGTTCTTACAGACTGGTAGATGTGTACTGCCTTGGTGGTCTTGGATAAGATTTGGAAGAATTCTCTGGATTACCAGGCAGCGACTCTTGTTCTTCTGCCTTATATTCTTCTAAACAAACAGAGCCTCTCTCTCTCTCTGCTGAGCTGCCGGGAGCTGGTGGAGGGGTGACATGGCACCTCTGTGGCCAACACCACTGGGACTGTGCTCAGTCAGACCCGAAGTCAGGATAGCATTGGGTCTCGCCCAAGGCCCATTATGTCCACTGCCTGCCTCCCCCATCTGCGTTTGCTCAAGGCTGAAGGGCTCTGCAGTCAGTAGGTAGCAAAGTCAGCCAGGCTTGGGTCCTTCCCTTCAGGGTAGAGAGTTTGCTCCGGCCCTGGCCGGGTTCAGAGATGCCATCACAGATCCAAAGACTGCAGTCAAAAACCTTTTAGTGTTTTTTGGTATTCAGAGTGTACCTGTTCCCATTTTTTAAATGTAATAGTCCATCAGTGGCTTATTAGCATTTTTTTTATTATACTTTAAGTTCTGGGGTACATGTCCAGAACGTGGAGGTTTGTTACATAGGTATACACGTGCCATGGTGATTTGCTGCACCCATCAACCCCATCATCTACATTAGGTATTTATCCTAGTGCTGTCCCTCCCCTAGATCCCCACCCCACGACAGGCCCTGGTGTGTGATGTTCCTTCCTGTGTCCATGTGTTCTCACTGTTCCACTCCCACTTATGAGTGAGAACGTGCAGTGTTTGGTTTTCTGTTCTTGTATTAGTTTGCTGAGAATGATGGTTTCCAGCTTCATCCACGTCCCTGCAAAGGACATGAACTCATCCTTTTTTATGGCTTCATAGTATTCCGTGGTATGTATGTGCCACATGTTCTTTATCCAGTCTATCATTGATGGGCATTTGGGTTGGTTCCAAGCCTTCGCTATTGTGAACAGTGCCGCAATAAACATATGTGTGCCTCTGTCTTTATAGTAGATTCTTTCACTGACATATCACTTTTAAAGTTTTTTAAATTGTAAAATATTTTATACATATTTTTGTATATATACAAAATATATAAATATATAAATATATATATATACAAAATATATAAGAACGTATATATAATGCACTACTTAAAGAATAATTAAGTGAAAACACCTAAGCAGCCACCGAGCCAGTATGTCAAACATTGTTCATATTTTCCATCTCTGCTGTGCATCTCCCAGCTGTTTCCCTTTATTCCTCAAAACTTAACAACTATCCTGCGTTTCTGTTATTCTTTCTTCTTTATAATTTTATCACATGTGCATGTATCTCTCAACAACAGTGTATATGTTGTTTAGCTTGCTGGTTTTAAAATTATATGAATGAATCATTGTATATATGTTCTATAAGATTGTTTTATGTTGTTCAGTATACTGAGGTTCTTTCCTTTGCTATACACAGCTATAGTTTATTAATTGTTAAATGCCGGTACTATTCCATTATTTGGATATATCATACTCCAATTTATCCATCATCCTTTTGATGTACATTTGAGTTGTGTTCTTTTTTTTGTATTTCAAACAATGATACTGAGATTTTTCTTGTACATGTCTCCTGGCGCACATTTATAGAAATTTATACAGGTGTATGTGTGTCTGTGTGGAAGATATGTATTTATATACATATTATTAAACAGAAGCCCAAATTTTCTTTTTCTCAAATATTTTAAAATTAGCTGGGCAAAATTGTCAGTATAAGAAGTAAAATAAATAATTAGACCCTTTAGAAGTGCTGGGGGAGATTTTATGTAAGGATTATCCCTAAGTTAAAACTCACTTAGGTAAGAAGATATGCTTAATGGATTTTCTACATTTGTTCTTAATGATCTAAATGAAAAATTTATTCATTGAGTTATGTTTATTCATTGGGCCATCTTATCTATCAATGTAACTCATATTTTGTTGGAACTCTACGGTTTATAAGCATTTTTATGTACTCTGTTCCTTTTGAGTTACACAAAAACCAGAGGAAGTAGGTACAGTTGTATTATGATGATGATTATTATACCCTTTTTCTAGATGCATAAATGAATGACCTGTGAGGTGAACAGACTTGCCCACGTTTCAAACTCTATTGTCTCTTTGAATGTACAATATACCATTAATATTTTATAAATACCCTTTTCCGGGTATGGTAGAGAAGACCAATATGTTATAATTTCTTTGAAAATACTGATTAAGATTTAAATGTATTCCACAGTTCCATCTCTCTTATGCAGAGAAAGATTTGTTGGAGAGAGAGCCAAGAGGAGAAGCCCATCAGGAAGTTCTTAGGCGAGCAGCCAAGGATCTTCCCATCTATACCAGGACCATGTCTGGAGGTAAATGTTGATAATGAGTGCTTTGCAATGGTATGCAAATAACATCATTAAGGTGACTGTAAGAAAGTGTGTTTATGTACTTGAAATGGTAAAACACTCATTTCAGAATGCTGTGTTATTTCTTGGATTGCTGTTAAATCTTTCCTGTGTGATTCCATAAAACAGAATGGAAACACGAATAGCACTGTGGCACAGAGATCGCAAGGAAATCAGAACTGACTTTAATCCTGTTCTGCCTACTTAGTTATGACTCAGTGAAGATGTGGGAACTGCTGAAATCTTGATTTATGGTAGTACTCATGTTTAAGGTTTTAATTGTAGACTTTCCTATTTATATTTAATTTAAGGCAGCAGTATCTGTAATGAATATAAAATGAATACTTTTACATGTATTTTTTCGTAAACTTAGAACAGTCATATAGGTGATGTAAAATTTCATTTAGGTATTGGTATAATTTTTTATCTATCTTTAAAATTTTCTTACAAATGCAATAAATTAACAAATCTCTTACTTGGGACATATTTTAAGGTAATTTGACAACTATCCACTTAAACAGTTGTCTTAAAACTGATGTATATGGACTAGTGATGCTTACCCACCAAGACTTGCCCAGAGCTTCTGTGACTTCAGACCTGTGCTGTCCATTATGGTAGCCGCTAGCCCCATGTGGCTGTTGAGCGCTTGAAGTATGGCCAGTTCAAACTGACATGTGCTCTAAGTATTAAATACACACTGGTTTCAAAGACTTAGTATGAAAAATATATATAAAATATCTCATTAATGAACAGACACAGTGGCTTGTGCCTATAATCCCAGCAACTCGGGAGCCTGAGGTGGAGGATTGCTTGAGCCCAGGAGTTAGAAGTTGCAGTGAGCTGTGGTTGCACCACTGCACTGCCGCCTGGGTGACAGAGTGAGACCCTGTCTCTAAAAAATAAAATAAATAAAAAATGTTTAAAAAAAAAAAAACAGGAAAAACTCATTAAGATTTGCGACTCTGTGTGGTGTTTCATACACGTGTAATCTCAGCACTTTGGGAGGCCGAGGCAGGTGGATCACCTGAGGTCAGGAGTTTGAGACCGGTGTGGCCAACATGGTGAAACCCCATCTCTACTAAAAATACAAAAAAATTAGCCTGGGCGTGGTGGCGCATGCCTGTAGTCCCAGCTACTCAGCTCAGGAGGCTGAGGTGGGAGAATTGCTTGAACTCAGGAGGCAGAGGCTACAGTGAGCTGAGATGACACCAGTGCACTCCAGCCTAGGTGACAGTGAGATTTCGTCTCAGAAAAAAAAAAAAAGAGGTTTTTATATTACTTATATTTGTTTCTGACTCACTTTAGAATCATAATTGAATCTTAACTATAAGTCTCACACATAATGTTTTCCTGGTTAATATTGTGACCTTAGTTTTACCCTACAAAGACAGAGATGTGCTTATATATGTTTAGGTATATTTACCCTGTAAGGCTAAACAAACACTGCAGAAATTTAAGCCCCCTAGAAATAAATCATTGCTGAGTTTCCAAAGCTAGTTAGTGACAGTAAAAGGTGCAAAAACCTGGTGTCCTTATTCCTAGTTCAGTTTAAAACTTTTTTTGATAAATAACAGGGTACAAGAAATAAATTGGTTTAATTGAGGGAGACATTCTATTTATTTTGATTAACATGGACATATTTGTACCCTTTGTGAGCCTTATTATAACTACTGACAATTGAAAAAGCATCAGAAAAATTTCCTTAGGAGGTTCTCTCTTCTGGTTAAACCTCCAGAGAACTGTGGCTGTAGGCAAGTCATTCCATTTTTGTATTTAAACAGCATCAAATATCTTATTTTTTTACCATATTTAAATTTCATATGCTTTTTAAAATTTAAATTTGGAGAGATGATAAAAGCCATTTAATTGTATTTTCAATTCAGTGTTAACTCTAAGACTAAGTGGAGCTTTTTGTCCCTAGCCATCCGATACTGTGACAGATGCCAACTTATAAAACCAGATCGCTGCCATCACTGCTCCGTCTGTGATAAGTAAGAGAACCTTTAACTTCTAAAATATCTACATGCTGGTGGTCTTTTTCTTCATTATGTTTCTTTTCTCACTGTTTTCCTGATTATCTTCTCCATATTCTCGCTTCTCAGCCCTTGATTTAGGAAATGGAGTTGGTATAACCCGCTGGCATTCATACCAGTGAGGCCTAAGGCCACAGTCAAGTGTCAATTTGCCCCCAGATTCACGGTGCCCTGAAGTATGTGATTTTTAGCAGTTCTGACTTGGCTGGTTCAATTTAGGAAATACTTCTATGAGTGTTTTCCATTTTTATAAAGAGAACTCAGTTGACTTCAGGACAGTCAGACGTTGTTATATATTTAATATACTCCAAGGACAGTATGACTTGGCATAAGGATTGATATTGAAGGGGAAGTTTTATCCAGACTTTCCGTAAATCCGTTGCAGTTTTGTTCTTTCTTTAGCCTAAGATAGTTGTATATTAATACATTATATTGTTTTTAGGAAATGAGTTGCTTTGCATCTTAAGCATGTATATTTTGAATTCAAGTTATATTATTATAAGAATTGGCTATAGGGTTTATTTTAGATGAGAACTTCTGCTATTATCCAATTTTTAGATAAGTAAATAATTTTGCAATATTTTACTTGCCGCAGCTGTTTGAACTAACCATAATTTATATTTTTATAATTTAATATGATTAAAATTTCATGGGGTATTAGGTTTTGTGTTCTGCTTTGTTTTTTAGATGTATTTTGAAGATGGATCATCATTGTCCATGGTGAGTTGGCTGTATATTTAAACAAGTTTGTGTCCCTTGTAAATGTTAATAAATTAAATCACTTATCCATGTAAATCTTTTCACACATGAAATATTACTTGAGTTGACATAGCAGGAACTTTTGGATTTAGTTTCTAATATTTGTTTAACTTAAAAGAGCCTTTATTTAGGGGAGTTTCCATGAAATACTTTTAAAACCAGTAGGTTAACAACCTAAAAGTTAATATCGCATGTTAGCTCAGAACAAAGGATTTTGTTTGTATGCATGTGCATGAACAGAGATTCCAGAATACTTCACAGAAATACACACAAAGATGTACAAGTAAATTATACATAGTACCTCACTGGAAGGTTTTTATAAAGAATTAAGTCATCAAAAGCTTTTTAACAATTTATTTTACACAGAATTTGACATTAAGGAGTAGAATACAACTACACAGATATACAAATGCACACATAAATTTAAACAAGATTTTCCACATAGAATTCATTAATATTTGCTAATATTTCTCAGTCACGAAATCAGGTAATTTAACAGAGGATTATTTGAAAGATCTGATTAGTAAGGTTAATTTTCCTTCCTTTTCCTATAATTTTTCATCTCAGTGTAGGCATATCTCTGACAGTCATGCCCAGGTTGCTGGCCAGGTTGGATTTGGGCGTGAGTAATGCTTATTCTTCAAGCTTTCTTTCAGGGATGGCTCTACAGAAAGGTAGACATGCCCACAGGTCCACAGTAGGTATAGGGTGAAATATATGTAGGGAATGGTTTTCTTAGCAGCAGGAAAGATTCCCAGGGGAATGTAGGATTATGGTATCCTGTATCTTTCACCAGTATACCTCTTTCTTTTCTCCACCTCGATTTTCTCCTTTAAAGCGTTCAGGCTAGTCAACCCATACAAGAATGGCACTCTTCTTAAAGGTCTCAATAAATAACGCCCCCTTCGTACTAATTGATACTTGCACTCATTCTTTTGCCCCCCTGCCCCCAGTTTTCTTTTCTGGTTTTTTTTACAACAAGTGTTCCCTCTCCCCCAGTGTCTTTAATAAGACTTCTTCTTCTTCTTCTTCTTCTTCTTCTTCTTCTTCTTCTTCTTCTTCGTCTTCGTCTTCGTCTTCTGTCTTCGTCTTCTGTCTTCGTCTTCGTCTTCTTCGTCTTTGTCTTCTTCTTCTTCTTTCTTCTTCTTTATTCTTTCTTCTTCTTCTTCTTCCTTTCTTCTTCTTCTCCTCCTCCTCCTCCCTCCTCCCTCCTCCCTCCTTCTTCTTCTTCTTTTCTTCTTTCTCCTTCTTCCTTCTTTCTTCTTCCTTCTTTCTTCTTTTTCCTTCTTCGTCCTTCTTCTTTCTTCTTCTTTTTTTTTTTTTTTGAGACAGAGTCTCGCTCTGTCGCCCAGGCTGGAGTGCGGTAGCGTGATCTCAGCTCACTGCAACCTCTGCCTCCCGGGTTCAAGCGATTCTCCTGCCTCAGCCTCCTGAGTAGCCAGACTACAGGCGCCTGTAACCTCACCTGGCTAATTTTTGTACTTTTAGTAGAGTCGGTTTCACCATATTGGCCAGGCTGGTCTCGAACTCTTGACCTTGTGATCCGCCCGCCTTGGCCTCCCAAAGTGCTGGGATTACAGGCGCGAGCCACCATGCCTGGCCAACGTCTTCTTAATTCTCCTTACATTCATTTGTTGACTTCCCCTGCAGCTGCTGTCAGTGCCCCACCTGTATCCCCATGACCCACCTGCTGAATTCATGGCATCTGGTGAACATCTCCCGTACCTGCTGGCAGCTCCCCATTCAGGCACCTGTGTTTCTTTTCTTCTCTGCCTGAGGGGGTCTCTTCTACCTGGGTAGTTTCGTTCAGCTCACAAGCCAGGCAGTCCAGAAGTGCCAAGGCATTCATACCTCCAGGGGCAACCCTCAACCAGTGACAGCCTGGCCGGTAAAAAATGCTTTATCCTTCCTGTCTCAAATGAACTGCATCCAAGTTCTTGTCTCAGAGTCTGCTTTGGGGTAAACCCATGTTAAGCACCCTCCTTTCTGGATAACTGTATACTCCAGATATATTCAGCAGAGTGGTAGTCATCATAGGCATAGTGTTGATTTTGATTTGTCTGACCTTAATAAGGGATTGTGATGACAAGGAATGGAGAGGTGGAAAAAAATCAGGTCAGTACATACCTATAAAGCTTCCCATGCCCTTGCTGTACTCACAAAATTACAAAAAGAGAAAATAATAATTTATCATTATAGTAATTTTGCTAAATCAACAGTTAATTTGGCCTCATGAGATACTTACAGTCTGATAGCCTTTACAGTTTTCACAGATTCTGTTAAATAAGTGAAGGAGAACAACAGAAATGAGACCCTAGAATTTTTAAAAATAGGTTCCATGGCATGCCTACACACCACCTGCTGTTACTCCACCCTTAGGTGGCAGTGTGGGAAGGTGAATGAACTGACTGCGGTACCTTTTAACCTGTGTCGTTGTTCACTTCCCCATCACTTCCCTTGCGGCATCCACTGTCTCCACCACTGTCCTAGCTCTGAGTACTCCCTTGCAGAAAGCAGCAGCCATGTTGACTTGTGAAGGATTTGATGCCAAGGGTCTGTTACTCACTTGGTGCCAGCTGAATGGAGCAGCCATTGTATTTAATTTTTTAATTTCAAATTAAAGTTTTAAATAAAAAAGTCTATAGGTAATAACATGCTTTTGGTTCCAAATTCAAAAATAAAACAGGTAGCCATGTTCTTCCCAGTCCCTCTCCCCACCTTCTTCCACTATGCACAGAGAACCAGGATTGTTAACGTCATGGCACTTTTCAGATCTCAATGTATGTGTGCATAGCCTATAAACCCCCTTGTTATTTATTTATTTATTTTTAGTACAAGTGACTACACTATTGATTGAATCTGTTTCTTTTTGTTTTCTTCACTTAATGTATCCTGGAAATGTTTCCGTATGAATATATAAAAAATCTTTTTCTACAGGCTTTGTGTGAATGTATTCATCTAATGGCAGTCACTTATAGGACTTTTAGGATGTTTTCAGACCCAGGGGCAGCCTTTTCTCTCTCTCTCTCTTTTTTTTTTTTTTTTTTTTTTTTTTTTTTAGATGGAGTCTAGCTCTGTAACCTGGGCTAGAGTGTGGTGGTGCGATCTTGGCTCACTGCAAGCTCCGCCTCCTGGGTTCATGCCATTCTCCTGCCTCAGCCTCCCAAGTAGCTGGGACTATAGGCGCCCACCACTACGCCTCACGGTTTTTGGTTTTTTTTTTTTTTGTATTTTTGGGTTTCACGGTGTTAGCCAGGATGGTCTCGATCTCCTGACCTTGTGATCCACCCGCCTCAGCCTCCCAAAGTGGTAGGATTACAGGCATGAGCCAACGCGCCCGGCCAGGGCAGCTTTTTTATACAGGTATTTTAAACAGGTATTTTGAACCTTCATATCTGTCAACTTTGAATATTTGAAACATTGGATCAACAATACCTCTCTATTTGTCAGTGATTTCTCAATCTCTGCTCTGGCCACTTAAGATTACCCACCAGAATTCTGGGGATCAATCTCATACTTGTGTTTTAACTAAAACAGATTCCGTAGTATTTGCTTTATGGGATTTTCTATCAAAGTATTTTTTTCCTTTAGTATAAGATTTTAGTTAATTACTTCATATTAATAATACTTTCACATGCTTGCCAAAGGTTAAGTAACACAAATAAAAACAAATTATTTGAGCTTCAGTTTATTGAGTGCCGGTTATGTTCTAGAGGCCATACACATAATCTGTAATACTTTTAACAGCGACAGAAGTAGAAATTGTTTGTCTCATTTTATTTTATCTTATTTTTTTGAGACGGAGTTGCCTAGGCTGGAGTGCAGTGGCACGATCTTGGCTCACTACAACCTCCACCTCCTGGGTATTTGTCTCATTTTACAGGGGAAAAAAATGAGTCTCAGAAAAGAGAAAGAGAGGGCTCAAAGTCACATAGGAAATTTTTTTTTACTTCAAAGGCCACACTCCTTCCAATGTATTATGTTCTTTTTCAAATTTAAAGTCAGAAAGCAATTGCCCAGAAACAGGGCCAACAGCTGTGTTTTACACTGAACTTAAACAACATAAGAAGAATATTTTCCTAGAACGTGTTTTGTTTCTCCATATGAAATCATTCCTTTTCTAGATGGAGAAATAGATTCAGAATAAGTCTTCTTCCTTTTATATTGAGTCTATAAAGCAATAGGCAGTTAAAATGTCTAGCCAAAAGCTGTCTATTGTGAAGACAGTAAGGTATTATTCAAAATAAATGTCACTATATTTCTTCTAGTTATATATATATATACACACACACACACACACACATATACATGCACATACATACACACACACATACTCTATGTATATACATATTAAACTCTAAAATATATGGTCTTCATTTACTGACCTCCTTTGTCCCTAGCTCTAGCATGGCAAATTTTACCATCCCCTCAAGCAAAGCTAAATTAGTTGTTACAAAATCTGTGATCAAAATCATTTTATAAAAATACTCTTTATTATTTAATTCAAGAGCTGCTGCTTATATTCCTTCAGGAAGAGAAACAATCTTTTCTATCCCTTCCAATTTCTTCCTAGTCCACAAGTCATTATTTACACCCATGTTGTCCAAAGTCTTTTTTTTTTTTTTTTGAGATGGAATTTCACTGTCACCCAGGCTGGAGTGCAGTGGTGAAATCTTGGCTCACTGCAGCCTCTGCCTCCCGGGTTCAAGCAGTTCTTCTACCACAGCCTCCCGAGTAGCTGGGATTACAGACGTGCACCACCATGCCAAGATAATTTTTGTATTTTTATTTTACTTTATTAATTAACTTTTGAGATGGAGTTTTGCTCTTGTCGCCCAGGCTGGAGTGCAGTGGTGCAATCTCAGCCTCCTGGGTTCAAGTGCTTCTCCTGCCTCTGCCTCCCGAGTAGCTGGAACTACAGCCATGTGCCACCATGCCCGGCTAATTTTTTGTATTTTTAGTAGAGACGGGTTTTCACCAAGACCATGCCAGGCTGGTCTTGAACTGCTGACCTCAGGCGATCTGCCTGCCTCGGCCCCCTAAAGTGCTGGGATTACAGGCGTCAGCCACCACGCCCACCCATATTGTCCAAAGTTTTAAAGCACCCAGCTTTTGCCTACCCATTCTTTCCCCTTGAAACCAACATAAGTAAGCAAAGGGAATACCCTGTATCCTTTTGAGACAGAATACAGTTAGATTAGGCTGTTTCCAGTATTATTTCCTGCCATGATTCCATTCAAACACCATAAAAGGCAACCTCAGCAACAGGCTTGCATCCCCCCACTGGAACCTCTAGAGATGCAGATGTAACTGTTTCCATACAATGTGCACGCACAATTTGTGGCTTCTTTTTTTTCTTTTTTTTTTTTTTTTTGAGAGGAAGTCTCCCTTTGTTGCCAGGCTGGAGTGCAGTGGCGCAATCTCAGCTCACTGCACCCTCCACCTCCCGGATTCAAGCGATTGTCCTGCCTCGGCCTCCCGAGTATCTGGGACTACAGGCGTGTACTACCACGCCCAGCTAATTTTTGTATTTTTAGTAGAGACAGGGTTTCACCATGTTGGCCAGGATGGCCTTGATCTCTTGACCTTGTGGTCTGCCTGCCTCGGCCACCCAAAGTGCTGGGATTACAGGTGTGAGCCACCACGCCCAGCCAACTTGTGGCTTCTTTATAAATTATTTGCCCATATGTAAGACCTTTAAGTTTACAAATTACTAAATCTAATGCTATTCCCTTTACCTTATATTTTTTGAGGGAGATGATGTAAACATTTTTTTCACATGAACATGGTTTCATTTTTACAAATCTAGAAAGAAAAGTGTTTCATCTTAGTAGCTAAGTCAATGGAGAGTGAGATGATTTTTACCTACGTTAGAAGGGGAACAAGAACGTTTGAGAAAAGGAAACAATATGTGTATGTTCTGTGCAATAGGCTGAATACTAGAAAAGGAAACCTGTATGTTCTATTTAATAGGTTCGTTATACCGGTTAACCAAGAAGTTACTCAACCCATGAAGGTATTAGCCAATTCCACATGGGTGATGTATCACATTGACACAAGGTCATCCAGTAGTGCCCTTGTCTTTATGAAAAGGAAATCAAAAACTTTGATAGAAAGAGAGTGAGCCTATAAGCCTATGAGTGGGAGCTAAATGATGAGAACACATGGACACAGAGGAGGGAACAACACACACTGGGGCCTTTTGGAGGGAGGAGGGTGGGAGGAGGAAGAAGGCTAAGCAAAACAACTAATGGATACTAGGCTTAATACCTGGGTGATGAAATAATCTATACAACAGACCCCCACAACTCACGTTTACCTGTCTAACAAACCTGCACTTGTATCCCAAAAATTAAAGTAAAATAAAATATAAATAAATAATTTTTTAAAAAAGAAAAATCTTAACAAAAAGAAAGTGAGCCTATAAAAATGAATTGTATTTGTACTTAGGTTTATTGATACAATAGTTTGATTTGTCCCCCCTCAGATAACGACTTTGGAGTGAGAACTGAGATTTATAAATTTCCATATTTGGAATTATAGCATATTTAGAGCCGACTTTTGGAAATGACCTCAGAGTGTTTTACTTACAGATAAAGAAAATGAAATTCTAATCGATGATTTCACTTCCTCAGGGCCACATCATTACTTAGTGTCAAATGGGCCTTCTGACCCAGCTGTCTAACTGCCAGGCCTACTTCTTTTCTTAAAGCTCCCATTTAATATGCTTTGACAGTCCGCTTGCTTCAATGAAGGCATGCAAAGAGTAATTTGTGAAGATATTCCATCTAATTTGGGAATACTTGAAAAATTGTAACTTAATTAATCATAGTTGGATATCAAACCCAAAGATGGCGTAGAGGAAGGGTTTAGTAAATTCACCTAAGCTGCCTGGCCTGATACGGTTTCTCGCAGGCTCTGTGCTTTGAGGGATGTGCATACTTGCGTAATTTGAGATGACATGCAGTTACATTGTTTGTGATTGACTAAAGCAATATTAAATATCATGTTTTAAAAATAGAAGCAGATTTTTTAGTGAAATGGATTTTTACATGATTGTATGCATAAAGAAATCTTATGAGTTATATTTAAAGAAATGCCAATAAATTAGAAGTGAGAGGAAGCTAAACACTTGCTTGAGCATATGCACATGTAGGTTGAAGATGTAAAACTCACTGGAAATGTTTTTGTTTTGTTAACAGGGTGAACAATTGTGTTGGATTTTCAAATTATAAGTTCTTTCTCCTTTTCTTGGCTTATTCTCTGCTCTACTGCCTTTTTATTGCGGCAACAGATTTACAGTATTTTATCAAATTTTGGACAGTAAGTCATTAACTTGGTAACTCTTTTTTTGGTATACAATAATAGATAATATAGGCTTTTCAGAACAGAATTATTTCCGACACTGACTTTATAGACCAGAGCTCATTGACATGCAGTCAGTCCTCATTATTCGCAGATTCTTTATTTGTTAATTCAGTAAGATGTAATTGTAACCCCCACATCGATACTGACAGCTTTCGTCATCTGCAGACATGTGCAGAGTGGCAAAAACATTGAGTTGCCCCCATGCCCATTCCCAGTTGAGGTTGAACAAGACGATGCTTTTGCCTTCTTGCTTCAGCTCTCATACTATAAACAAGTGTGCTTTCCACAGTCTATTTAGTGCCATGCTTTTTTCCATTTTTGTGCTTTTTGTTGGTGATTTTGCTGTCAAAAAATCTTAAAGTGTAGTGCTGAAGTGTGGTCTAATGTTTCTAAACAAAAGAGAACCGATGTGTGTTATGGAGAAAATAGGTGTATTAGATAAGCTTGATTCAGGCATGAGTTATAGTACTGTTAGCTATGAGTTCTATATTAATAAATCAATAATGTATATTAAATAAGGTGCGTTTAAGTAGAAACACACATAAAACAAGGTTACACACTGATCAGTTGTCAAAGATGTTGTGACCAGAGGTTCATAGAAACCTAACCCTGTATCTTCCCTAGGAGCAGTTTTTCAGTGTTCACAAGTTCAGTGTTTGTGGAAAGTTTATAAAAAATAAGTACTGCAAATAACGAGAATTGATGACTATATAAGATTTTTTTCAGGATTTAAAAATAGAAGTATTTTCTTTATGTGTAAGAAGATTATTTTTTAAACTATCATGCCTATAATGTCCTTATGCCTATAATATCCTGAATTTTTATTCGGTATTTCTTGATTATGCTTTATACACTATATATTTTAAATGTAGGCAAAAAGAAATTAAAATTGAGGATTTAAGATATCCACAGGTCCTCCTTGTGAACACCAAATGACAGTAAAAAAGCAATTTATCTGCTGCCAGGATTGATGTATTATTTTCATTAAATTATCTTTATTATGGTAAGAATTTCTAAATTGCTAGATCACTTATGTGAGATTTGAACCAAATTTAATACCAAAGAGTTATTGAATGCCTACTGTGTGCCAATTCTATTGCTAAGCATAGAAAGACATGAGTGAAGAGACCTGCTGCTAACATTCAAGGATTCTTTCAGTGTCCAGCTTGAAAAATGAACCGTAATGAATGTCTGGGAGAGCATTACCTCACTGCTCCTCCTTCCTGTGGATGATTTTAGTTTCAAACCACAAACATATATGAAAAGGAATGACCAGAATTTTCGCTGTCAAAAAAACCTGCTGCTGTTGAAAACTGTCAGTGAGGTCTTGTGACCGGTGTCATTTGGTCAGGGACGACAGGGTATTGGAATCTCAGGACCATTTATCAGAAGAGACACCTCGTGGCAGCCATGGTGCTTCGATAGGTGTCCATAGCCCCAAGCCCTCCATTCTAGAGCCATTCCAGGTCTCTTTGGATTTATAAACAATGAGAGAATGAGAGTCTAACTGGTTTTCTTTGAGATGGACTGTTTCAGCCCATGGATATTAACATTTATTTTAGACAGGTGTTATGCACTGGTGTTGATCTTTTCTGTGGTGCTATTATTTAAGATAGCTTGAAGCATTATTGTGAATGTGTTGTTATATGTATTCATTTAGTTGATGCTGTTGTTTGTAGTAACATAAAACATCAATAAGGATAGTAGCCAAATTGTGCCAGTTAGCCTTCATTTTCTGGCATTATAATGAAACTATTTAAACGTTTGTGATTCTGTAGTATGTTAACAAAACATACTCCGTTAATAAATTTAAAACTACATTTTATAGTTCCATTTATCTTGCTTCGTATTACAGTTTATACATATACTACCATAAATTTTCTATGATTTGGTTATGAAAAACACAGTTTATATTCCAAATTTTAATATCATTTTCATATATATTCATATTCTCGTAAACTTTTAACCTGATGAAATATATGCATATTTTTCCTAAAGTTTTAACATAAAGCCACATTTTTTTATATTAAATTTAAGAAAAATTTTAAGCAAAAAAAAAAATCTTACTAATTTACTTATAAAAGTAGGGGAATACATATCCCTTTGACAAAACATGTTATTTTCTTCCTTTCTTTATAGAATGGCCTACCTGATACTCAAGCCAAGTTCCATATTATGTTTTTATTCTTTGCTGCAGCTATGTTTTCTGTCAGCTTGTCTTCTCTGTTTGGCTATCATTGTTGGCTAGTCAGCAAAAATAAATCTACATTAGGTGAGTATCCAATTATTGTAGTTGACAGAACTTTAAATACGTATACCAACATTCATTGACAGTTGCTATGTGATTAAATGCCAACTTGCCCTGAAGTGGTGGGAAAAGTCATTCTTATTTTCCTCATTGTTTTTTTGATATGTCGCTTAGACACATACAGGTTTGCTCATTCCATATATTTATTGATTGTCTCATATATATGTATATATATATGAGACTATATATATATCTATATATAGATATATAGATATAGTGGCATATAGATATATAGATATAGTGGTGAGCAGGGGCAAAACAGTCTAATGAGGGGCACTAGGAATATTTTAGAAACACTCCATGTGGCTGAAGCATAGAAAGCTAAAGATTGAGAAATACATTAATGAGGTTGGAGAGGTAAGCAAGGACTAAGCTATGTAGAGTTTCTAGCTCAAGGATAGGAGTTTGGGAATGCAACCAGGACCACACATGCTGATGATCATAAAGGACACTCCAAGCTGTGAGCTTCAGTTATTATAATATGCAATGAGGATTAATTACAGTGGGTAGTCAATTAGTGTTCATTTTCAGTATTTTGAAATGAAACATTATGGAATTCTCAAATGAAATCATTACACCAAATACTATTAGGGTGAAAATACTGATAAAGTAATTTCTAAGCCCAGGAATTTTATTTCAAATTATGTGTTAGGCAGTTAAATTGTAATTCATCAAAAGCAAATTTATTGTTTCTAGAGGTTTTTAACTTCTGGAAACCTCTAGATTTAACTTGTAGCACTGAAAGGACTTCCCCTGGATAATATGATCCTTTGAAATGTTTTAGAAAAAGCTATGTATCCTAGGATGAAGAATGCTAAGGATCTTGCAAATGACCACATTTTTTCATAGTGCCTAACTCTGCTGGTTAGATTTTTCTTTTTAATGGAGAAAAATCATTATACCTCCATGTTCATATTCCAAAAACAACATTTTACATTTTGTATTTCAGCATGATTCAAGAAGAAAATGTAGTATTTTTGAAGGAATGTTGATGACCTTATTCAAGTCTCAGTCTGTCGTGTGTTTGTTGTGTGACCTTAGGCAAGTCCCAGAGCCTCTCTGAACCAGCTTCGATAGGCAGAATGAGCATCACCAGATGCAATACATGGTTCTGGACTGGATCCCGGTTTGGACAAACTAGTTTAAAAGTAGATTTTATAGTCAGCTGGAAAAATTTTATTAGATGAGAACCAATTTCAACGAAATTGGAAAATACTTAGCCAGGCATGGTGGCATGACACCTGTTGCTCCAGGAGGGTGAGGCAGAAGAATTGCTTGAGCCTGGGAATTCGAGGCTACAGTGAGCTATGATCATACCACTGTACTCCACTCTGGGCAACAGAGTGAAACCCTGACTCAAAAATAAACAAATGGATTTACTTAAAAACAAAGGTTGTAGAATGTATGTAAAAGATAGTCTGATTGTGGTTTTCTTAAAAAATACACGTGTAGATTTGTAGATCTATGTTTATGGATCCATCCATTTATCTATCTATTGATCAAAAGATCCAGAAGATGCAGTTTTAGTTTATTTGCTAGTTTGTATTTTCTGATTTTCTACAATGCACATGTACTATTATAATAAAAAGGCATATTTTAAAATTAAAATAGGTATATCTTATGATATTTTAAAACAGAATGGACACCCTATATTTCAGGGCTGTTGACAGGCACATAAGCCCTCACAGTCAGCTAGCCATTGATTTTCAGAGTTTCTTCATTTACTTCAATTATTGATAAATATTCAGGATTGCTAGTAAATATGTTCTTTACTCATGTGATTCCTTTACCATCTTTTTTTAGAGGCATTCAGAAGTCCAGTATTTCGACATGGAACAGATAAGAATGGATTCAGCTTGGGTTTCAGTAAAAACATGCGACAAGTTTTTGGTGATGAGAAGAAGTACTGGTTGCTACCCATTTTTTCAAGGTACTTCTTTGTTAAAATTTTCAGGCTTTAAACTAATGAAAATAATACAGCAAAAGATAGTTTCAGGAAAAGCCTCTAGTTCCATAGGCTTGTAATTCTGTGTAGGAACTCTTATTTTTAAAAAATATTATTCTATGATTCACCATAATATCAGTGTGGAAGTCAGTTAATTCATCATCTTCCTGAACACTATGTTGAGCTCAATGTCTAATACACATTTTTTTTGCCTAGAGTATAGCATGTTCTGCTCTCGGACATCAGCATTTTGGCAGGGTTTCACTCCGTTGTCTTTTGTATGGTTCAGTTCTAAATTTTTATTTTAATTCTAGTCTAGGTGATGGCTGCTCCTTTCCAACTTGCCTTGTTAACCAGGATCCTGAACAAGCATCTACTCCTGCAGGGCTGAATTCCACAGCTAAAAAGTAATCTCATATTTTTTTTCATTTTACTTTCAAATAAGATATTTTACCATATTGTGTCTTTTGGTTATATGTTCCTTTGAAAAAAAATGAAGACCATAAGAAAATTTACTGCAATGGTTTCCACTTGAAATGAGGGAAAAAAGAAAGTATGATTGAGGATACATTGGAAGCTTCAATTATACTTGTAAAATGGTGTTATTAATCTAAGTGTGAGTAAAAAGGTGTTAATTGTCTATACATTTTGGTTGACTGAAATATTTTTTAAATGTAGTGCTTAAAAGAAAAAAAAATGTAAGTCAAAATTAGCTACCCACTGCTCAGGTAGGCAGACAGGGTAAAATCGCCCCTGACCCACCATATCTTTCCTTTCTGTGATAACTGTTAGAGTAAAGAAACTTGAGGCTTTTGGAGATCAAATGGACCCCCAGACACCTTCTTGACAACTCCATTTTAATGTATATTATGGACTTAGTGCCCTTGGAAGACCTCTAAGGATTATCTGAGCCATTTCTGTGGAGAGAGAAGCCAGAGTCTTAGAAATTCATTGTCTGGAGACTTTTGCTCCAGCTTTAAGTTTGTTTTGATTCCAGACTATCAAGAATTTGAGGCTGGCCAGAGAAAGACCTGACATTTCATTCTGAACGTGCTACCAACTGGCAAAAGGAAAAGTTACTTAAACTTTTAAAATGCTATGTATGAATTTTCAGTGGTTTGAAACACCAGTTTTTATACCTTTGTGACAGATTTGAGTATAACCATTCCTCTGATTTTTCAATGAAAGCCAGTAGCAAAAGCATAACCATAATATCATTCTTCATTAAACGTTAGAGCTTTTCTTAGTTGCTGCAGTGCCACATACACAGTATCCACACCAACACTCCATATTGAACATTTCTTACTGATCACAGGACTTTTTCCTAGGGAGCCTGGAGTGACCCCATAAACCTCAAGGCAGTGTTCCTGGTAGCCATTCTAAAGTTCTTTTTGTTGTTGTTGTTTGTTTGTTTGTTTGTTTCCATTTTAGTTTTGAGACAGGGTCTCTCTTGTCACCCAGGCTGGAGTGCAGTGGAGTGATCATGGCTCACTGCAGCCATGACCGCCCAGGATCAAGCGATCCTCCTGCCTCTGCCCTTTTAAATTGGGAATTAAATGTAAAAGGAATTTATATTTAAAATCCTTTTAAATTGTCAAAAGAGATGAAAGGTATTTGTCACCCCATCCCTAGAGTGAGCTATGTACAGGCCAGACCCTACCAGTTAGTGAATGGGCCCAGTGTATATATTTCACAGGGACATTCATGGGCATCAGAGTTTTTTACTAGATCATGCCTTGTGCATTTGGGCTTGAAAATCCCACAGAGCTAAATGTTTATGGTTTTTCATATACCTCAATGCAGAAAAATCTAGTTTTAATAAATTATTCAGAATACGTTTCAAGCTTTTACAAAATTCAGTAGTAGTTTATAATACTTTTTTGCCCTTTGTGTTTTTTTTAATAATTTAAGAAATCATTTTGGTTTTAGAGATAATATTTCTCCTTCCACTAAGGGCACCATGAGATTTGGGAGAAATCTTAGTTCTGACACTGTTACCCAACTGGGTGATCTTGAAGAAGTTAAATAATCTTTTGAGGCCTCTGTTTCCTTTCCTTTGAATGTTGAGGTCAGATTTAGACAGCTAAAGTCTCTTTCTTCTGCGGAATTCTACTATCTCCCATGTTGAGCCCAGATAAAATTTTCGTGGCAAGTTCTGTTCTCTTCTTTACTCCAGAGTTGAATATCTTGCTGTCTACTTGACACACCCACTTGGACACCTAAAAATCATCTCCAACTAAACAGGTTCAGAGCAGAACTTTGAATTTGATTCCCAGCCATGTGTACCCTCATCACCACCCTAAACCAGAATCTCCTCCATGCTTCCATTATCAGTATTAGTGACCTCCATTCTCCCACGTGTTCATGCTAGAAACTGTGGGGTCATCCTGGATTCCTCTCTTTCAATTACTTTGTATTTACTCCATTTGCAAATCCTATCAGATGTCTCTTTAAAGTATATCTATAATCTGAATACTTTCTAACCACCTCCAAGGCAGCTTTCCTGGTCCTAGCCCTCATCCCTGCTCCCATGGATTACTTCAGTAGTTTTCTAACTGATGTAACATTTTTGCCCCACTCCAATCTATTTTCCCTTCAAAATATAAGTCAGATTGTGTCACTCTTCTGCTGAAAGCTCTATTAGTTTCCCATCTTACTCGGAATAAAAGCTAATGAATGTCTGTTCCATCACTTAACAAGACTGATCTGACCCCAGACAGTCATTCTTTTTTTTTTCTTTTTTTAATGGAGACAGGGTCTTCCTGTCTCTATTAAAGCAAGTTAGTAATGTCTCTGTTATAATAAAATGTCTCCATTAACAGCCCGTTGCCCAGGCCGGAGTGCAGTTTTGTGATCATAGCTCACTGCAGCCTCACACTCCTGGGCTCAAGCAGTCCTCTCACCTTGGCCTTCTGGATGTCATTCTTTTTTACTTTCCTTTCACTTACAATCCTCAGACACAGATCTTGCTGTTCCTCACATGGACCAAGCATGTTCCTTATGTAGTGCCTTGTCCTTGCTAATTCCCTTTCCTTACCATTCTTCCTCCAGATCTCAGTGAGCTGTGTCTTCTCTTTATTTATATTCTGTTCGGGCGTAACTTCAGAATAGAGGGAATCTTTGATAACCCTTTGTAAAATAGTAACTTTCTCCGCCTCTTCCTGTTACACTGATTTTTTTTTTCTTTTTTTTTCTTTTTTGAGACAGTCTCATTCTATCACCCCGTCTGGAGTGCAGTGACGCAGTCTCGGCTCACTGCAACCTCTGTCTCCCAGGTTAAAGCAATTCTATTGCCTCAGCCTCCCCAGTAGCTGGAATTACATGTACACCACAATGCCCGGCTAATTTTTGTATTTTTAGGAGAGATGGGGTATCACCATATTGGCCAGGCTGGTCTCGAACTTCCTGACCTCAAGTGATCCACCTGCCTCAGCTTCCCAAAGTGCTGGGATTACAGGCATGAGCCACTATGCCCAGCCTGATTTTTTTGATTGTTATAGCTCTTATTATCACCTGACTTATTTCATTCATATATGTATATATTGTTTATTTCTCTTCCTCCATAACAGTGAAATTTCCATAAGAACAAAGACTTTGTTTATTAAAGTGACAGGTGCTCAATAAACATTGTTCAGTGAATGGATTCTTGCCCTTTGCTAGAGTCCTGTTAGCAGTAATGAATCTTCAGAGTCCCTAAACCAGGATCCCAGGATCTGGTTAGTCTTCTGTACCCGTTATATGGTCCCTTTCTTGAAGAAGAATAAGAATTAAAGTAAGATTTTTTATATAATATATTTAAACCTGTGTGGAGATATGCTGTTTTCTGTTTTTTAAGATTTACCTCCAAAATTTTAGTAGGTAGTTGTTAAAGCTGCACAAAATTGAAATATTCTAAAATTTTAGATATGAGGTAATTAAGAAGAAAAAGCATACGCATATATCCTTTAAAAACATAATAGTTACTATATATAATTGAACTCAAATATGTGAAATTATTCTTGAAAGAGTTTTAAGTCGTTTTTTTCTTTTGAATACTGTTACAATTACTATTTCAGAACATTATAAAACATCACTAATAGTTTCTATGCCAATAATGTTTCCTAAGTGAAATATTTTTATGTATACTTTTTCATGCCATCCAATATGTTGATGTATGGCATTTCCACCTAAATTTTAAAGAAAATTCTTCTTAGAAGACTGCTCATTCCCCAGACTGAACATTGGGTTTGTAAGACCTGATAATTTCAGATGTTTTTTATATTCCTGCAAAATAGTTTGCTCAAAGTTGTTGTTTCAGTTTTACAGAAGAAGATAGAGAAAATTGTGTTCAAGACCAGTTAGGCCACTTTAGAAGCTGTAGGCCATTTTTTCCTCAACTTTGTCTTCCTACCATCACATTCATATTTTCTTCCATATCCACATATCACTTACAAAATTAATATTTTTCTGTATTTAAATTGGCACTTATGCTTTTTTTAAACCAAAGTTTATACCACTCTCATAAATGAGAAACTCGCGTAACTTTCTATAAATAGAATATAACTTTAAAAATAGGCCCGGTGTGGTGGCCTATGCATGTAATCCTAGCACTTTGGGAGGCTAAGGCAGGAGGATCACTTGAGACCAGGCATTTGTGATCAGGCTGGGCAACATAGAGAGTCCACTCTACAAAAAATAAAACAAAATAATTAGCTGAGGGTGGTGGTGTGGTCCCAGCTACTCGGGAGGCTGAAGGAGGAGGATTGATTTGAGCGAAGGAGGTTGAGGCCATGACTGCACCTCTGCACTCCAGCCTGGGCAATAGAGTGAGATTCTTCCTCAAAAATAAATACATACATAAAATTGATAATAAAATACTGTTATTAAGTTCTAAGTACCTGCTAAAGCCTGGGGCTGAAGACTATTCTCTGGAGATTTTCCAGTGTTAGAGATTATCATCTTATGGTAAGCAGAAGAAGGAAAAGAGACTGAAGATAGAACACTTTTCTCACCGCGAGTCAGTGCTATTTAATGTCTTATTCTTGTATTCCCCACGTTATTTTGGGTACCTCCTGCATCATCTTGCATTGCAAGTGGTTTTGGTTCCATACATTGAGAAACAATCAACTTTACTATCAAAAATTAGCTTATGATGATTTTGATGATTATTCAATTATTATTCAGTCTCGAAAACCATCAGTTTCCTGCAAAGCCATTGAGAGAGTCCCAGAGCCACCTTCTTACTGATTCTCAGTCTTGGACGGAGAGCAGCATAAACCCAGGAAAATGCAAAGCTGGTAAGGGTGTGCTTGTTTGGCTGTTTTTTGACATATTTTATTTTTAGAAGGTAAACGTGGTTAAAAAAAATCCATTATACTACCTACAGATGTTTTCTTAGTTTGGAGTCAGACTTCTATTCTAAATTCAGAATTATTTTCAAAGAACTATTTATGAGGTTCGTTAATAACCTGTTAGCAGCAGAAAATCATTTTGTGAAAGATGGATCTGCATTGCCTTTTTTCTGTTTAAAGAACCAAATCTTTATCACCATTCCTCAAATAAAATGATAGAAGTAAATTCAAAATATAAAGTATAAAAATGAAAAAACTACAATCAAATCAGATAGAAGATAAATATCTACTGAAAAGGACCTTAAATTATTCAGTTCTATCTTTTACTCCAAGATTTCTGTCCAATTTCAAAATGTCTGAGTAAAGTTACTGTGTACCATAAGTTCAGCTGCCTGCGATTTCTTCATATCCCACTCACATTCCTCTTGTTACTGTTGTTGATTTCAATCTTTTGTTTTCTTCAGTCAGTGTAGTTTGTTAGCAAGGAACAAGCAAGGCTCCGAAGTCAGACCTGATTTAAAAACCCTAATTTGGGCTCCTAGTAGGGTGTGATATGTGTCACGTTACCTAACATCTTTTAGACTTAGCTTTGTTCTTTTCAAAAGACTACCTATTTCTCAATATTGATAAGGAGTAGACAAAATAGGGTGATCATACATGCATGTGTGTGTATATATGTGTGTTGTCCACATAAAGGAGTTAAAGCCATACATCTGTGATTAAGGCGTTATTAGCCAGAAAATCTTCAGATTGACTACTAACCTTTTCTCCTTCGTTTCTAGTCTTTTCAAATAAACCAGTCAACGTTTTAAAGTGTAATGAACCAAAGTCAGGTAGTACGAGAGTTTGAAGAAACCTCTGGGATTTAGTGGTAGCGAAAAACAAATGGATGATCCTGAGTAAATATTCTAGTCATTATTTAATATATTATCAGTCATCTTCTCCTAAAATAGAAGCTTTCTTTAGCCTTATCTTTAAGAAATATATTTGCCTCCCAGAGGGTCCCATTATTTGACTATTCATAATTTGGTCACTCTCTTGACCTTCACACATGCCATTTCACTTTCTAATCTATGGCAAGGACTAGGCATTGCCTAAACAAAAGTTGATGACACTGATTTGTTCTTTGAATCCATCATTTTCGTTAGAGGCAGAGAAGTGATAAATAGTTGGGGGTCAATTGTTGAGACGTGGAAAAACAAAGAATTCCTCTTCATCCAGAAGGGATTCACATTTCATCTTACATAATTTATGTTAAAATAGCAGTGGTTTCTTGATTTTCACATGCTATTATAATTCTTCGGCATGTTCGATTAATTTTTTTGTTAGTTGGATGAAATGAAGAACTACTTAAAGTGTAAAGGATGATGTATAGGAAGGAAAAGAAGCAAGAAAAATGAGGTGAGAAAGTGCTCAAAGATTGGTTTGACTAGAATGAGGTTGGTAGAGGAAGAATTTGGAAACGTTGATGTAAGCTGATGTGAGCAGTGTGGGTCAATATATCTTTCATTATTATGTTTCTCTACTTCCTCAGATGTCTATTTCTGTTTTTAGTGTTTTGTGTGTGTGGGAGAGAGATAGTGGTTGTAACTGACACTGTATAACGGGTGTGTGTGTGTTTCTATATCACCATCTTATATATACCCTTATTATGTACAAGGCACCTTTGGAAGTCTACCAAGGGATTCCTTATTCATAGATGAATAAGAAGTTTCTGCCTATTTGTTCAAAAGCAACCAAAAATGCTAACTTATGTGCTTTCATTAAGGTATGAGCAATCCTGCATTAACCATGGAAAATGAGACTTAACTCTTCAAGCAAGATAAATTCATACTTTATAAAAGTACGATAATTTTCCCTTTATTGTTTTATATTTTTAACAGTCTTCTAATTTTATTAGGGCAAATAGTTTCCATAAACATTTTTAATAATTTGTGAGTGATTCATATAGAAGATCTTTTACCTGACTTGTGAGATTGCATTAGCCATGCTGGGGCTTCTGAGTGCAGACCTAGCTTCAGTATTAGCTGGTATTTGTGTTAACTTGATTAATTATATAAATAAGTTGATGAACAAGAGTCATTTTATATTAATGCATTAAGTGGTAGGGATCAATCCTAAAATACTGAACTATATGTAAAAATTATCTTGTCATTTTATAGGAAGTTAGAATAATTATTTTTAATTTTTCTTCATCTTTCAGAATATACAGTGGTCATATCCTTGACCATCCATTAGGAAACTCTAAGTCGAAGTGCAATATAATTATATCTCATTAATGTACTCATTAGCACACTGTCATTCCCATTTTTGGGTCATAGTAGGGCCTTATAGCATGTGTTAACCTTAAAATAATAGGTGTTCCAAATCATTTTCTTTAAGCCTTATTTTTTTTTAAACCTGCAGTTCCAAATCAGTTTCTTTAAAATATGATCTGTTTGTAAGCCTGCAGTCAATAAAAAGCTACAATAAGGAACCCCTTTGGAACAAACAACTATATAATAAACAGTTTACCGAGCTGAATATTAAAGATAGCAAGATAACTCTCTCTTTACATAACGGCAATCTAGAATCCTAAAGTCTATGAAAAGCAAGAGATTCACTTGTAAAACAAAATGATTTGCATCAAAGTTCATGGATATCTGTTTTTATTTGTCTGTTCTGGTTTTGGTAAGTTAGCCATGTATTGTCAGCAAAATGCTGACCTGGCAATTTGCCAGCTGACTAGTATCTGATTTTGGGAAGAGCAGGATCAGCTCTGAATACCTGTTGCTACAGTAGGTCAGACTGACTATAACTGGTTAAAATAGTGAAAATTTCATCTGAATTTGATTAAATAGCAAAGACATTATTAAATTTCTGAAAATAATTTTAGAATGTAACTATGAATGTAATTTTAGAGTATAGCTATAGCAAATATGAGTCACTACCAGCCAATACCACAAATAAAATATACAGAACATAGTTCTGTAAGACATAGAATTTCACAGGATTTTTTTCAATATTTTGAAATCATCAGTTGCAATAACCATTGTTTTTAAGGTCAGTGCTATTAGGAATTTTTCTGTGTGTTAAGTGTTTTACATATTTACATGGTAATATTATATAAAAGCCATCGAGACTTCCCAGTATTTTGACAATACCAGTATTGTGGTTATTTATCTCCAACACCTTGCACAATGCCAGACACATAGTAGTTTCTCAACATTTGATGGATAAGTGACAAAATTAAAACATTGAAATTAAAAATCTGACAGAAACTTGATTTTATTAATTCAAATATGGCATGATTAGGCATAATCACAAAATGGCAGCATGAATCAGCGCTATAGATCTAAAAATACCCGATTTTCTGATGTCATGTTTTCTATTCTATCGATACAACCAGTTGCAGTAACATGTTTTGTTTTCTTAAACTTTCCCTAAAGTAGCTAATAGAAACTAGACTTTTAAAAATAATTTTTTCCTGCTTTACATCTCAGATTTGCAATTCATTCCAGTTGTATTTATATCAAATAATAGTTTGATACTGATGTGCCTAATTTATATTAAATATCTTCATATTGGCCGGGCGCGGTGGCTCACGCCTGGTAATCCCAGCACTTTGGGAGGCTGAGATGGGTGGATCACAATGTCAGGAGCTCAAGACCAGCCTAACCAACAAGGTGAAACCCCATCTCTACTAAAAATACAAAAATTAGACGGATGTGGTGTGGCGCACCTGTAATCCCACCTACTCAGGAGGCTGAGGCAGGAGAATTGCTTGAACCCAGAAGGCAGAGGTTGCAGTGAGCCAAAATCGTGCCATTGCACTCCAGCCTGGGAGCTTGGGTGACAGAGCAAGACTCTAAAAAAAAAAAAAAAAAAAAAAAAAACAGAAAAAAAACACTTCATATTTTTTCTCCTATTTTTGAACTACAATAGTAAATGATGTCACCTTTTTATAAAATATTTGTTTGTTCAGCAGTTTCCAGATGGTTATAATGTGCCTAAACCCATAGTTAGTACTAAAAAGTAAATTAAATTTAGCTTACCAACCTTTCCTATCATATGGTATAAATAAAAAATGCTGGCCAGGCGTGGTGGCTCACACTTGTAATTTCAGCACTTGCGGAGGCCAAGGCAAGCAGATTGCTTGAGCTAAGGAGTTGAAGACCAGCCTGAGCAACATGGTGAAACCCCGTCTCTACCAAAAATACAAAAAGAAAAAAAATTAGCTGGGTGTGGTGGCATGTGCCTGTGGTCCCAGCCACTCCAGAGGCTGAGGTGGGAGGATGAGAGGATGACTTGAGCCAGGGAGGCGGAATTTCCAGTAAGCTGAGATGGAGATCGCATCACTGCACTCCAGCCTGGGTGACAGAGTGAGGCCCTGTCTCAAAAAACAAAACAAAACAAAACAAAGCTGTGCTTCTATGCACATGAAGTTTCAAAATCATTTCCCTAAATGTCCTTCCTGACTCAGTTGCCACTCCTAAACTCCATTCAGCCTCAGATGAATGCAGAACTAACAACATAGAACCCTGCCACTCACATTGAAGCCCCAAACCAGCAACATTGTCATGACCTGGAAGATTAATAGAAATGCAGAATCTTAGGCCTTATCCTAGACCTACTGAATCAGAGTCTGCAATTTTTTTTTTTGCATTTTAATAGGATCCTTTCGTATATGCATATTAAAGTTTGAGCAGTATTGATGTAGAGTTCCATATTCAAGAGCACGTCTACTGAGCCTGCTAGCATAGTAAACAGTTTTGAATGAGGGATATTATTGAAACAGATTATGAAATGAGTTGGTTTGTTTTGCGTGTTTATGGTTAACATAGTAGTTTCATGTTTTCTGTTTCATTTCAAGGTATCAATGCTGTAGATGGATGGAAGAGGCTTCCCACAGGAAGGTGCCACCAGTCAGTTGTGCCTATGTCCCTTTGGCTGGAAATGCAGAATATGAATTGATTAGTTCTCTCCAAGCCATTGCTTAAAATATAACATGTTTTGGATCCAATACACACATTGTTACAACTAACACAAATTCCTATTAAATATTAAAAGTAGTTCTGGTTTATTAATCAACGGGGAAAACATCTTCTCCAAAAAACTTGGAATAAATCCAAGGACCAGTTTTTACCCAAATATATGGGTAGCACAGTTTATCACATAGAAACTCCATTAATCATCTGATTTTCCGAATCTGAAAATTGAGACTATTAAGATATTAGGATTTCAGAGATTTCAAGTCACATTATAATGATAAGCATTATTCATAAAACTTGTTACCTTTAAGAAGGTGGAAGTGGCAAACCATACTTCTTTTTTTTCCTCTGATGTGAATCCAGCCTCAGACTGAGTGAACTGTAATAATTATGAATTCATTACAGAGTCCAGGTGGCCTGCAGTTGAAGATCATCAACCATTTTTGCCTCACTTAATTCCAGCCTTTTGTTTTCTGCTGGAAAATAAGTGTGGACATTGAAGCTTGAGCTCTCAAAGCAGTTGGCTGGAATACTTTTGTCAGAATACGGTACATTTCTATTACATCAGAAATATATTTTCATCTCTTCTTGTTAAATTGGGAGGAAATTTATGATAGCAATTATGAAGATTGTTTTATGACATTCTTTTGTCAGTTTGGCTTTCTAAAAATCTCTTTTTAGATTATTTCTCCTGTTGAACATAGTAAAACTATTGAATTTCTCTTAAGAATTCCTAATAGGTCAATAGATTTACCCTCCAGTGATATCTATATTATTTCTTTCTCGTCTCATCAAAATGATGACAGGTAAACTATATTTTTCCTTAAACACCTATTACAGTTAAATTATGCAAATCATTAAATAAAAATCATACAACTTTTGGAAAGTTAGTTCAACATGAACTAAAATGGCATGCTATTTGGAAATTTAGTTTGAGATAAACTAAAGTGTGTTGATGCCAGAATGTTCAGCTTCAGTAAATATAATAAGCTCTTGTGCCTTGTATGCACTATTTAAAAAAAGTTTTTTTTATTTGAGTCCAGTATAATTCATGTAAATGTTAACAATTAGAATAATACTCTGTATGCTTTTTTGATACTGATTTTGAGAATTTAAAGCAGATTACCTTTTAAAACTGGACCAACTAAGTAATTGGTATTTAATCAAAGAGAAAATGGTAATAAACTTTTCAAAATCTTTGTTAAACCAAACATTCAACACAAAATAAACTAGAAGGCCAGAGGATAATGGAATAAAAGATCATTGCAATTACTTATCCTTCCTAAAAATATAGTTTTATATTAATTGTGCTTATGGAAGAAACAATGTCAGCCAAGTCCATTTTATAGTTTGAGTGCAATTCTTTGAACAATAGAAATATCTGCAGTCTTTCACAGATTTGTATTATGCTGAAGAGTTTCATCTGACAATCTGCTTCAAGAAATCTCAGAAAATATGATAACATTTTAACTTTCATTTTAGAGCACGTTTTGGTCATTTTTAAAAATACCTAAAGTGCCAGACCGGAACCTATAGCTACTGCTAGAAGTCTTAAAAAAACCAACAGCAGCACAGGATGTATTAAGAATTATATGAAGTCAGGTTTGTTTTTTTTTTTTTTTTTTTTTCAAAGCACAGTACTGTTAGCTGTTTTTGTGGACAGGATTCGATTAAGTATTCCCTCTTGTCAAACTGGAAGCTAGGGGAAAAAGAGGGATTTTTATCCTTTACTCTTCTAGAGTACTGTTAATGCCCCTTTCCCACAGTCTTTTATATAATTAAATATATGTCAATACACATTAGAATCAGATTTGAAAAAGTTAAAACAATTTCATTGTTGTAATTGTTCCCTTTCTGTTTTCATATAGTGAATAACCTTTAAAGGGTTGTTTTGTTTTGTTTTGAATTATAGGAGTTATAATCTTTGGAGATGATTGCATATCTCATTAGATATGCAATATAAATTTATCTGAGTGAACAAAGTGCTAAATAAATAGATCTACATTTTGTACATATTTATATAAAATTTACCTTTAAGTATTTACTTTAAAAAATTTAATGGCTTAACTCGAACTTGAAGACACATACTTCAACTGTCCTTATTGTCCATTAAACTGATAATTTTGATTTTTCTTGCTTTTATAGATTTTACTATATAGGAATCAAGATTTAAGAAATTTTGCATTAAAAATAGTGTACCAATGCTTCATATACGTTAGTTATTTGCTATTATGTAGGGAAGAGGATTGTTATTTCAAAGATATATTAAAGAACAGTTGCATCTGAATATAATCATGATGCATTCAATGAAGTTCATATCCATGAATTCACTCCTAATATACCCTAATAAAGTGGTTGATCACCTACATTATCTGTCTATAAGAAACTGCCTTTGCACTGACAATGTAAATTATTTTAAGCATAAATTTTCCTAATAGTTTATTAGAGCTACTAATGGCAAAATTCATGTCTTCAATGTGGCCATAACATAGGTCTTGGGAGGGGTGGTGAGAAAATAAGGTATTTACTTTGTAGTAGTTAAGTGATTCTGAGGACAATTAGAAACAGACTATAAAACTCAACTACACTGTAATCAATAGACAACTATTGGAAATATGGCATATGTTGACAAACACTTAACTAGGGAAATCAAAGATATAAATCATGTTTATAAAAAATTAGGCACGCAATCATGTGATTCATGCTTCAAGAAAATATATGAAAAAAGTGTTACTCCATTATGTTATAAACTAGCAGATTTTCCCTATTTTGAAATGCATGTAAACGGGCTCGGCTGATTCTGAAATTGTACTGTATCATTTGGTATTTACTTATATGGTCAAATACTTGTTTGTAAAAGTGATGGTTCTGATACCTTTGATCAAACATAGATACAAACCTCAGAAAATGGTAAATGCAAAGCAGTTTACGTTGTAAATCATGATGGTGTCCTCCAGCACAACCATCCCACCCACACACCTAGACTACAGATTCTGATCTGTGAATATTTTCACCAAAGTGACATTTAAACAAGTGGATTTTTCACAAATAACACGTGTTTAATATCTTTCTGCAGAAACGTGTTCTTCTAAAGCAGAAAACCACGTGGCTTAATCCCAAATGTTTTACACTTCTTTTCCACATACTTAGCCAGTTCAGCACCGATTTCCTCTTATATGTGGAAGGAGACTATGTTACATACCTGAAGTATTACTCTTTTACAAAGATACCATTAGAATTTTCTCACTGTCTTGGTAAAAATTCCTAGATTCTACTTTTTATTGCAAGTGTTAGCAATATGATCTTGTAACGCCATGAAAAGCATTAAGTAGAAGCCAACATTAACCTAGATTTTACAACTGAGCAATCTGTTCCCCACCAGATTTCCTTTAGAATTTATTACCAAAGGATCTTATTTTGTTACAGAACACAGGAAATTGTTAAACCTTATAATGTTGCAAACCATGCATTTTCCTTTTCTCTTTTCCATAAGATTTTTTTATTGTAGTAGTGCCCTGGCTTGTAAACAGTGGACATCACTGAAAGGATGAAATCAAGTAGGCTTGTTTCAAAGAGACTCCTGTGAATCAACTATGAATATGAAGTATCTCCCAGAACAATGTTGAGTGTTTCAGGAGACTCTGAAACAGGGCACCCATTTTTTTTTTCCTTCCTCAAAATAGTCTCCTTGAAATGTGAGCAAAGAACTATGATGATGCAGTCCAGGTATCTAATAGCTCAATCACCAACACCGCTGAGAATTGTTCTTATACCAGCAAAAAGTTCAAATACAATAACCTGGGCAATGCCAACAGAAGACACTTTTAATCATTTGCAGACCTTTCTTGTTGCAGGAAAGTGAGGGCAAAAACAAACTGGTGAAAAATGTTCAAAAATAGATCTTTTTGATGTTCATAGCCAGTATTCAGTATTTCTGTATTGTTTACAATTGGGGGAAAATGTCTGTTAAGGCTAATCATCTGAGTGATTTGAGTAGCAATTAAACCAAAGGGAAACTTTTAATAAGTTATTTTAAGCCCTGGTTTATGGCTAGTTCCCTTTTGCTCAGGAAAAATAGTACTACTTTATGGTTTATGAAAACCTATGATTTATGTTGCATCTTCCGGGGAAGGTTTAACAGTACAAGGAGCTGAATCCTACCTGAAATTATTAATGCTTAATATATTGCTTCTGTTTGATTGATAAAGGTGCTTAATCAATTGAAAAAAAAACGCATAATGCTTCAAGGTAAAATTCCGTTGATTCTGAATTTAAAAAGATACTACAGAATGCGTCAGTTCTCCTGTTGTATTTTTCTCAGTTATGAGAGCAAGGCTATTTTGTCAGTTTAGATTTTGTGTCTTTTTCTGTCAGTATGTATGGCTCCCTAATTGAAAACATCTTAAATGAACTAATCAAACACTTATTGTGTGAAAGCTGAATACTTTAAAAAGCAACCTTAATTATAAACTCATCTTGGAGTAGCATGCAAATGTGCTAAAGTTATTTAAAAAACATATACTTAGGCAAGAAGTAGAGGACAGCCCCAGAATGGCTACAATGAATGGAAGGAAAGTCTGTATACACACATATAGCTCAAGAACAAGTTTTTATTATGCATGGGTTTCGCAGTGATACAAGACACCTGCTCACAACTTACAGTATTAATTTTTTAGAAAAACAAAACAGGTATATGGCATGAGTGAAACAGTTCCCCATTAAAAGCACTTAAAACCTATGACATGGCTAGTAAGATGTAAAATATTAAGTCCCCTTGGGGTCTTGCAAACTTGTATTTCCTAACAATTTGGAAGCCATGATGATAGTCTGAAGCTAAAGGAACTCCAATTTCTTGGTATGATACTAAATAAAGATTCTTATCTTTTGGGAGAAAGAGCCAAAACAGAAGGGTGTGAAAGCAGTGAATTTCCCCTCCTATGACAATAAAGCAAGAGGGCAGATTATATTCATGAATGCTTCTCATATACAAAAAATTCCTCCATACCAGGAAGGAGAGTATTGACCAGTTTATCTTTAAAAAGAAAATGAGTAATTCTGGAGAAATGTAGCTTGTTCATTCACCTACAGACTATGGCTACAAAGCAATGAAATGGACTTCTAAAGAGAAATTGCTCAATTGCTTTTATACTAAACGTTAAATGTAACTAATGCTGTAGAAAACTGTTTAAAACAAATGGAAATTGTCTAGTGATAATGTACATGAATCTTGTTTTCTTGGAATTTTCATTCTATGGTGACATTTTTTTAACTTTCAAAACCTGAAATGAAAATTCTGCAGGATTTGGATGTGTACAGTCCTACGTTTCTATAATGTCTTAATAGAAAAATAAATGACAGGTAACGTTGTTATAAAAGAAACTCTCATATAAATTACACCAACATAGCAAATGGCATGTGTGAACTGGCCTTCACTACAAAGCACCGACACACAGAATAATCAGCATTTTTCCTATCCCTTTATTTATAAATTCTAACACATTTATTTTATAGACATGAGATAACATATGCATTCATAATTTGATTCCACCTCAGGTTGCCTACCCAGAGGAGCCACTGCATTTGGCAATGCAGATGAAATAGCAAACAGGACAGACATAGACCCTTGAGTTTCTTCTAGTAGAGAGGTGGACAAGCCTTTTTTTTTTTTTTTTTTTTTTTTTTGAAAAGGGCAGGTAGCAAATATTAGAGGCTTTGCAAGCTAAGACAAAATGAAGGACATTATTTAGGTACTCAAGGAAACTTTTCACCAAATTTTTATTCTAAAAATTGAAAACTCAAAATATTGAGTACAATTTTTTTTTCTTTTTTTAGTAATAGAGTTCTACTAATGGGAATAATGGGATTTTTTGGCAGGGGACGGGAGGTAACATTTTGCTCAATTTGGGCTGAAAGTTGGTATCCCCTCATTGGAATAAATAGAAAATGTTAATCTGTTAATGCTGATGTGTAATGGGATTTCACGTATTTCATCTTTGAAAATGTCTTTTCACACAAACAGGTCAAGGTACTGCTAAATACTGACACATCCACCCATGAGCATGTGATTTTAGTTAAGCATATTCATCACTTGTAAGGCATTTGTAGGATTCATCTTTTTGGTATTTGCCCTTTAGCATGTCATTCATTCAAGATGATTCATTTCCAACAGAAGATTAAGAGGAAACTTTAAAAGCATTTAATTGCAGTTAAATGCTTTTAAAATTTAAAAATTTTCTTTGCACTGCATCAAGGTCCAAAAAACTGCTACAGGAAAATATATCCACTAAAAATGGATTTGGCAATACAGCGCTGTTTTGACTTCTCATAGCACAGAAAGTATATAAAGCAGCTTGACAATCTTAAGTTTTAGTTTTTATTGAAATGAATTTACCATATTATGTTGTTGTACCTTGTAATTTCAGGTCAAATTCATTAAGAAACATTTTCAAGTCTGTGGCAAAAGTTAATTTCCAAAGTTACTCAGTGTTAAAAAACAGTGGTTGAGGATGGTTTTTCTCATTCAGAAAAATTTCAATGTCAGCCCAGAGCCCAAAAAAATAAAAATAAATCTTTAGCACTGCTAAGCCATTGAACGCCTGTGTGGCAAATCAAATCAGGATATTCAGCTTCTGTTTCTCACAAAAAAAAAAAAATCATGGAACTGAAGATGGTTAAGTCCACAAGAGCAAATGAAGTTAACTGTTGACCAGTTCAGTAACACCAATATTTCCTGTGAAGTACCTGCTGATGAATAATCAAGTGAGTAACTACAGGCTTTAAACAACTTACGTTTTCACAAGCCTTAAAATTTGACCAAATAAACTTTTTTTCTGCTTCATGCATTTTTCCCAGCATCGGTTGCATCACATCTTAGTAGATTCCACTTCAGGTTGTACTGTTTATCAACTTTTTTGAAAATATTCCCACTTGTAGTTCCATACAAATTCTTCGATCACTTCAAATCCAGCAATGGTTTCTCAAAAAATAAAGCTAGGCAGTACTGACTAGTAAGAGGCAAAGAATTAACAGTGTCATTTGATGTTGTGTCCAAAATCCTCATTCTTCAAACTACTGTTCTCATCAAAGGGCTGATGTCTTAATTTTCTCTGGACACATGTCTTTGGGTTGGTTACTATCTTCAAGCACGATGTAATTCAGCATTAGTAAATGGTTTTCTTTGCTTGGCTAACAAATAGGCTACTTGTAAACATTTTGGTTGCAGCCTCATTTTTATTACTTTTGTGAAATTTTGCTGTGATGTTTCATTTAAATTTTCTAATTCTTCTGACTGTTGCTTTCCCACCAGTTGGGAATATTGTGATGTTAGTCTGATACTGTCAGTCTATTCTTTTACCAGTTATGGTGACACTGCATTATAAACACAATGTACCAGCATATAATAAAATAGTCCATATTCCAATGTGCCTTGAAAGTGTAACATTCAAAGGTACTTTTCTTGTTCTGAGATACAGGGCATGAACTGGTAGCAGAAAAAGTAATAAATCTAGCAATACACAGGGCATTCCAAATGCTTTCAGGTAATATCTGCATCACCATGATTCTGTAGCTTGCCAAGCGGCAATGTGAAACAAGACACACATACACAGGTTCTGTAGCAGCTACTCAACTTTCCCATTATAGCAAAAAAGTATCCATAGATAATATGTAAATTAGTGTGGCTGCATTCCAATAAAAACTTATAGACACTAAAATTTGAATTTCATGTAATTTTCAGATGTCAGGAAATAATCTTTTGATTATTTTTCCCAACCATTTAAAAGCCATTTTCAGTTCATGGGCCACACAAAAACAGGCAGCAAGCTGATTCTGGCTACGGGCCATAGTTTGACAACCCTTGCTCTAGTAGATTTAACAGAATATATGAGCCTGTAATTAATTAATGGCTCAGTAACACTAAAATATCAGCCAAATATCTTACATCTGGAACCTAGACTTTACAAACATTGAGACTGTCTGGAACAAAATAAAAAAGTAAAACTTAGACCCAGTAAAAGTCAAAATGTTCCTCTACAAAAGTTACACTATACGGTTGCTCAACCTACAATGAGGTTACATCTGAAAAAATACTAAGATGCATTTAATGCAGGCAACAGCATACAGTCCCCCAATTTACGATGGTTCAAGTTATAAATTTTGACTTTGCAATGGTGCAAAAGCAATACACATTCAGTAGAAACTATAACCCCATCTTTGGTCCTAAGGCGCTCCTAAACTTTTGATGGGGTTACCTCTCAATACACCCACTGTAAAGTTGAAAAATCATTAAGTCGAAAGTAAGTTAGGGATTATCTATACTTTTTAGGGACAGAAGCCAGAAATGATACAAGTTATGAGATTGAGCAACTATGTGGCTAATAAAAAGGCAATCTTTATCATTCCTATTTGAAATCCAGCATTGATTTCTCAAATAGTTGAACAGAATTTAAATATTAGTTTTCTCAGCTAACAAATCACAAGCGAAAAGAAGCTTCACTTCCTTTTTAACGAAGACAAAAGAAGCCAGTTAGAAACTTACTACATTGTGTTAGATTTTTTAAAAAGCCACAGTTATACCAAATGTATTTACTTTGTGAAGTATATCCTTCGGAATAAATGCATTCCTGGAAAGGAGAAACAGAAGTCAGTCCTTAATTAGCTAGTTGAGGTACTCATAAAGAACAAGAATAAGCCAACACTTGAAATGCAGAAAACTCAGACTGATTTTTCAATTAATGGACTAATAATCATCTAGGGTTAATGAAGGAAGTTACTGAATTCTGTTGAGTTGCCCAAATAAAAATGAACAATATCCCCCAAATAAGTATTTCCAAAAGAAAATCACCAGTCATCAACATTTATAAGAAAACATTTTGAAGCCTTTATTTACAAAAGCTTTAAAAACAAATAATACCCTCTGTTTTGCAAATAATGTTTTGTTTAAAAAGGACCACCCAGTTACAGCACTGTAATATCATGAATAAAGAATGTACAAGGGAGACAAACCAATGTGACTAACATTTGGAGATTTGCTAATATTACTGATTGAAGTGTAGGTAACACACATTATAACTTGTAGTCCATCATTTCGGGGTAGAGTTAATGATTACCGTAAAGTCTTCCTACACATGCTCTGGTCTGGTCACATATTCTGCATGGCTAAGTATTTCACAGTCTCTTTTGTCAATATATATAAAATAGATTGCAAAGATATACACAAAAAAATAAGCATTACACTCCTCAGGTAATTTTATCAGCTATATATATATATATGAGAATATATATATATTTTGTTGTTTTGTACCAAATCTCTCCATTATTTACCTTTGTAGCAACTATGAAAGCACAATTTTTGTCTTCTAATTTAATTTGGTACAAAATATACCTAAAGACTTATCTTTGGATTTTTAATAAAATTGATTTGTGTAACCAACAAATCAAGAGCATCATAAGAATGGCTACAAAATTTAAAAAAAAAAAAAGGGTAAATGGTGATGGAATAAAAATAAGCAGATCAAGGGAAGTGTGCTATCATAAAATAACTGTAGCTTCAACATCTTGAGTACCAGTTTCCTGGCAGATAGTAAACATCCAATCACAAGGGATTTTTCCTGAAGGGTGTAAAGCTGGTTTGAAAATTCTTCAGTCACAGAGCAGCCTACACATGCCAATTAGAAACTGACAGACACTAGATGTGCTTGGAAGATTAAACACTACGTACAGAAACAGCAGTTACTAAGCTCCTCAGTAGTTTCTTGTCTTTTTTAAGTTTCGCTGAATCGACAGTTTGCACAACGTGCTATATTCTGTGGGTCAAAACCAAGTAAATACTGTGTAAAGTTGGCAGATTTTTCCAGCTAAGATCAAGAAAAAACAAATTTTCTGATAAAACAGGTTTAGAGTCAGAAACACTCTCTAAAGTGCAAAACTGATGGTCCACGATCTCAAATAGCTAAAACTCCTGCAGAATGGAAGGGAGAGACGTGAAACAGGGAAATAAATTACAGTCAGTGCTAGTTAATTTAGGAAAAGGGAAAAATAAACCAAACTCAAGTCGGTAAAGTTTATCAAAATATTCAATGATGTAGCTTTCCCCACTCTCTGTCACACACGCTTGCTAACAAGTATATTAAATTAAGGCCAAATTTAACCTGAATGCGTTTTTTTTTTTCTTTTTATTAAGATCTGAGATAGGAACGGTCATACTTAGTACTGAAAGGCAGACAATAAAATGGGCCATGAAAGGGGGGGGAAAGGTACTGTCTATTGTTCGAGGGATTCAACCAGAGATAAAACCTATATACAAGCATGTGTGTAGCTCGAAATAAAAATAAAAGGACTATTTCATGTCATGACTGCTTGTTGGCTTCCTCTTCATATGCATTCCCTGTGCCATTCTGTACATAGGATGAACCAGAACCAAGGCCATACAAATGACCACAATATTTGGCATCATCAATATGATCTTCAAAGAACATCTAAAAAGGAATTTTGAAGAAAAAAAAAAGATAATTTTAACCAAAAGGAACCACTTGTAATTTATATTTCAGCAATGTAAGTACTGACTGTTCACTGACAATAATGATGGCTCTTTTCTATGGTGTTCCTTTGAGGCTACGCATTTCAGTTCAATGAGTAAGACTAATGTCCTCAAAAGTACAGAGCTCAGAAACCAAAGAAAGAGACTACAAAAAAAGTGTATAAATGCATGTCTTTTCCATTTAGACCATTTTTATAAGAATTTTTCATCATGGAAAAATAACTATTCCATTAATTTAACAATACTCAAGAATGAAGAAAGCCAATGATGGTGGGGGAAAAAAAGTTTAGGTTCATAAACTGTCTTAAATCTGTATGCAAGGCTGAGCTGGCTATAAATGATCAAACCATAAAGTCATGGACAGTAAAATCCAAACATTCACACTCTATTACTGTCCTTGAAGAAGCCAAGAAAAATAAAGATAAATTAGTGCCAGAAATCCACCTTTAGTTAAATAAACCATTAAGACATTTTTAAAATGCAAAGCTAAAAAATCCAAAAGGTTGTTTCAATTATCTAATGAAACAATTGGAAGGAGTCCAAAACAAAATATTTACGTGTCATGAATGGATAGTCCAAATCACTTCTGAATCAACAACACTACTTAGCAAAACAGCTTTAATGCTTTCTATTATCAATACATTGCTACAAAAAGTTTTAAATTCTCAGTCTCAATTTAATGTCTAAGAGAAAATATACTCAAATCCACAGCGAATTTTTCCAAAAGGGAAAACTTATAGTCAAGAAAAACCTCACTTGTTTTTTGCACAACCAATTTTCCTGTTTACCTATAGCTAGGTGTATCTGTGCACATCACTTAATTACTTAGGAGTAGATAATGGGTTCATTTAGTTTCATTCTTCCATCCCTAACACTTTATACTCAAGGAACTGATCTCTGCCTTTTGCCGTTTAAGGAGGGTTTTCCTAATATGGTTTCTGATGCAACTACTACGTTGGATTTATTTGATCCCTTCGGAATTCAACCCCCCTTTTAAGACTCAATGCAGTAAAAGAGCCTGAGTTCTTCTCTATAAAATCTTCAAAGCACTGAAGAATGACATGAGCAAATAATATATTTATCACCAGTTTAAACCTTAAAAGGGGTCATGCTAGAATAAACCTAATATAAAGATTCCTTGCCTTGTAGGAGGAGCACCAATGGGAGTCAGAAAAGAACTCTGGAGTTCTCCCACTAGTAATGTGTTTAATCATGGAAGTTATTAGCCTGTTTTCTCACCTGAGAAATAATATGGTTGGACCTACATGACTTCTCAGGTAGTTTATGTTTTAAAATTGTTGGTTCTATGATGAACATGTTCTCCCAGTTCCTTCTGAACTACATTTCAAGATGACTTATTTTTGAATACTTTTAAGTGTGGTGGATGTGACTCATATGGTATCTCTAATTATATCTTTACTTAGTAGGTACTTGTTGCCCAAAATCTTTGGCCACAAGATTTTTAATGTTCTCAACCTAACAACCAACTGAGAAAAAGGCAGTGATGTCTTCATACTTCTCTCATTTTGAAAAAGGCCATTCCTGTGAGCAATGAATCAGATCCTGCCTGATGTTGTGGTCCTATCCGTTCCAGCTCTAACTGTTCTGCCACCTCCTGTAATCCACCCTAGAAAAAATAAAAAATTGCTTGTCAAGAAGAAAAATCTTACAAGGCCTAAATTCACAAATTATAAACTTAGACGCTGACCAAAATAAAAATAAACTTTAGTATGTAAAGGTGAATCTTATAAAGATTGGGGGGAAGAAACAGAGAATGTGAATTACTAATGTATTTGTTGAATGCGGAAAAAGTATCATTTAATAGAAAACAAGATCCTAATTGGGAAAATGTATTTTCATCATGTTTTAGGGCATATGACAGGTAAATACTCTCCTAGATATGGGAAGGAAGCAGACCACATATAGGGTAATATTTATCAAGTACACTCATAGTCTATCAATCCAGTAATAATTATAAAACTGAAAAGCTAGTATAACACCATTTTTTTCATATTTTCTTAAACTTCCCACCATCCATTTGTAGTTTTCACTTAATTTTTACAAAACAAAGCCATTATGAATAATCATTAAGAGTATGCTAAATGCTTCACTATGGTTTTCTTAGTTAAGACGAGTATATGCACACAACTCCTTAGAGTGGTCTGCTATAATCCACCTATGTTAATACTCCTAAGATTAAAAAAGAAAGATGAGAGTGGAAAGAGTGGAAAGAAAGAAAGAGAAAGACAGTAACAGAAGGAAAGAAAGTGGGAGGACAGGCAAGGAGAGTAAAGGGAGGGGAGAATAAGTAGAGCGTGAAGGAAAGAAACACCAACAACAAAACAAAAATTCTTCTCTAACTTGTTAAGGCCTCCACCGGCAAAATGGCCCTTCTGTGCATCACAGCTTGAAACAAGGCTTTGCACAGCAGTTGCTTCTGCGCTAAAAATAGCACGAGGATTAGGTATCGTTAGCAGCTGCTTAGGAGAACAGAACTAGAACTGAATAGAACAGCATGGCTGACTATAGGTCAAAAAGCACCTTTGTCGTTAACCTGAATTTTAACACAGCAGCTTACTCAGGACACATTCAGAATATCTGTACTTAGAAACTTCCCAGTAACAACCACATGATGAGCAATAATTTGGTTCCCTGTTCCTGAAAACTATCATTATACAGACATGTCAATTAAAAAAAAAGTCAGATGAAAACATGTAGGCCTCAGCATGCAGTGCTTTCACAGGGTGGGCTGAATTTCTCAAGCAAGGGATACCCTACTGCAAGTTCACTTCCTGGAAGTCCCCTCAAATTACACAGAAGTCTACTGCTACAAACATAAAATAATCTTTCTTGAAAATTTCTCTAGTCATATGCTGACCATATCATGTATTAAAGGTAAACACTGGCCAAAAGAAAGCTTCTCATCTTCAGTTATCTGTTAAGACCAGCGTGACCAACACGGTAAAACCCCGACTCTACTAAAAATACGAAATTTAGCTGGGTGTGGTGATGGACACCTGTTAATTCCAGCTACACAGGAGGCTGAGGCAGGAGAATCACTTGAACCCGGGAGGCGGAGGTTGCAGTGAGCCGAGACCACGCCACTGCACTCCAGCCTGGGCGACAAGAGCAAGGCTCCGTCTCAAAAACAAAAAAAGAATTAATGTTTAGAATTTAAAAATACATGTTATGCAGCGTCAAAATGTTACTACTATCTAGGCAGGACCTACACATTTCCCATAGTACTTAACTGTAACAAGCTGACATCTTTTGGCCACAGAAAAATCTTTTAGCTATATAGTTTAATCCTAGGAGCATTATCCTATCACTAGAACTGACAAAATAATTTCTAGCCAAGATAAGCCAAAAGGAAAGAAAAACTTTTGCCACACTACTAAATACATCTGCATATCGCTGGCCACCTTAGATTCCACCTTGTAAGAACAGATTCTATGCGTCTTGGGAGAAAGTAACAACTCACAATGGCGTGCATATGAGAGCCTCAATGTCCTCAGATTTGTGTTTTGGTTTGTGATTTTCAATCTGGCAAGCAGTGACAAGAACCGGACCTAAGCCTGAAATGTGTTGAAAATTCTGCCTTCTGCCAAGACATACTGAAGCTCTGAAAAAAGGATTCCCTACAAATTATGTATGCAAGAAAAAAAATCACATGACCAGATAATATAATTGCATTCACTGTAATACTTTAAAATATGGTTTAAAACAACATCCCAGCCTAGGCTCGCATGACAGTCACTTGGTCTGAACAGTGTGCTGCTGTAGATAATGCCATCCGAAGCCTTACTTTGAGATTTTTGCAGCTCTTCATGAGGTACTTCACATCATAAATGACAGGAAAAAACAATCGAAGGATCTCAAAGAAGTCAAGTTCTTCTTCAGGCAAGTTAGAGTTGGTTAGGATTTTGATTAAGTAGCCAAAGTCGTAACCGCTATAAAAGGGTTAAAAGAATAGAGAAGAGGGACATATAAATACTATAAAGATTAAAAAAAAAAGTTTTTCTGATTCAAATTTAAGCAAGTCACACTAGAGCCCTCCCAAAAACATTAAAGAGAAGTGCACACAAGAACAGAGAAAACAAACATATTGAGAACTATGAGAAAATGTCGTCATCTTACAGTATTAAGAACTTTATCACTTTATTATTCAGAGATATCAACACAGACCTACACTACCAAACCAGCCTATGGTCAATAAAATACTATTTTGTTGATATCTGAATAGAGAACACCAAGAAGAGTATCAAGCTGCCCACAGATGTCTCAAAATATTTTTTAAAGTAACTATGGAAATGGAGAAATAAAGATGAATGGAAACTTGGCCAGAAGAGTTAGCAAAGGTAGCAAGAGAACTGGCATTCGGTAGACAAAAGTAATGCAAGTCATCCCACTTTTACATAAGGTGGTCATATACTTTATCCAAAGAATAAGACTGTAACAAGGTATTTTCACTTCTCTTAAATGACTGTGTTAAGTAGTCTCTCCCTTTTCTTCCTTCACAATTCTCTTCCTTTCAGTGTGGCTCCCTAAGAGTCATTATTAATGGAAATGCTGCACATGGAAGAAGTGAAGGGTAGTAAAAAAATAACTACTCTCTTGATCATAAAATGCAAACTCCTACACTCTCAAATCCAGAACTCTTCTCCCTTTGTCCGGCCTTTCGCACAGCTTTCTGTCTCCCTACACTCCCAGGCCACTTAGACACGTCCGTCCCTTGTCTACCTTTCCTTCCAAGGACCTCTAACAGGAAGCCTATATGACATTTGCTCACTAACATTAAAAGATTATATTAGCGCTTAGGATTTATAAACTTCTTAAACTATTCTTCATTACTTGAAATTAGAATATGAGGAAAACAACTAATGATATTTAATGGAATAAAATCTTCTATCTTGATAAATATTCAAATATATCAGTCTAACTTAGATTCTAAACTCCAAGAAGACATGAATGAACCCTGTTTGTTTTTGTTCATCTTAATACCCAGTGCCTAGTGCACTGTATTTTGTCAGAGTATTTTTTAAATGAAAGGGTATGTCATATACAGTAAAAGGGAAGGGCAATACTTTCCAGTTCTTTTGCACCTTCATATCTAGGGAAGAAAAATGACTAAAAAAAAGGTATTTGTATCAAGAGTCTTAAGTTATGTTTCCTAAGGTACAAGTTCAAGTGCAGAAGAGACAAAAAAGATGATAGGTAAGAATGAGTGTGTTCAGTACCTACAACTCAACCATTTCTGGTTAGTACACATCAAAGTTGCCCACATGAACAGTCCTTCACTATAAACATCCCACAGATCAGAGACAGAAACTAAACATGCAGGAGACTCAGATTTAAGATACATGTGTGAAGTGGACCAAGTATGAGAGTATTAACATCTATGTAACACAATGCTTTTTCAAAACCTAACAAAAGCCAATATCATTCTGAAGGTTACTTTTAGTCCCTGGAACGTCAGTTTAGTTTACTTAGATGGGAAAACTCTTTTTCATACCTGGAAGTCTATTTCACAAAATCGGAATAGTTTCCTTACCAGAAACACTCTTAAATAATCTAGTTTCATAACAATAAAGAATTTAGAACCACCACTTATTGAGAATTTACTGTTTATAAAGTATTTTGGTGACCATTAAAACAAGTCTTCAAGCTATTTCTTCTAAGGGATGCCTTATCACTTTAAAAAAAAATTAAAATCCATCTCCACACCCATCCCTAGCATTTTCTTTGCTGTTTTGAGATAGTACTTATCACTATCTAACAAATCACAACGTGAACTCCATTTTTAAAAACTGTCTGCCCACCCCCATGAGAATATAAACTCCATGAGGAAAATAATTTTCATCTGTTTTATTCACACCTTAGTTCCTAGAATCTCATCTCAGTGCCTGCCATATGGTAAATACTCAATAACGTTGTGTAAATGTAAGTGAATGGTTTCCCCCGTAGAACATTAAAAACTAAGGTGTAGAAATAGTAAAAGAAAACCCTGGGTAACACCAATTCCAAATGGCGCCGCTGGATTTAAACCAGGGTCTTTCACTTTTTAGAGAACCTGTACTGTTTCCACTATGCAACATGCTTCTCACAGGCAAAAATGGATCCCATATTTTAAATTAACCTTTAAGCAGACCAACATTAGCCTCCTAAGAGTTAGGAGACAACTCTATATGGCAGTCAACTCTTTCCAGAATTAAACCTGAAATTGCTAACATAGTGACCCAAGTAAGTGTGGAGCAAGTATGAGATGGAAAAACAAATGCCATTTTCAATGTAGTCGTTTTACCTATGAAATGACAACCATTTGACCCCTTCACAGAGGACCACTCCAGAAGTCATAAGAAGTTCTGCAAAGTACTGGGTTTCAATTCCTTCCTCCTCATGTTTTTTAAACTGGATACCAGATGTTGTTAGTAGCTCTATAGAGTCCTGGGCATACATGTCCTCCCTGGCAGAAGAAAGAGAAAGACAACATTCAAACATGCCATTACTTCAAACAAGCTGTTCTTCTGCTTACATCTATAACTACAGTGCCAGAAAAGAGACAGAGGAATGGCTTGAGTCCACCTGTTTCAATGCTTTATATATATGCAAGAAAAATGCAATTTAAATACAAAGGTCATTATTTCAGAAAAGTGTTTCGAATAAAAAATCATTCAGAGAGTCCAAAGGTGCAATTTTAATCTTTTTTCTATTAACTCTATTAGCCTTTCATACTTAAATACATTTAACTGGGTTTGGAAAAGGGTCTCCTATTCACCAGGGGCTACCGTCGCAAAGTGACAGACAAGTTTTTTCAGAGACTCTCAGTCTCAGCAGCCACTGTAATGCTCCCAGATGGAGCTGCAGCCATAGCTGTGGGGCATATGCCCATCTCCCGTGCTCTCAGCAGCACCAGTAAGGAGACCCAGTGGAAAATGTCTCATGCGGATGAGTTAAACTACACTTCATCTTAAAGAAGGAGATGCCTCCTTTCACAAATGAGCCTTGCAAATGCCTCCAATAAGCAACACTGTATAAAGGACTGTACTGTAATAGCAATAATTTCTTCTGCCAACAATCCTATTCCTAAAAGACTGCCTTATAAAATCAAGCCAGGAAATCTAAATATAAACCAATTCTTCAAGATTTCACTTAAGCCAAAAAGAAAGCCATCTCCAACCTCAAATATATTTCCAACCACAAATATGTGTATCTGAAATATTAAAAGTTTCCAAAATATATCTGTATCTGAAATATTAAAACAAAAAAGTTACCAAAATACAGATACATTTTTGAGAATACGTGAAAAAGTGTTTTTTTATTTACTTTTTAAATTGTAAGAATACTGGTTTCTACCTCTTGGCAAAAGGAATTCCTATTAAACACTTGACAAATCTAAACCATGGGGTTCACTTCACTTGGGCCAAAAAGTATCGTTATGGTTAGTCCTTTAGAAATCAATTTATTTCTAAATGTCTGAAAAATTACAAAACAATGGAAATATTTTAAAAGAGAAGGAAACCACAACAATCACGTAAAAGTCAGTCTCCCCTGGAAAATCCTTTAGGAAGGGTAACAGAATAAACCCAATGAAGTAGTTTCTTTTTTTTTTTTTTTTTCCAGTGAAACCACAGCTTTCCTATGCTAAAAATATGTACCTCAAAAAATTAGAATCTCATTCATCAGGTCCCAGTGCTCACACTGAGGCATGCCTTAGCAACTATAAGCAATGAAAGGGATAAAAAACAGATTCTTCTCCAGGTGCACATCATTCTTGGCCATTTGCCAAGGTATAGGTATACAAGTAGTTTAGACCTTTTTCTCTTAAGTTTCCAATAACACCCTTCACCTGTCTACTTGCAGCATATGGCTTCACCCCATACCTGCTTTACAAAGAAACATCAGATTAATATTCCTGTCTTTCTTTACATCTACGTATGTGAAGATCTTTCTTACTTAGACTACAAAGACAGCTTGCCTCATCGCCAAAGCTAATTGCTACCAATGCCTTAGACGCTATTCCATGCCATTCCTCAAAGGACTTGTCAAGTGCCTATCTTTATCCTAACATACAACTCCTTAACTAACTCATGAACACACAAATATGTCTGTGTATTATCTGTAAAACAAAATAAAAACCACTATTCTGTTGATTCTGCTTTCCCTTCTTGAGACAGGGTCTGGCTGTCATCCAGGAAGCAGTGGCTTGAACACGGCTCACTGTAGCCTTGACCTCCCGGACTCAAGCAATCCTCCTTTTGTAGCCTCCCAAGTAGCTGGGACTACAGATATGAGCCACCATGCCTGGCTAATTTTTCTATTTTTGTAGACAGGGTTTTGCCATGTTGCCCGAACTGGTCTTAAACTGAGCTCAAACAATCTGCCCACCCTGGCTTCCAACTGGCCTCCCGAAGTGCTGGGATTACAGGAATGGGCTACTGCATCCAGCCTTCCTTCTTATGGCACTCTCTATCTCCTTCTTTACACTGCCACTTTCCTTAAATGAAGCATCAGCATCCTTTCTGTTACCACCAAACCCAAGGTGCCCTGTAATTTCTACTATCCTATTGAATTACTGCAATCACCAAAAGTGATTTTTCTTTTTTGAGACGGAGTCTCACTCTGTCGCCCAGACTGGAGTCAGTGGCATCTCGGCTCACTGCAAGCTCCACCTCCTGGGTTCACGCCATTCTCCCGCCTCAGCCTCCCGAGTAGCTGGGACTACAGGTGCTCACCACCACACCCAGCTAATTTTTTTTGTATTTTTAGTAGATACAGGGTTTCACCGTGTTAGCCAGGATGTTCTCGATCTCCTGACCTTGTGATCCGCCCGCCTCGGCCTCCCAAAGTGCTGGGATTACAGGCGTGAGCCACCACGCCCAGCCTAAAAGTGAGAATTTGTTAAAAATTTGTTTTAATCCTCTTTATCAGTGACATTATTTCCACAGAATGCTTCTCTTCTTCACAGCTCATCAGTACTCCACTTCAATTTTCATGGATGTATCAACTCCAAATTCAGTTTGGAGAGAATTCCCATACGTTACAATTGTAATTCTTAGACTTAGGCAATAGAGAGAAAACAGAAGAGTTACAAAACACTGAGTTATAAAGACCACGACCAACTTTCCTCAGTACTAAATCCCTAGTGTCTAGCACTGTAACTGACACTCATTCTAGCCACCCCATTAAAAAGTCAATTTTGATCTTTCTTCCAAATTTCCAAGATTCTCTTCACGGTGCTCTCTCTATATTAGGCATTACTCGTTTATCTTCCAAATGACTTCTTCTACCTAATGTTTTTCACTGTATCCTTCTCCTTAAACATCTCCTAACATCAGTGTAAATCAAGCTTGTCCAACCTGCAGCCAGTGGGCCACATGTGGCCCGGCATGGCTGTGAATGTAGCCCAATACAAATTTGTCAACTTTCTTAAAACATTTTGAGATTTTTTTTTTTTTTAGCTCAACAGCTATTGTTAGCATTAGTGTATTTTATGTGTGGCCCAAGACAATTCTTCCTCTAGTGTGGCCCAGGGAAACCAAAAGATTAGACACCCCTAGTGTAAATGGTAGCAAAACTTGGTAGTAAACTTTAGCAGTCATTTTTGAGTAAGAAAGAAAAAATGTCACTTACAGGCTGTACTAAGAAAGCAGTTGTTACTCGAACAAAGGTGTTTCTAGAAAAGGAAACTGTCAATTTTATCCAAACTGAGAAGCTGATGGGTTACCTCCTTCTCACGTACTGAGATCACAATAGTATCTAATTTAAAAACAATGTTCTAATTCACTTGAACAAAAAGTTAACATGGAACAAATGAAATGGTAAAGCACTAATTTTAATAAAGGTTTATCATTTGAGAAAAAGGATAGGAGGCAATTTTCAGTGTTTCACAGATGTAGTTCTTATAAAAGGTTTTCAGTTTGAGTGGAGTACTTTGCACCCTTTATAAATGAGGTGTTCAATCTTTTGGCTTCCTTGGGCCATACTCAAAGAACTGTCTTGGGCCACACATTAAATAAACTAACTTAAACAACAACAAAAAAATCTCATAATGTTTTAAGAAAGTTTACGAATTTCTGTTGGGCTGCATTCAAAGCCATCCTGGGCCAAGGGTTGGACAAGTTTACTTTACAAGGTTCTGTAGACTGTGCGTGTGTGTATAGATACAGGTATTTTTAGAGACAAAGTATCACTCTGTTGCCCAGGCTGGAGTGCAGTGGTGCAATCTAGATCACTATAGCCTTGAACACCTCAGTTAAAGCAATCCACTTGGTTCAGCCTCCCTGTACCTGTAGTGCTAGCTACCTGTACCTGTACCTGTAGTGCTAGGACTACAGGTACACAGCCACCATGCCTGGCTTAGTTTCATTTTTTTTTTTTTTTTTTGTAGAGACAGAGTCTATGTTGACCAGGCTGGTCTAGAACTCCTGGCCTCAAGCAATCCTCCTGCCTTGGTCTCCAAATGGAGAGTATATTATTAAACCCAAAAGAGTGAAATGGAGAGTCAGGCTAAACACAGTGTAATTACAAGCCACACTACTATACCACAGGCATCATTACTCTGCTTTTCCTAAGCCCTACTTTCGTAAAATTGTGTATACTAAATATCTTTGTTTATCTGACAAAGAACAGGAAGAAAGAATTCATACATTGGCACTACCATTAATTGCCTACAGTTTCTTTCACTATTTTACCTACCAGATATTAGGATGTATGACACAAATGTAGGATGTCAAACAGAAGAACAATGCAATATTGCAACATACAGTTAAGTACTCACTCAACGTTATCAATAAGTTCTTGGAAATTGCAACTTTAAGCCAAAAGATGGATAACGAAACCAATTTTTACCACAGGCTAATTGATAAAAACAAGAGTTAAGTTCCTACGGCATATTTCTGGTCACAAAAAAATCATCAAACTTCTAGATAAAGACCAAAATACTTCTAATATTAAACAATGAAATAAATGTGAGCTATATGTAAATTTAAGAACAATTAATAAAAACAAGATAATTATTTGCTCCATTATTCAGTTGAGGGGTGAAGAAAGCCAGAGCCTATTCTGGCAGCTCAGGGCACAATGTGGGAACCAACCCTGGTCAGCATGTCGTTCCGTGGCACAGTGCACTCACACAGATACACCTACTCACTCACACTGGGACAACTTAGCCACACCATTTCACCTAACGTGCACAGCCTTGGGATGTGGGAGGAAATCAGAGGACCCGGGAGAAAATCCACATATACACGAGAACGTGCACACTCCACTCAGGTAGTGGCCCGGGTCAGGAATCAATTTTATTTTTTATGAAGGTTACCATGAAACAATGTTGAAGAAAATGTCATTTGAGGTCCTGCTGTAATAAGAATGTATTATTTTATTTACCCAACTTAGTTTGCAAATAATCTGCCCCTCTCTAAAAACATCTAAAACTTCCCTTAGCTATCAAGACTACTTCTATTAATAATACAGAAATATTATAACTAAGGAAACTGGGTGAAGACCCAGGGCTTGAGTTAGAATGAAGATTCTGACATATGATAAACACCAGGTTCAAGGATACTACTACTTCTCCTATATGTAAATTAAGAGAGCTTTTGTGGGCTGAAGTGGCAACCTAATGATAATACTGACTTGAAAGGAAAACGTACCCAAGGTTCCAGAAAACGTCTTACTGCATTTGACATGTAATCTACTCATAAACTGGAATATGAATGCAACAAAAATCTTCACAAGAAGGATAAATATTATAAAAGGCTATATTTCAAATTGCACACAAAATTTTTGAAAGTAAAACTAATGTAGGATTATTTTTTCTATCAGAAGTACTTTCAATACCCAGTCTTCCAAATACAAAAAAAGCTGCAGTCATATTTTAAATATAACATCTTTAACATCAAAGTATTTTTTTTGGTCCCATAGTAAAAAAGAAAACCACGCTTTTGAAATGTTACGTTTTATATATTTCCAGGATAACTACACCAAATTCACCTAGCATGTCACCATACTTGAGGAAAATCAATTCCTAAGATTAAAGAAAAAAAAAAAAAAGTCTGGGTTATACAGTTATTTCCCACTTACGTCAAATTAAATTTAAAATTAAACTGCCAAGTTGAAGTTCCTGGAGGGTATTCTCCTTGCTCATTCATAAATGTCAGTCCTAGCTGAATTATCTTTAACAAGTCTACATTACACCGCAATAGTTGGTATTGATAGTCAGCATTGCTCCTGAATTCTCCAATGGGTCTTGCAACCACACCTGGAAACTCGGTGTCCTGTAAAATAGTTTTAAGATTCATTATGTACTAAACAGTCAAAACTACAATCCACACATTTTTAATTTTTGATGCAAATCAAAGAATCCTACAGATGATATTCTACACATTTATATTCAATTACAAAGTATATTTTAACTAGAAAGAACATCACTTTTTAGAACCATAAAACTCTATAAACTTAATAACCTTTCCTTAAATATATCCAAAAAGTTACTATACGAGATACATGTGATAAATTTAACCAAATACTTACTCTATAACCAAGAAAGGGGGGAAAATCATAAATTCCTGTCTCCCAAAGGATACATGAAATGATGCTCACAGTATTCCAATGCTAAAACCAAGTTTCTTGAAGAACTGGTTCAAAAGAGGGGAAAACGCCCTGTACTTTCCAATTGCTTCTCTGACACAAGGTTTTTCTCAACACCAAAACCCTAAGAAAAACATCATTAGCTTCCTAATTTCTCTGGCTTAAACAATATTCTCTCTATAGTCCACAGAAAGCATGCTGTCAAGAATTGCATGCCACCTACTCACTCTTGTAGGATGTTATCACTTCTCTATGTTGCCACTCTTTATCATCTGAGAAATCAATGATCACTATGAATTTCCATTGGTTAAGAAAACAATTTTAGTTCTAATCATGGGTAAGTACACCTTTATCAAATAGTATGTCATCTACAAAGAAACAGTCATATTTTAACCAATCAACTTGCTCCTCCCCAAAGTAATGCATTTGTTTATTTTTATTAAAAATACTGAGACAAAGATACATCGGTTTAGTATTAGAATTCAAACTAGGGCTAGCTAAGAATAAAAACTACCTATCAAGTCACTATGAAATAGTAAAGAAATCAATATTTCTCTAAATTCAGTGCAATTCAACAGCCACTTTATTGAATACTATATGTGTTATGCTAGGTGTTGGGAGAGAAAGGATTAAAACACTTGGTTTATGGAGCTAATAATAATCCAGTGGATGTAGAAAACAGTAGGGTAGCTAACAGATATAGACAGTATAATGGTAAAGAAGAAAAATCATTAACTGGATAGACAATCTAGGCAGACCAAACAGCACGTGCAAAAGCAGAGTTGCTTAGTAACACAGTATATTCACAGAACTCCAGTGTTAATTATGAAAACAAATTGCAGACCAACAACGTTTCACTGGCACATCTGATTTTTTTGTTTGAGAAAGAGCACCCTAGCTTCTGGGAGCTCATGTGGTACTACCAGCTAGGCTTTGGTGTTGCTAGGAGCAGACCTGGCACTCATAGCCACGCCCTAATGTTCTCCTGTTGAACACAATTTCACAAAAGTTCAACCTCAAATAAGGCCACTCTGTAATCATGTCTGAACAAGGACAAAAAAATAAAAATGTCAAACCACAAAATGACCAAGTATCTCCATCCTGGCTAAATGAATGACTGTTCCTTCTCTGCAGCTTTAACCTCATTCTAGTCTCTCATTTAAGACTTAGTAAGATACCCAATCACAGAATTACCCCAGCTTCCCGAACACATCCAATCCACAGTAAAGCTCTGCTTCCCTTACCTTCCCCTAAGACCACCTGACACGAGCCCAAATCCTTCCTAACTCTTATTCAAACGGCCCATGGTTCCCATGAATTCCAGTGCGTTTTCCCTCACTGCAATGAGGGATAAACCCAACCTGTCAAATCACAGGTGTATTCCTGATGGATTTTGGCTGGAGGGCAGTGACAAATTTTACTTTTCATGGTGAAATTAATCCCTAAAAATATCAACCAAAAGGGTTGAATTCAAGACTTTAAAATTTCCTTTTCCTCCTTTATATGAAGCGTTTTAAAGATCTGCTTGTGGGCATACCATAGCAACGTAATTATATTTTCGGATAACTTGACGAATTTTCTTCATCTCTTCATCCAAGTTGCAAGCCCAAACTTCACAAATTCTTTGGCTATGATCTACAGTTGCCGCTGGCATAGTGAGGGCACAAGGGAGTCTAGATGCCAAGCATCAAAATGTTATACTTGATTGAAGATTTGTTTCATAAAATATTTTATCCTTTATTTATGTACCTGTCAAAATAAAAAAACAATATGAAGACCAGATATATCAAATCTGAATCACAGAATAATTGATCCAGCAGGAACCTAAGAAGTTATTTATTCAAAGTTCTTGACTCATAAAAAAAAAAAATCAAAGTTTAGAAAGTAACTTAAGGTCACACAGCTAGTCTATAGGAAAAAAAGGACTACAGTACAGATTTCCTGGTCCTAATTTCAGTTATTTTAAAATAGCTTTTTTACACATACATACTAATCATATTTTATAACTTTCCACTAATTATTTATCTGAGTTCAACTACTCTGCATAAAACTTTATAAAGCCATCCATTTCCAGACAAAAAATGAAAAATTACTTATTTACATGTGACAAGATCAGATGTTACCATGGCAAAGATGGTGTTTATTTTTATTCCTCATTAATAAAACAACCAAAATCCGACTTGATAACAAGATCTACTTTACCGGCGTTTATTCTAACTAGACTAGAGGGGTCAAAAATGTTTGTAAATGCTCTGAGAAAAAAGTAACGGCCATGAAAATTATCTGAATGTTCGCAGTTGCAGAACGGAAAAAGAACACAATAGAACGTCTAAAACTTAGAGCATATTGCATGGTTACCAAAGATAGATGTCACATTTCTGGTCTATAAACAGAGTTCCTGTTGATTCTTGGGCAGGGAAATTTCAAATCCTTCTGCATTTTTCATACAAATTGGAAAAAAAAAAAACAAGAGTAAAAAGAGGGTCTTATGACTGTCTTCTAAACTCTGAAGAGTCACAAATGTAACTTCCAATTCTCCAAGTAGAGAAACTAAAGGAGATCCAGGACACCCCTCCTTTATAACTCTCCCACCCCGATAGGCACACACACACACATAAGCACAAAAACACAAAGACTTGGAAAGACCCTGTAGTCTAACATTGTTTTCCTCCACCTCTCTCTCTACTGCAGTCCCAGAAGCCCCGAAGAGACACCAAAGGCCTTCTCATTACTGGAGAAAGCATCTCCGTACTGCAGTTTCCCAGAGAAACGAGAGGACGGCACCGAGGTATTCAAGCCATAGATAACTCTCTTCCCTGGCAAAGCGCCAGTGCGAAGGTGCTGATAACACTGACTGGAGCTACACTGACTCCCAAGCACTGCCGCGTGAAACAATACGAAGAGGTGAGGATCTAGGCCACCGCCCTCCACTCCCAATTTCCGTCCCACTGCGAAGCCCCAGGTACAAAGCCTTTGCGTCATCACTACGCGCCAACCCCTTGACAAACCCCCAGCCCCAGTTACCCAGCCCCCAACCCGCCGCCAGGCTCCTTCCTCCGCCAGCCGCACTCCAGCTGGCGCCATCGCGCACCCTCTCAGGTTCATCGTCCCCGCCCCCTTTCTACTTCCCTAACCCGCCCCTCCCCCCGTAAGGCTGCAGCGGATGCAAGATCTACTTGTGTCGCTGAGCTCGCGCTCCTCCTCCTCCTCCTCGCCATAGAGACAGCACTCGGCGGCGGTGGCGGTGGCGGTGGCGGTAGCGGCGGCGGCAGCGGGTGCCCCATAGACACCTCTCGCCCAGCGAAGGGAAAGGCGAGCAGGAGCTGCGCCGCACCGTGCTGCGCCGTCGCTTTTCGCACGTCCTGACGGGGGCGCTAGATGATGACGCGACACGCAGAGGGGGCGGAGAGCGCCCCCGGGGGCGGGGCACGCAAGTGACGGCGGCGCGGGTGGTGGAGCGCTGGGCGGCCAGGCTCCCTGGCTGGCCGGTTTGGGCGTCTGGGCCGTGAAGGTGGGACCTCCTGTTCCGGGCCGCAAGTTTCCCTCTCCAGCCGCCCGCCGTTCGTAGCATGTCCCCCAGAACTCGGGGAGCGCAGGCAGGACAGGCTTAGAGAAGACGCGGTCCCCAGCGCTTGGGCCACGGACGTCCCACCCCGCTCCTCTGTCGCTGGAGAACCGCCGGGCCGAGCCACTGGGAGAAGCAGGCCAGAGCCTTCCAGGGCCTCCGGCCCGTGGACCCGAGGAGGATGAGCTGGCTTTTTCCCCTGACCAAGAGCGCCTCCTCCTCCGCGGCTGGGTCCCCCGGTGGCCTCACCAGCCTCCAGCAGCAGAAGCAGCGCCTGATCGAGTCCCTCCGGAACTCACACTCCAGGTGACTGGTCGCTGCCTCTCCACCGGAGGAAAAAGTAGGGTGGGAGGGCGGGCTTGTCCTAACCACCCTCACAGCGCCTCAGTCTGCTCCCCACCAGCTCCTCATGTGGTTTACCTCCCTTGGTTGTGGGTCACACGCTTGCTCTGCCACTCCTGCCCCCTTTTACTGTTTTCCTCCGGACCCTCCCTGCCTCCTGCCGCACCACTGCTCAGCGCTTCTAACTCGGATTTCCTCATCCCTCCTGACACATAGCTGCTGACTGTAATCTCTCAATCTCTCTCATAGTCTATTTCCAGTATCCCTTGCTGCCCAGGCTTCGCCACTGATCTTTCCCTTTGCCCACCTGATTGCCGCGTCAGCAGAATTGTTAAAATACAATTGTGAAGAGTAATCTCCAGGTTTCACAAAGAATGGAAAATAGAACTGTTGCAACATCAAAGGAAAGGGAAGCCAGAGTTTTCATCAGTGAATGCTTCTCGTCTGAGAGTCACTTATCACGTAGTCAGTCTTCTTGAGTCTCTAAGATTTACCCTGTTGGAGCAGTCTCTCCCCATCTCACAGCGACCAGTGCATGTACATTTCTCACTTCTTTCATAGTCTTGTCCCCACGCTCAAGAATTACTTTATGTTCATCTTGATTGTTCTGTTGTCTTCCTGTGAGTTTTTCATTTTATCATGGTCAGTTTAGAAATATTTTTACAATTCATATTATTTCAACTTTTACTGTAAATTGGTTTGCTGCAGCCTTTTACATTGCAAATGTCTATGGTCTCTAATGGTTTTCAAAAATTAGAACTGCTTCTTTATATTTTATGCATTTTGCAAGTATATTTACTTAACAGTTTCACACTATTTTAAATAAAGATGACAACATTGTTAAGTCCCTAACCCCTTTTTTTTTTTTTTTTTTTGCCGGGGGTACGGCTCTCCTGTTGCCCAGGCTGGAGCGCAGTGGCGCGATCTCGGTTCACTGCAACCTCCGTCTCCCGGATTCAAGCAATCATCCTCCCTCAGCTCCCCACACCCCTCCGAGTAGCTGGGATTACAGGTGCGCGCCACCATGCGCGGCTAATATTTTGTATTTTTAGTAGAGACGGGGTTTCACCACATTGGTCAGGCTGGTCTCGAACTCCTGACCTTAGATTATCCACCCGCTTCGGCCTCCCAAAGTGCTGGGATTACAGGAATAAGCCACCTCGCCGGGCTCCTAGCCCTTTTAAAAATATTATTTTCATACAGTTAAAAAATATGTATCCTCAGATAATATCGAATAATTCTTATTTAAAATGGAATAATTTTTAATTAAATAGTCTAGTTAATAGAAAAATTTACTGCAAAATCAGTTTGGCTAAAATAAGGCCTGATGCTGACTGAACTTTAGGTGTTTCTTGGTTCGTTGTCTCAATTGTTCTGTTTGTTCAGAACTTTCAAAAGGTGAAATTTTATGCTGTTTAACAGAAAAGAATGGCAGGCTGTTATTGGTGGCTTTCATTCTGGAAAATTAAGTTCGCAAAGTTCTTACAAGTCACTCTTACTCCAAATCATGTTCTGTACTGACCTTTAAGAGCTACTCTCACAAGGTATGCTTATAAAATAAGGGGACTCGTTTTTAACATGTTTGTTCCCTTAGAAGTTGTTACCTTGGTAGACTATATACCAAACCAGTCCTGCTATTGCAGAAACACTTTTTTAGAACCACACTTTTGGAATTAATTGCTTTTAAACCTTAGTATGTAGTATTATGTTAAATATTTTCAATGCTGACTAATTTTTTTCTTCGAGGTTGGAGTTTAATTTTTTAAATACTACAAAGTCTCTTGCTGCTAAGGCTGGTAAGTAAGGGAAGTAATTGATGTGAAATTTATAATTTTGGCCTCCCAAATAAAGTGAGATTCTATAGCAGCAATTGTTAATGTAAAGAGTTCTGGAATTGGCTTAAGAGGATCAGTAAATACGCGGAGTTGGATACAGAAAGGATTCATTTTATGTATTATTTTTTGAACCAGAAATTATGAACGTATGATTGGACATGATTACATTAGATAATGTAATTTATTTTGTAGTGTTATGAACAAATAACTAAGTATTTTATTGTTTTAAGTTCTTTTATAAAAACACTTGAAGTTTTATTGAGATGTTTCGCATTTACAAATTATACTCGAATAATTCCGGAGACACTTAAGTAGGTCATATGCTTCCAGTTTTCAAAGAATGGCACAATCCTGGAAAATGCCACTCACCTATTCTTGTTAGTCCACCCTTTTAAATAATGACATATATTTGTAAGCTGGGAGGTAAAAAATAATCTGTCTGTATGGTATCTGATGTAAAGATGGAAAAGGTGTGATATTTTTTCTCATCAGTCATAAGGGGCACAGCTGACCCTCCTGTAACAAAAGACAGGTTAACAAGCGAAAAGCATAACAGATTTATTTAATCAAAGTTTTACACTGCATGGGAGCCTTCAGAAATGAAGCCCCAGAGACCGAAGGAAAACTGTCTGTATTTATGATTAGGTTCAATGAAGAATGGACAGCCATGTAGAAATGTGATTGGACAAAAAGAGTATGGTAATGGTAATAGACAGAGGTAGGGGAAACCCACCAAGGCCTGTTTGTTCAGATTTTTCTTGGCTTCTCTGTATAACTTTCTACTCCTCTAGTGGACCGGCCCGGGCTCATATGGAGTGAGGGTCTTCAGGGCGGAAGGGAAAGTGACCTTTCTAGATTTTTTGTAGGGAAGAAGGGTTGTAGTTTGTAATATACCGCCCAGGGGAGGAGGAATTCTGGTTTCTATGACTTCTTCAATGGAGAAAGAGGGGCAGGAGGTGGTCAGAGAGAGCTTTACTTCTGAGGCCCTCCAGACTCCTTTAATTCAAAGTAATCAGCCTACCAAAGTGCAATATTTTGGGGTATTGTTTTCTGAGCCCCAATACTGGCAATATGTTGCCTGATTACCTAAATTAGTGGTACGACTTACACTTAAAAGATTTTTGTGCGAACAGACAGATTGGTTATTCTAAAGGTGTGGTGTGTAAAAGTTGAAAGAATTTCCAGTGTGTTTTTTCCTATGAACAGTACAAAAACTTGTTACATGAGGAATATCAATATCTTGTTACATGCTGTCCATCTCCCTCATGTTTCGTTTTATGTCTCTTCTCCAAATGTAAGCTCAATAGGTGAATATCTTTTTTTGGCCATGAAAGTATCTTTTCTTCTGCTCTACTGAGTAACCTTTCTCTACCCCATTCTGTCATCTCCCTTCCAACTCTTACAATTTTTAACCCCTTATAATTCCGAAAATTCCACTTCAGCAGTCTCTTTTTGTCCCTTTCTCTAATGATTGTGAACTTTTTAGTTGCCTTAAATTCTTATCTCCTCAGCTACCTCAGTCTTCTACAAAAAAAATAGGTGAATTTTATGTAAATTTTTTCATCTGAGTCTCAACAATATGCACGGCAAATGAGATAACTGTCATAGATGACACTCACAGAAAAGTGTTTAACCAAAGTGTTTAAGTCAGCTGTGAAAATGGAAACTAGAAATTATGCCTCCTGGGCTCAAGTAATATGTTCTCTCTTCTAAGTATCACTTACCACAGTATTCAGTTTATCACCAAAACTCCTGACTTTATGGACAGGAGTAGAACTAATTCTGTTTCTTATACTTCCTGAGGAAGCTGACTTTATGGACACTGTTGGTTTTTCCCTCTGCAAGGCCCATACTTTGTGGAGGCTGGAATCTTTCAACCCAGCCTCCACTAGAGGTGAATAAGGATTGTTTATGCCAGTGATGATGGTCTCATCACCCTTCCCCCCAAGTTACTGTGGAAGCAGGACTCTTGGTTAGTGGGAGTTGGAGGGGAAGTCTGCTGGGGAGCTGCTCAAAATGTTTTCTCAGCAATAGTAACAAATGACTGGGAGGAAGAAATGTCTCATGTTTTGGATATTTTTATGTGAGACAACCCTGATCCTCCAATTCCTATCTGTAAAATCAGCAATTGTGATTCCTGTCATGCAGGATTTTTGATAACTAAAAAATATATGTAAGACATTTGGAAGAGTATCTAGCACATAGTAGGCATAGGACGAATTACATTCCTTCTTTCTACTGCATAGAATCAGTGTGCTTGAATCTTTGCCTCTTAGCCTATAAGCTTCTAGCCAGCTTATTGTTTGTAGATCTCTCATAAGCTTACCTACAACTTATCTGTCTCTGGCAGAACTACTTCTGACTTTCCATTTAGAAAGCAAGTCCATTCCAGACAGTTAGTTTCTTCATAAAATTAGGCATGATGCAGGTAAATAACCTAAATTATTATCTTGCACACAGGAGATGTAAACAGCAATTGTTACTGTATTTTGTTCTTGTCCCTATCTTTAAAATAGTAGTGCCATTCTCCCTAGTCTTTAAAATTTGTTTTAATATTTTCTTTTGCTGCCAGTCTGCGGATTCCGTTGTTCTGATTGCCTAAATGTTTAGCCTTAAAACTTCTTGTAGAGTCAGCTCTTGTATAGTTCTCCCCCACAGCTGCTAAGCTTAACGTTTTGATCACAGCTATAAGACTTTGTCCCCCTATCTCATGGGATTCTGAGTAAGCTTAAATTCCATGCTCTTGTTTCTATAGAATTCATTCTCAGCTCATGAGGACTCACACACAAACTTGGTAACACAAGAGATATTGTAATGAAGGGATGTGTATGTCTGTGTTTCAACCCGTCGCATGTTATATATTTTTATGAAAAGCATTTATTATCAACAGTCAAAATTTGCAATTTTTGTATTAAAATTTCCAGGTTTCCTTTTTATTTATTTATTTTTTGAGACAGGGTCTCACTCTGTTACCCAGGCTAGAGTGCAGTGGCACGATCACAGCTTACCGCAGCAATCCTCCCACCTCAGCTTCCCAAGTAGCTGGAACTACAGGCACATGCCATCATGCCTGGCTCATAAGTTTAATTACTTTTGTTGTTGTTGTTGTTGTTTTGGTAGAGATGGGGTTTTGCTATGTTGCCCAGGCTTGTCTCTCAAACTCCTGGGCCCAAGCACTCTGCCTGGCTTGGCCTCCCAAAGTGCTAGGATGACAGGCATGAGCTGCCACACCCAGCCCAATTTTTCTTTATTTAATAGACTTTATTTTTAGTGTAGTTTTATGTTCACAGCAAAATTAAAAGGCAGAAGATTTCCCCTATGTCCCCTGTCGTCTCTAACTCTTCTTTTAAAATGGAAAATCTGGAAAGATTGGTTTCCACATAGCAACATTTGCTTCAAGCTGAAGAGTAGCTGTCTGCTTTGCTGGGCTACCCACTACCCATTTCACTAGTTTGCAATTCACTCCCTGTTGGACTACAAGGAGCTGCCTTCATTCATGTGTGTTACCTCGCTGGTGTAGTTATTTGATAGGAAAACTTCTTTATGGAAGGAAATAACATTAACTTGTAATAAAAAATTCTACAAGCATCTGTTATGCCTTAGCCCATTGAAGCTACAGAAATCTCCAAAATATCAACATTTTGACTGTGTAAATGCACTTTGAGCTCTATATAGTAAACTTTAAAATTATGCGTATCAATCCTGTAATTAAGTTAAAACTTTGACACATTAAATTATATTGTCTATTTGTAACCAGTGATTAAGACGTATAATTGCAGAGCGTATGACGCAATAAAGCATGGTACCATTTAAGAAATATCATACAGCTCAAGTGCTCAGTTAATTTTCTCATTAGAAATATTAGTCCGTTACTGCTTTAAAAAAAAGTTATGATAAGGCAGTCATTTCTCCATTGCTAGTTAAATCAGCTACATCTGCCCCTCCCCCCAACCTGAACTCCTTCCAAACCATTTCTGCTGTTTGCTCACCTAAGCCGAAAACCTGTGCCGTCTTCCATTTCCATTCAGTCTTCCATGTCTACTACCACAAGGTTCTAACAGTTCTCTCTGCCTCCAGCCTTTTTCCCTCTGCCTTTTCTTCCACATTGCTGCCAGAGTAATCTTTCTAAAATTCAAATTTGACCATGTCACTCCTTTCAGTAGTTTCCTAACTCTTGTCAAAAAAGGCCAGCCACCTTAACTTGATTCCTGGTTGTCACAGAAGATGGTGATGTGACTGGTGGAAAGATATCAACAAACAGAATGTAACGTTTCATATATGGCAAAGGCTATGGAGACTTTTGGAGAACTTGTGTTATTTTGTATCTGAAGCTTTTCTGATAGGGCTTCTCCATTTAAAATGTACACTGTATTTCCCTGATTTACTTTTCTGAGTATTAACTCTTTTAAATGTAACTCAGATATTATTTTTTCCAGAAGACCCCACTGCCGCTAGGTTAGGTGCTTTCTTCTGTGTTTTCATAGCTCTTTGTACATCTCAGTCATTATCATGTGTTCTATTAAAAAAATGTGAAATAAGTGCTCCATGTTAACACAGATTTCGAAAACAAACACAATTTACTTTGGAATTTCTCAAAATCTTTAATGTGCTAAAGTGGATCAGCATTCTCCAAGAGACAGCTATAGTATGAAGGATTTTCCAAACAACACTGAACCATTTTTGGAGCTATTTGTTTTAAATTTCCAGTTTCTTGCTTTTTCATTCTTATATCAGTTGTGTAAGTATGTGTGTGTGTGCAAGTGCTGTTGTCTTTTGTTGTTCTGATATTACATAAATTTATAGTCATCTTGTCTTTGCTCTTGAGTTTTTTATGTTTCAATTTGTTGAATTTGGTGCACAGTTTGCGTGATTTTTTTTTATTCAAACCTTTATGACGTTCTCGTTTCTGTATTTGAGCTTCCCTGTTGACTTGTTTGTGAATACTTACTGTTTGCCATAGTCTGCTTCTGGTGATGAAGAATAAGAATGACGAGTCCTTAGGTAGGGCAAGTTGATAGTTATCTTCTGGAAAAGGAGGCTTCCTGGGGAGTCAGTAGCTGTCATGGGGTTAGTAACTTCCTGAGGAGTCTCCGCTAGCTTAGAGGCTGTCTCTGTGTTAATCTGAATGCAAATATTACTGCTATTTACCAGCAACAAGCTGGAAACAAGCTAGGAAAAGAGGCTAATTCCCTAGCCTACCTGCTGCTCCACGAATGTCACCCTGTTGATTAATTACTCTGAGAAATGCTCCTGACCTGCCTTCTTCCCCCCAAACTCTTAGTTTGCATTGACCTGGTTCAAGGGCTTAGAGGACCTTCAAACTGCTCCAAACTTTATATTGGACTTATGTTTTGGATTGTGATTTTTTTCCTTGTTTACTTTCTTTTTCTTCTTTTTTTTTTAAATGTTCACTCCTTTCTTACATGTAATCCTTTCTGTTTGTCAGTTTGCTCAAAATTTATCTGTATATGGTAGTTTTTGCTTTTCAGCACTGTTATGGATTTGCTTTTTAAAAATCTGTTTTGTACTTCTATCAAAACATCACAAGTACCCCATAAATATGTATAACTATTATGTATCCATAATAATTAAAAATAAAAAATCTGTTTTGATTTTTTTATCTAAATCATAGAGATTTAGATAGGATGTTTGTCTGTCTGTTCTCCATCTATTCTAAGCACTTGAATCTTTTATTTGCAAGATTCACCTATAAACGTTACTTGAGTTACCCAACACTGAGGAAAATGCATGACATCATTATCTTGAATTGATCTTTTTAGTAACTTGAGTTTCTCATCACACTGTATGCTCATTCAGAGCACAAAACACCCCATATTCATCTCTGTATTTCCATTTCCTTGCAGGATGCTGGATATATGGTTGGTGTTCAGTTAAACTGAGTCTTATGAAATCAAACTAAATATAAACATAAATACAAAATATAAACTAAGTGGGCTGGCTGCAGTGGCTCACTGAGCGCCTGTAATCCCAGCACTTTGGGAGGCTGAAGCGGGTGGATCGCCTGAGGTCAGGAGTTCGAGACCAGCCTGGCCAACATGGTGAAACCCTGTCTCTACTAAAAATATAAATATTAGCCGGGCATGGTAGCAGGCGCCTGTAATCCCAGCTACTCGGGAGGCTGAGGCAGGACAATCACGTGAACCTGGGAGGCAGAGGTTGCAGTGAGCTGAGATAGTGACATTGCACTCCAGCCTGGGCAACGAGAGTGAGACTTCGTCTTAAATATATATATGTGTGTGTGTGTGTGTATGTGTATATATGTGTGTATATATATAAACTAAGTGATAAATTATTGTTTATTCTGTAAAAGGAAGCTTCAGAAATAGTGCCTCTGTTGCATTTTTAAATCTTTTAAAATTGATACATGATAGCTGTACAAACACTAGGTCTTATTTCTTTTATCAACTGTATATTTAAACTCACTAATTAATTTCATTTCCCCTCCTGTTTACCCTTCCTAGTGTCTGGAACCATCACGCTACTTTCTTTCTTTGTGGATCTACTTTTTTAGCTTTCACATATGCAATGTTTGTCTTTTTGTGTTTGGTTTATGTCACTTAACGTAATGACTTCCAGTTCCACTCATGTTGCTGTAAATGACAGGATTTCATCCTTTTTTATGGTGGGATAATATTCTGTTGTGTATTATGCCACATTTTCTTTATCCATTCATTTGTTGATGTGTACTTAAATTTATTACATATTTTGGCTGTTGTGAATAGTGCTGCAATAAACGTGGGAGTGCAGCTATCTCTTTGATTTTTTTTCTTTATTTTGGCAATATACCCAGTAGCAGAATTGCTGAATCATATGGCAGTTTCATTTTTTTTTTCAAGGTTCTAAAGGTGCAGAGATATTGTTAGTCTTTTGAGGAACCTCCATACTGTTCTCCATAGCAGACTCCAAATTAGTTGTACTAATTTACATTCCCACCAGCAGTATATCAGGGTTCCCCTGTCTCCAAATCCTTGCCAGCATTCGTTATTGCCTGGCTTTTTGATAAAAGTCTTTTTAGCTGGGGTAAAATGATTTTTTTTTTTTTTTTTTTTTTTTTTTTGGAGATAGGGTCCCACTGTTTGTTGCCCAGACTAATCTGGAACTCCTGGGCTCAAGGAGTCCCACTTCAGTCTTGCACGTAACTGGGTTTACAGGCGCACACCACCACACCCTGTATGCTGCTTTTGAGAAATGTTTGTTGAGATCTTTTGCCAATGTTTAAATCACATTATTTGTTTTTCTGCTTTTGAGTTGTTTGAACTCCTCATGTATTCGGTAGTTAATCCTTTGTCAGATGGATAGTTTACAAAAGTTTTCTCCCGTTTTTTGGGTTGTCTCTTTACTTTGTTGATTGTTCCTTCGCTGTGTAGGTTTTATTTATTTATTTATTTATTTATTTATTTATTTATTGGAAATGGAGTTTCACTTTTGTTGCTCAGGCTGGAGTGCAATGGCACTGTCTCGGCTCACCACAACCTCCGCCTCCCGGATTCAAGCAATTTTCCTGCCTCAGCCTTCCAAGTAGCTGGGATTACAGGCACTCACCACCACACCCGGCTAATTTTGTATCTTTAGTAGAGACAGGGTTTCTCCATGTTGGTCAGGCTGGTCTCAAACTCCTGACCTCAGATGATCGGCCTGCCTTGGCCTCACTGTGTAGGTTTTTAGCTTGATGTAATCCCATTTATCTGTTTCTGCTTTAGATGCCTGTGCTTTTGAGGTCTTACACAAAATTGTTTGCCTAGAACAATGTACTGAAGCATTTCCTCAATGTTTTCTTCTAGTAGTTCCATAGTTTCAGGTCTTAGATTTAAGTCATTAATCCATTCTTATTTGATTTTTGTGTATGGTAAGAGATAGGGTCTAGTTTCATTCTTCAGCATATAGTTACCCAATTTTCCCAGCACCGTTTATTGAAAACATCATCCTTTCTCCGTTGTATGTTCTTGGTGCTTTTGTTAAGATGAGTTGGCTGTAAATTATATTTGGGTTCCTTGTTTTGCTCCATTGGTCTGTGTGTTTGTTTTTAGGCCAGTAGCATGTGATTTGGTTACTATAACTTTGCAGTAAATTTTGAAGCTGGATAGATAGTGTGATGCCTCCAACCTTGTTCTTTTTGCTCAGAGTTGCTTCAGCTATTCAGGGTCTTGTGAGTCCATATAAATATTAGGATTATGAACAGTGAAAACACATGGATACAGGGAGGGGAACATCACACACCGGGGCCTGTCAGGGGGCGTTAGGGGAGGGATAGCATTAGGAGAAATACCTAATGTAGGTGACGGGTTGATGGGTGCAGCAAACCACCATGGCACGTGTATACCTATGTAACAAAACTGCACATTCTGCACATGTACTCCAGAACCTAAAGTATAATTTGTAAAAAAATTGTGATTGTTTCTATTTCTGTGAAGAATGTCATTGGTATTTTGCTAGGGATTGCTCCAAATCTGTAATTTGCTTTGGGTAGTATTGTCATTTTAATAGTATTTATTCCTCCAGCCACAAGCATGGAATATGTTTCCATTTTTTTTGTACATGTCCTCTTCAATTTCTTTCATCAGTGTTCTATAGTTTTCCTTGTTTAGATGTTTCACTTCTTAGGTAAAATTGTTTGCTAGGTATTTTATATTCTTTGTAACTATTGTAACTAGGATTACTTTTTTCTTTAGATTGTTTATTGTTAGCATATGTAAATGCCACTAATTTTTGTATGTTAATTTTGTATCCTGCAACTTTACTGAATTGGTTTATCATTTCTAACAGGTTTTTTGTTTGTCTGTTTTTTTGGTGGGGTCTTTAGGTTTTTCCAGTCGTAACATTGTGTCATCCGCGAACAAGGCTAATTTAACTTCTCTTTTCCATTTTAGATGCTGTTTATTTCTATCTCTTGCCTAATTGCTCTGGCCAAGACTTCCACTATTATATTGGATAAAAGTTTGAAAGTGGGCATGCTTGTCTTATTCTAGATCTTAGAGGAAAGGCCTTCAGTTTTTCCACATTCACTATAATGTCAACTGTGGTTTGTTATATATGGCCTTTATTATTTTGATGTATATTCCTTCTATACCCAGTTCGATGAGGGTTGTAATCACAAAGGATTTTATTGAGTGCTTTTTCAGCATCTGTTGAAACAATCATTTGTTTTTTGTTCTTGGTTCTCTTAATGGATATATCACATTTATTGATTTGCATATATATTGCACTGTCCTTGCATTCCTGGGGTAATACCACCTGATAATGGTGAATGATCTTTTTTAATGTTTTGTCGAATTTGGTTTGCTAGTATTTTGTTCAGGAGTTTTGTATGTATGTTAATCTGTAATATTGGCCTGTAGTTTTCTTTTTTCTTGTTTCTATGGGTGATGCTGATCTTGTAGAATGAGTTTGGAAGTAGTCCTTCTTCAATTTTTTTGAAGCATGAGTAGAATTGTTATTAGTTCTTTAAGTGTTTGGTAGAATTCACCAGCGAAGCTATCAGGTCCTCAGCTTTTCTTTGATGTGAGACTTTTTATTATGGCTTTAATCTCATTATTATTGGCTTATTGAAGTTTTCTATTTTATCATGGTTTAATCTTAGTAGGTTGTATATGTCCGGCAATTTGTTCCTTTCTTTTAGGCTTTCCAGTTTTTTAGCATATAATTCATAGTGGTGCCTAATGATTCTTTATAGTTCTGTGGTCTCAGTTGTCACATCTTCTTTTTCATTGTGACTTCATTTATTTGGGTCTTCTCTCCTAGTTCATCTAGCTAAAGGCTTGATGATTTTATCTTTTCAAATAACCAACTTTTCATTTTCTTGATCTTTTGTATTTTTGGTCTCAACTTCATTGATTTCTGCTCTGATATTTATATTTTTTCTCCTTTTAGGTTTGGTTCTTCTCTAGTTCATCAAAGTGCATAATTGGGTTGTTTATTTGAAGTCTTTTTACTTTTTTGATACAGTCATTTATTGCTATAAACTTTCTTCTTTGTATCACTTTTGCTTTATCCCATAGATTTTGGTGTGTTCTATTTCCATTTTCATCTGTTTGAAGACTTTTTAAAATTTACTTTTTAATTTCTTTGTCACCCCATTGGCTGTTCAGTAGCATGTTTAATTTCCACGTGGTTGTGTAGTTTCTGAAGTTCCTCTTGTTATTGTTTTCTAGTTTTATTGCATTGTGGTCAGAAAACATACTTGATGTAATTTCTGATTTCTTTGAGTTTGTTCAGACTTGTTTTCTGGCCTAAGATATGTTCTGTTCTGGAGAATGTTCCATGTGCTGATGAAAAGAACATATTCTGCAGCAATTGAGTGCAGTGTTCTGTAAATGTCAATTAGGCCTATTAGGTCCAAAGTGAAGTTTAACTTTGGTGTTTCTTTATTGATTTTCTGTCTGGATGATCTTTGCATTACTGATAGTAGAGTGAAAGTCCCCTATAGTTAACGTATTGCAATCTGTCTTTCTCTTTAGGTTCATTAATGTTTGCTGTATGTACTTTGGAGCTCTGGTTTTGGGTGCATAGATATTTCTAATTGTTATATCTGCTTGCTGAATTGACCCCTTTATCATTTTATATAGTGACCTTTGATTCTTTTTATAGTCTTTGATTTGTAGTCTGTTTTATTTGCTGTAAGTATAGCTGCTCCTGCTCCTTTTGGTTTCCAGTTGCATGAAATATCTTTTTCTACTCCTTCACTTTCAGTCTACGTGTGTCTTTTTATATGAAGTGGGTTTCTTGTAGGCAACATATTCTTGGGTCTTGTTGCTTTATCCATTCAGCCACTTAATGCCTTTTAATTGGAGAATTTAGTCCATTACATTAATTATTGATAAGTAAGGACTTCTTCCATTTTGTTGATTGTTTTCTGGTTGTTCTTAATCTCCTCTCTTCCTTTCTTACTATCTTCCTTTGTAGGTAAGTGACTTTCTTTGGTAGTATGTTTTAATTTGTTGCTTTTTTATGTTTAGTGAATCTACTATAGGTTTTTGCACTGTGGTTTTCATGAGGTTTACAAAAAACATATATGTAATAAGTTATTTCAAAGAGACAATAACTTAGATCACAAAGAAAAGAACAGAAACAAAAATATTTATGCCTTAATTCCTTCTCCCCAACATTTTGACTTTTAATTGTCTCAATTTACAGATTTTTATATTACCTATCTCTTAACAGGTGGTTGTAGCTATTGTTGTTTTTGATAGATTTTTATTTTGGGCCTCATACTGGAATTATAAGTGGATTGCACACCATAATTACAGTATTAGAGGATTCTGGGTTTCTCTGTGTATTTAATTTTACCAGTGGATTTCATGCCTCCAGATGTTTTCTCTTTGCACATTAATTTTTTTTCTTTCAGACTGATGAACTCCCTTTAGCATTTCTTATAAGATGGGTCTTGGGGTGAATTCTCCATGCTTTTATTTATGTGGGAAAGACTTTGATTCTCCTTCATATTTGAAAGATAACTTTGCTGGTTACAGTATTTTTGGATGGCAAGTTGTTTGTTTGTTTGTTCGTTTTTTCCTTTCAGCATTTGGAAAATGTTGTTCCACTCCCTTCTGGCCTATATGGTTCTCATTGAGAAGTCTGTTGCCAGACCAATTAGAGCTCCTTTTTATGTTGTTTCTTTCCTCTTGCTGATTTTAGGATCCTCTCTTTGTGCTTCACCTTTGAGAGTTTGATGATTATATGCCTAGGAGTAGCCTTATTTGTGTCAGATTTGTTCAGTGTATCTGACCTTCCAGTACCTGGATATTTATGACTTTCTCAAGCTTTGGAAGTTTTTCTGTGACTATTTCTTGGAATAAGCTTTCTACCCATTCCTCTGGCTCAACTTCTTTTTGAACACCAGTAATTCTTAGATGTGGTCTTCTGAGGCAATATTCTGTATTTCGTAGGTGGTCTTCATTTCTTTTCAGTCTTTTTTCTTCTTTCTCTTACTGTGTATTTTCTAATAACCTGTCTTCAGGTTTACTGATTGTTTCTTCTGCCTGATCCATTCTGCCATGGAGAGCCTCTAATGTATTTCAGTTCAGCAAACATATTTCTCAGTTCCAACATTTCTGTTTAATTGTTTATTATTACTTAAATCTCTTTGTTAAATTTCTCTGATAAATTTCTGAATTTTTTGTTTTATCTTGGAGATCACTGAGTTTCCTTAAATCTACTATTTAAATTCTTGTTCAGAGAGCTTACATATTATTATCTCATTAGGGTCAGTCATTTGTTCTTTGTTTCATCCGCTTAGGGAAGTCAGGCTCCCTGTTTGCTCTTGTTTCCTGCGGATGTGCGTCTATGTCTTTACTTTGACGAATTAGTTATTTATTCTGGTCTTCTCTCTCTGGCTTGTTTTGGTTTTATTGAATGTATTTGCTTAAAGACTCTTTACTGTAAGGTTTCTGCCTCCTTTTTGGTTCTCAGTGGCACTTTAAACCCAGGTTTGCCTTGGCTCTAATAAGTACCTGGAGCAGTGCCCATCTCTAATGGGGGAGCTCCCAAAGGGGATATCCCAACAGTGTGGGAAGGCTGGCAAACGGTTCCTGCCCATGGTTTCTGTGGAATATATCTCCTACAACATGGAGCTGCTGAATAGGCACTCTGATTTGGTGTTTTCTTTGGCTGCAGACAGGGCAGTTTCCAGGGTTGAGGATGGTAGTCTTGCCTCTCCCCTTTGTCTCTGGCTGTCCTCAGGAATATTTCTCCCTTCAGTCCTCATGATGCTTCTGGTGAGTTGAGGCAGGGATGAGTCTCCTGCCAGGGAACCAAAAATGGTGGGAAAGCCGATTGTTCACCTCGATCTTACTTTTTCCAGTGTAGAAATCGTGAGTCGAGGGGAAATTTTTTGTATGCTTGATGCTGGGAAGATTGTGGGGAGAGGCATCACAGGTATGGAAGTCCGATTCTCTTACCATCTGCTCAGAGTTTTTTCACTTCTCTGTGGCCCTGAGAAGTGACTGATCCTCATATTTGAGTTCTGGGATGTCGTTGGTGTTAATCTTAGTGTTACATATTTGTTGTTTTCTGTGACATTAAGTGAAGCCAGCTTGCTTCTGTGACACCATTTTGGAACTTGAATTCTCTAAAGCATATTAAGGTCTATTTGTTTCCATTTGGGGGACTATCAAAGAAATGAGGATGCCAGTTAATCTATATTCTTAATAACAAAGTGATATATTATTACAGCTTTATTTAGCCCCAACAAATTCAGAGCCACTGAGGTAAAACCATAGTAATTCTCTTCTCCCAGAGAAACTAGAAAATGAAATTATTAATTTGCAGGTCATTTAAATTTTCTCTTGTGGTGTGATTAAAATATTACTTTAAAGTATGTGTGTGTGTGTGTGTGTGTGTGTGTATTTATGTTGAAAATAGTACCACTGTCAGTATAAAGATATGGTTATAAGAATGTTTATCAAAGTGTGGTTTGTAAGAATAAAAGCTGCAAACAATCTAAATATCTAATAGTAGAAAATAGCTTAAATAATAGTATGACCATATACTACAACATTATGCAGCCATTAAAAATTATATTGTAGGCCGGACACGGTGACTCACGCCTGTAATCCTAGCACTTTGGGAGGCCGAGGCGGGCAGATCACGAGGTCAAGAGATTGAGATCATCCTGGCCAACATGGTGAAACCCCGTCTCTACTAAAAATACAAAAATTAGCTGGGTGTGGTGGTGTGCACCTGTAGTCCCAGCTACTCAGGAGACTGAGGCAGGAGAATCGGTTGAACCCGGGAGGCAGAGGTTGCAGTGAGCCGAGATCTCGCCATTGCACTCCAGCCTGATGACTGAGTGAAACCCCATCTCAAAAAAAAAAAAAAAAGATATTGTAAAATAACATTTACTAATTTGGAAAGATAATCACAATTGAGTGAGAAAAGAGTAACTTACAAAATTGATGTACAGTGTAATTATATTTTTATTTTAAATGAGGCTATGAATGTGCAAAGAAGTTTAGAAGATTATAGAGCAATATGTTTACAGTGGTTTTTTGGCAACTTTTTTTTAATGAGAATGAATGTTTTGGAATAAGTTTTTTAAAAGTATTAAAATAGCAACATTCAAAATCACATTTGTGATGAATATTCAGGGAATTATTCCTGTTTTAATTAAGTAAAACAAGTACTTATCTGTTGTTTAATGCAGCTAATCAAAATGCATTTCTAGATTGCCATGATTAACTTGTTTTGGAATTTGTTGATGGTTCAGCTCTCATTAATATTATAAGTATCACCTTCTGTTATTTGTGATACTTAGTTTGTGAAGAAAACTCATAAAAAAAATTTTAGGAACTGTCATCAGTATAACTGGAGAAAATGAATTGGACATTTCTAACCAATTATTTAGATAAAAATTATTTAAATCAAATTTATTTTAATATGTTTTCAATGAAAATTTTCTATAAAAATCTGAACAATGTCTGAAAAACTGAGGAGTTAAAACTTCATTGGAAGGCCAAGGCAGGTGGATCGCTTGAGGTCAGGAATTCGAGACCAGCCTAGCCAGCATGGTGAAACCCCTTATCTACAAAATATATATATAACCGGGTGTGGTGGCACACACCTGTAGTCCCAGCTACTCATGAGGCTGAGGCAAGAGAATTGCTTGAACCCAGGAGGCAGAAATTCTAGTGAGCCAAGATCGTGTCACCACACTCCAGCCTGGGCAACAGAGCGAAACTCCGTGTCAAAAAGACAAACAAAAAACTTTAATACTATAAATCTAGAGAGGGACCAACCTCCATGTTCTACATGCCTATTTAATAATAGCTAACATTTATTGAACACTTATTTGCCTGGTACTGTGTTGGGGGATTTACATGCATTATTTTGCGTAATCTAACAAATCTTTTAGGTGGGTAGATTTTTTTTAACATCTCCCTTTCCCATTTGAGAGAAAAGGCTTAACTTACCCATGACAGTAAATAAATGGTAAAGACAGGATTTGAACCCAGGAAGCCTGACTTGAGAGGCAGTGCTGTTAATCACTAAGATGCTCTAGTTGACTTTGAATTGGTGGATGCTTTTGTGACCAGTATTTATTTCCTTGAACAATGACCTCTTCAGGTTCTAAAATAATGTAGAGGAATAAAAAATTTAGGCCATTCTGTTGATTATGTGGTGTTCATACAAGGGAGGAGGTTTTTCAGTCCAAACCTAATTCCCAAAGAAAAACTTCCAGAAAAACTGTTCAAGTCCTAATATTGAGTGTCCACTTGAGTCTTTTCTTAATCGTTTTTTCTAAGTGATAACTCCATTCCTTAGGATATCAGAGAGGAAAGCTTATCTACATCTACAGTTTTTCTGTAACTCCATCCCAACACTTTTGAATCTTTTAAGCTATCTTAAGATTTACATATCCTAGAGTCTGGGTTTTTATCAAAGGACCAAAAACAGGGAAATAAGAGGTTTTATAAAGCTGTTAGAAGAAGCATCCAAAAGAACAAAAAGCAAATCATTAGTCATAAGCTAGATCTTTGAAGGGTATTCATGCTTGAAGAAGTTTCATGTTCATTTCAATATTAAGCTTCCTCTGCAACCTCACCTCATTAATACTACTTAGCATTTTCCCCCTTGGAAATATCATGAATATTGGTTAGAATTTCAAGTGAGCCCCCAAAAGACTTGCTTAGTGTATTATAGTTGTAATAATATATGCCTGCAAATAACAATAAAACAAACTTATGAATGTAGAATGTTAAAGTATCAGGGACTTAGAAGCCAAGAATTATATTACCTGCCAATACCAAAGACCCAAGAATGGTGGCTAAAACAAGATAAAAGTTTATTTTTCTCACACATAAAGCAAATTCAGAGTTTGACAGTTGCATAGTCATCAAGGACCCAAGCTACTTCTTTCTTTCTGCCTAGCTTTCCTTAGTGCATGGCTTCAATTCTCAGAGTCACTCATGGTGGAAAATGGCTATTAGAAGTCTAGTTCCTAGATCCAAGGAGGAAGTAGAAGGAAGGCAGGAAGGGCAAAATGGGCTCATATCAGTTGTCTATTATTTTGTTCCCTTTAAGATATTTTCCTACAATTTCTCCCTACAACTTTCCTGTACATTCTACTGGATGGGATTTAAGTCTATAGCAACAACTAGCTATAAGAACTAACTAGAACATTGCTACCCAGAATAAAATCAGGCTTCTCTACTTAGAAAAAAGGGGATATTTGTTTTTGGAAAGCAGCCAGCATCCTCTGTCATAAGATTGTAGGATGCGTCTCATCTAGACTTTTAAGTTCAAGCTGTTAAGACCCAGACTTCCCCAGCTGCCGATATTGCTTAATAGTGGCAGTTAAAACCCAGATGGATTGCTCATCTGTATTAACCGGAGAGCACACAATTGCTTCTGCTAATGGTAAATTGGATAGAGTGATAGTAAAACAGTGTAGCATTAATGAAGAGTTTTTTCTTGCCTCTTTACATCATCATCCCCCTTCCCCTGGATAGTTTAGAATGTTACTGTGTGCTTAGATGATGAGCCTTTCTAACTATGATCATTTTCCTTCCCCTCAAGATACAAGTTATGCTGGCTATCCAGATTCTGTGATTAAAAATAAAGGTAGTTTTAGTAGATTCTAGCACTTAACATTGGTTTTTAACAATAATGGTTTCATGACTTTGGGTAAATTTTTTAAAATTTTCTCCTGCAGTATAGCCGAAATACAGAAAGATGTGGAATACAGATTGCCATTCACCATAAACAACCTGACAATTAACATTAATATGTGAGTAGAATTGTATCCTACTTTTTCATGTAAAAGGACTTAACAGTTTTTTTATTGTTTCTTAGTTATTAGAAATAAACTTTTAAGGTGAACTTATTTCAAGTAACTATAATTTATAAAATAGTGCACAATTCAGTGAAATAAAAATATTCGAAAGCTATCACTGTTATAGTGTTATAAGAAAGAAACTAGAAAAGAGGAAATGCAATAAAAATGTGTAATACTAATTCTGAGTACTGTAATTGTTTTTATTGATAAGCACTAAAATCTTAGCAGGAGGTATGCTGAAAAATGATAATAAAAAACAAAGGGGTTATATATATAAAGCCGTTAGAGATAGATTCACCTTTAAATCAGAAACAAGTTAAAATATTCCAAATTTCAGCAACAGATATACTACATCAACCAGAAAGTTCAAGATTAGATTTGATTTGCTGATCATTTTTAAGAAAAACAAAAAAGTTAAAAGTATAATTATGAGGGTTTTACTTAAGTTACAAAAAGTTGGACAAAGTGATTGCTGAAGTAGCAATTTAGCCTTAAATGCAGCTATGAGGCTGTAGTGTGAAAAGGCTGTGATTACCTGAGGTTACATTAAGTGGCTGCTGCTAGAGCAAGTGTTTGAGCCAGATAAGAAGGCACCTAACTTGAAGACAGGAACCTTATCATATTCACCTTCACGTTCTCCTTGCCAGCATACTGCCTGTACATAGGAGACCTTATTAAATACTAATGAGTGAATTAAAGCATGAATATATAAGTGCTGTGTTAACGATATATATGAGCTTTTTTATTTATTTACTTATTTTTGAGACGGAGCCTCCCTCTGTCGCCCAGACTGGAGTGCAGTGGCACAATCTTGGCCACTGCAACCTCCGCCTCCCGGGTTCAAGCGATTCTCCTGCCTCAGCTTCTTGAGTAGCTGGGATTACAGGCACGCCCCACCATGCCCGGCTAATTTTTGAATTTTCAGTAGAGACGAGGTTTCACCATGTTGGTCAGGCTGGTCTCGAACTCCTGACCTCGTGATACACCCGCCTCGGCCTCCCAAAGTGCTGGAATTACAGGCGTATGTGAGCTTTTTGAATCCTCACAGCAGCCTTGCAAATTAGGGCAAATTACAGAAACACGGTTAGTAAGTAGCATAGTCAAGATACAAACTGGGCTCCAAAGGCCATTTAGTGCCTTTTTTACCAAACTAGTTTTAAAATCTTCAGCTTTGTAAATGAAGTAGTTTTATCTCTCATCAAATGACCAGGTAAAGCTAAGCAGGAGAGGCCAACAAGGACCCAGTTTTCTTTTCAACAGTATGACCAACAAATAGTTGTCTGAACCATCAGGGGAACAAAGAGACAATTCAAAGTAAAATATTCTTGAGTTTTAGAGATTTGGAAACAGGGTTTCATATCCAGTAAACTCTCATTTTTAAGATTTCACTCACTAATCTTGGTTTTGTAGTAGTTCAAAAAAGGTTAAAATTTCTGCTTGTGTGTGTGTGTGTGTGTTGAAAATATACTGTTCTTTACGTGAAACCATGTGATTGACCTCTAACTTGGGAGAGATGTGTCATTTGGGGCATTTAGAAGGGAGCCGTGTAGAACCAAGTCTTGATGACAGCTACATTGTTTCAATCCTCCTACTTTACATTTTATCCTCTTTAGAAATACAGTAAATAGTGAAATAATGTTTCACAGCATGTTATTTATTTTTATCTTACTTTAGTTTTTCAAAGATGAGGTCTCACTGTGTTGCCCAGGCTGGACTTGAACTCCTGGGCTCAAGTGGCTCTCCTGCCTTAGCCTCCCAAGTAACTGGGACTACAGGCATGCACCACCATGCCCAGCCGTGACAGCATTCTCAAAGTAGAAAAACCACAGAAAATTATATGGCTAGAACCTGTGGTCCAATAAATAGCCAGACTGGACTAGTATGGTTCACCTGATAAAAATGCCTGATCTAATTTCTACCTAAGATTTTGTATAGCTTGGTATATTGTGTTTGAAAGCAACTAATTGGCATGATGTGAAGAATATTCTATAATTCATGTCCATATTTCACATTAAGATTTTACTGCGTTGAATGACTAGTCTTGTTACCAAATTTTAGTCTTAAACATATTTTCAGACAACACCATAATAGAGCACTTATTACTAAATGACCCATATCAAAGTGTGAAAATTTAATTTACTTTTAAATAGCTTTGTTTTAAGATTTTGACCATATAATGTACCTTTGTTATCTTTGTTTTTGTTTTTCATCTGTTCTACCTCTACCAGATTGCTTCCTCCACAGTTTCCTCAGGAAAAACCAGTGATCAGTGTTTATCCACCAATACGACATCACTTAATGGATAAACAAGGAGTGTATGTTACCTCTCCATTAGTAAACAATGTATGTATATGGGATAATTTATTTCAGGGTAATATAATAGGTGTATTACTTTTCTACTAAATATTTTAGAAATCTGAAATGCATTTAAAGTTTCATTTTGTCATGAGTACTTTTTTTAAAAATTGAATATTTAAGACTACGCCTTAAAGTTCTTACAATATGATATGGTTGATTGTGAAAGATTATAACTTCCATATACTCTAGTATTTACCTTTGAACCCTCAAATTATTGTAAATAGTCAAGTAAGGAAATATTTTGGCTCCATTTTTTATTCAATGGACTTTTAACCTGTTTACTAATCACCAGATATTTATGGTATCGATTCTATAAGAAAATGCTATAACTTGTTAATTGCTAATATCCTTTTTCATTTAATTCTTGACCTGCAAAAGTAAGTTAATATTTAGAGTGACATTATCCTAATGAGACTTTATAATCTTTTTCTGGAAGTGATTTTAAGCGTCATGTATTGTTACTTTCAGTTTACAATGCACTCAGATCTTGGAAAAATTATTCAGAGTCTGTTGGATGAGTTTTGGAAGAATCCTCCAGTTTTAGCTCCTACTTCAACAGCATTTCCTTAGTAAGTATATTTCTAGTAAATAAAAAAGTCTGCCTGTATTTTAATGTATTAATCAAAATATAGTTTAAAAATTCAAATGATGTTAAAAATCAGTCCTCTGATTTCTACATCCCCACAAATACATCCATACTTTCAGAGGCAACTGTTTTACTCTTTTACCTGTTTCTTCTAATGTTTACCTACATCTTTCTGAATAATGTATGCGTACTTCTATCACTCGATTCTTTCATTTTAGATATTATCTGTTGGCCTCCTATTGTAATAGATGAAGATTTCAGCTGTTTTTCACTAAACTTCCTTTCTCCTCACTGTCTCAGTGAAATTATATCATGATTTTTAATATTATTCCATATTTGGTGTATTTATTACTGTGACTCTCAATATTGTCCATTGCTGAGCCAAGTATGTTACCATGTTTACATTTCCCTTATGGTGCAATTTTTTGCCTTTTTTCTGGAATTAATAATTACCTACATTTTGTATTTGGTTTGGTTTTGTTTTAGATCATCTTCATTTTCCACATCATCTTAAATTTTAAGATCTTACTAAATTTCCACAGAGCTTTTAGCAACTATGAAAAATATCCTTTAAACCATTTTTTTCATATCAAACCAGTAAGATAATACCTGGGTTTCATTGTTTCCTTCACATTCAGTGCTCCACTTCTTCCCTCCATTCTGAGTTACTCTCTATAACATTTGAGTAACTCTCACCAGGAATTTCCTTTGTTGTCATCCTGGGATTTTCCCTTTGCCACTTTCTTGTATTGGATTCTCCATTTCTTAGATTTCATTTTTCCCTTTCTCAGGCCATTTCCTAGTTTCTTGGTTTACTGCCTTCCAGTAGCTTCCTGAATAAAGTCATGTTCTCGTACTAAAGATACTGTTTTAGTCTTGTTCTTGCATTGCTATAAAGGAATACCTGAGACTGGGTAATATATAAAGAAAAGAGGTTTAATTGGCTCAGGGTTCTGCTGGCTATACAAGAAGCATGACATTGTCATCTGCTTGGCATCTGAGGAGCTTTTACTCCCGGTAGAAGGTAAAGCGGGTGCAGGCACATTACATGATGAGAGCAAGAGTGAGGAGTGGGGGAGGTACCACACCCTTTTAAACAGTCAGATCTCATGAGAACTCACTATGGCAAGGACAGCACCAAGAGGATGGCATTAAAGTATTCATGAGAAATACACCCCCATGATCCAGTCACCTCCCAGCAGGCCCCACCTCCAACATTGGGGATTGCAATTCAGTATGAGATTTAAAGGGGAAAACATCCAAACTATATCAGATGAATAACAGATTACCCTAAAAACTTTTGGTTGAAATAATGACATTTATGTTTTTATAAGAATCTACCATTTGGTTAGGGACCAGTGGCGATAACTCATTTTTGCTCCACTTTTTGCATTACCTGGTGTCGTCTGGCAGTTAATGTTGGCTTAATGGTTAGACTTCAGTGCTGATACATCTATATGTGGCATCTCCATGTGACCTGCGCTTCCTCACTGCGTGGCAGGGGTGAGATCTGAGGGTCAGGATCCCAAGAGAGAGAGCATTCCAACCAAGTGGAAGCTGTATTATCTTTTTTGGTTTAGTCCTGAATGTTATTCAGCATCATTTCTGCTGCATTTTCTAAAGTTAGTCACCTAGATCCACCCAGATTGAAAGGGGAGGGAAAGTAGACTTCATTTCTCGATGGGGTAGCAAAGTTCAAGAAGTTCATATGGGACTGGAAATCTGGTTGTGGCCATTTTGGAATATAAAGTCGGTCACATTCTTCCTCCTAGCCGTAAGAATTCACCTCTTTCCTATAGGTGAATAGGCACACTCCCCTTTCCCCAAGAACTTGCAGAGTTCATCATATTGTAGAATCAGGCTTGTGTTCTTTCATCTAAATCAGATTCAAGTACAGATGAGGTTTCTCACTTGTGTTCCTGAAGAACAATTCCTCTTGATCTGAAGACAACGGAATTAAAGAGACAAGGTAGCTGCCCCTCACACACCCACTGTACAATGGTAGAACAAGCCTCGGGTAACCACTATAGATTCCAAAAGAGAGGAAGTAGGAAGCACACAGGAGCCACTGGTTCATAACAGTACTGAAATCCAACTGGGCACATTGTTTTTTTTATTAAGACTTAGTTAATGGAAATGATTCTTCATAGAGTAATTTTCGTTTCTTGGTTCTGCCTTCTGTGTCATAATTCCTTTCTGTAAAATGTAGCCCTTGTTTCCAAGTGCATAGTTTTTTCAGCCTGCTTCCTGCCTGTAGAAATTAAGGGTCTGTTAGCCTCTTTTTCATTTGGTACTTTCTCTGTCCCTTGTAGACCCAAGATGACACAATTCCTTTAACATGCTTATGATTGGCTGGGCGCGGTGGCTCACGCCTGTAATCCCAGCACTTTGGGAGGCCGAGGCAGGCGGATCACGAGGTCAGGAGATCGAGACCATCCTGGCTAACACGGTGAAACCTCGTCTCTACTAAAAATACAAAAAAGTTAGCTGGGCATGGTGGTGGGCACCTGTAGTCCCAGCTACTCGGAAGGCTGAGGCAGGAGAATGGCGTGAACCCGGGAGGAAGAGCTTGCAGTGAGCCGAGATCACGCCACTGCATTCCAGCCTGGGTGACAGAGCAAGACTCCGTCTCAAAAAAAAAAATGCTTATGATTTCTTATGAATCCTTTTTCATTCATTTCATTAAACAAAAGCAACACCCACTAAGCTCCTCCAAATAAGCTGTTGGGCTTCCAGTGAGGCTGCTGAGAGACAATGTCTTTAAGATTCTTTGAAGCCCTAAGTGGCTGTTTTTCTTACTCGACAGCACTCTGAGGCTCTGCCTTGGCTCTTCCAGAGGTGTTAACAAAGGATCTTCTAGCCCATGCTGGGTTTGAACTTTGCTTTTAGAGGTGTTTCTTAATTTGAGAATCTTAGGGAAGCTAGGAATGAGAGATAAATTTATTTTCAAATCCAGGAAATCTCATCTTTCATATTTAGCAGTTCTTTAATTTCTCTCTCTTCTCACATTTTACTACAGCCAGCTAGAAATCAGGTGGCACCATCCGCACTGCCTGGAAATCTCCTTAGCTAGATCATCCAATTCACTAGGTACATTTTCTGTTTTCCATATTATTGCATGCAGCAGTATTGGTAAACTTTCCACTAATAAAAAGTTCTCCTTCCGGTGACCATCTGCTCAAAGGCCCACCAGGCTCCTCCTAACAGCCTCTTTGAGGCCCATTAGACCTTCATAATCTTCTGAGGGGACTTCCAGCCTATAGCTCTGCTTGGTCCCAAAGCTACTCCCACACTTTAGATTTTTGTTGTTGTTGTTGTCATAGCAGCATTCCACTTCCAGGTACTTCAGCCCTCTCCCCCTCATCTTTTTCTTCCTGTTTTCTATGTTCTAGAGTCCTGAGTCCTTATTTTCAGATAAAAAATGTATTCAAAACCCATACCTCTATCTTCTGTAGTAATAGGGCTGGATATAAACTCATTTACCTTATTTGAAAATACAAACCGACAAGTTTACTTGTTTTCATTTCAGATAAGTTCGGGGATATAGTACCATTATTAAAAATCAAGTTTGATGCATTTCTTAGATTATTTTGTGGGTTGTACCTGCTACTGAGTTCAAAATAAAGCAGATTGGGTCAGAATTATTGATTTAAATTCAAAGATATTACAAATACTCTCTCATGTTGGTTTTATTGTTTCTAAATAGCTTGTTATATTCACATACATATCACTAATTCCTTCAGATAAATTTTAAGATAAAGATGAGCCATCGTTTGAAATGAACAAGCTGATTAGAAAACTTAATTTTTTCTAGGGGTCATATATTCACCTGGCTCAAAATTCAAAAAGTATAAAGGAGTATAGAGTGAAAATCTCCGTGTCACTTTTTTCCCTTGCAGCTTAATTTTTTTTCCTCATTAGCATCTAAAGTTATTTGTTTGGGTTTGTGTATATATAATTCCTGAGCTGTTTTATTCATCTACAAGAAAATATATATAGTATTGTATTTTCCCCCTTTTTTATATGAATGGTAGCATATTTTGCCCTTCCTTTTTTTTTTTTTTTTTTTTTTTTTGGTGGAGGGGGTCACTAAATGATATGGTTTTGGAAAGTTTTTCATGTTAGTACTAAGGCACTTCCTCATTATTCCTTATAGCCACAAAGTATTTGTTTTATGGGTGTATTATAATGTCTTTAGCAAGCCTGACAGATATTTTCATGTTTTCTAACCCTCCCTCAAAAGCCCATCCTACTTCATTGCCGTCAGTGCTGCTCCAGTAAATAATCTTTAAAATAATATTTTACCCAAATGTGAGCTTATTTGTTGGATAAATTCTAGAAGTGTAATGCACATTTGTAGTTTTGACAAATGCTGCAAAATTGCCCTCCAGAGTAGTTGTACCAGTTTCTGTTCCTATACAATCCCTATTTTCCCCAGGCTGGAGTGCAGTGGCGCAATCTCGGCTCACTGCAAGCTCGGCCTCCCGGGTTCATGCCATCCTCCTGCCTCAGCCTCCCGAGTAGCTGGGACTACAGGCGCCCACCACTACGCCCAGCTAATTTTTTGTATTTTTAGTAGAGACGGGGTTTCACCGTGTTAGCCAGGATGGTCTCGATCCCCTGACCTCATGATCCACCTGCCTCAGCCTCCCAAAGTGCTAGGATTACAGGCGTGTATTAGGGTTTTATAATTTGTTTTGCTTTATCAAAGGACTAATATTTCTGTACCTTCCTTTTTCAGGCTTTTTTTCTTTCTACTGTGGCTTATTTTTCCATATACATTTTAGTGTCATTCGTATACATTTAAAAAAAATGTTTTCTTCCCACAAAATTTCCAACTCAGGTTATGTCATTAAATGAAATAATAGTACTCTCATAAAAAATTAATACATTTTGAAACATTTTTCAATGTAAAGGGAAGCATTTTAGTAGCATTACATTAATATTTAAAACATAACTGTAAGTCCCTTATCCTTTACACTAGAGTGCCTGATCCATATAAACTCACTGTATTATTCATATATTGTATTTAGATGATTCTCAGTCTGCATCTAGGTCTGAATTACTCTAATGCTTTTTAGAGTAATATAATGATCTGGTTCTCTCTAAAATTTGCTAAGGGGAAAAAATGTTAAATGTAAAATATTTGTTATCTTGCAAAAATAAATACTGACTATATTGTTCTGTGATTGAATCCAAAGTACATAATGCTGTGTGACTCTAATATACATGCGTGTTTATATATGCATCTGTTTTTAATATTTCAACATTTTAGAAGCTCATCTGCATACTTAATTTTACTTCGAAATTTTCTAGAAAAGCAGTCTTGACTTTCAGTCAGATTTTGACAAATACAGAGAAAGCTGTTAGCCTCTACTTGAATAAATGTCCTGGATTAAATATTGCTCTGCATTCCCTCTATGGAGATACTGATTGATAGCAGTGGAGTGCTGAAAACTCAAAAATGGCCTGTCTATCCACTTCTACTCCGTCCAGTTGAATTGCATGCTTTCTAAAGCACCCATCATCTTCTTTGTAGAAACCACAATTCTACAATTCTTTTTTTTCGGGGGGGTGGGGTCATATTTTACCACTTTATATAATATTTAATTCCATTATATAATTTAATAAATATCACCTGCCATTATAACATTTCATCTATATAGTACTTGACCTTTGTTATTTAGAACAATTTAGAAACAATTTGACATGTTTTATCCATAAAATCTAATGTAATGATCTTCTCTTTTTCTTTTCAGTCTATACAGTAACCCAAGTGGGATGTCTCCTTATGCTTCTCAGGGTTTTCCATTTCTTCCTCCATATCCTCCACAAGAAGCAAACAGGAGTATCACTTCTTTATCTGTTGCTGACACTGTTTCTTCTTCAACAACAAGTCATACCACAGCCAAGCCTGCCGCTCCTTCATTTGGTGTCCTTTCAAATCTGCCATTACCCATTCCCACAGTGGATGCTTCAATACCGGTTGGTATCGTCAGTTATCTATATTTTGTGCCACTGAAACATTCATTCAATCCACACACCTTTATTACATGCCTCTGTGTGCCAGATAATAAGTTAGACACAAAATATGAAAAGATGAACTCACATTTTTCAATTCAAGTAACAGGTAACCAACAAATAATAATTTTAAATATGGAGCTTCTAATTCTAGTGTAGTAGAAGGGACAGAGTTTTGGTAGAGACACAGTTAGGGGAATGGTCAGTGCTCCTAGGGACCAAGGTAGAACTAGTAGATCGCCTTTACAAAAAATGTGATTCTGGTTTTTTTCACCACTTTCTTAGTGCCTCAAATATACTGATGAATATAGTGGGTACTCTTTAAAAATGAGGCAGCTAAACAAATGCATGCATTTATGCTTGAGGCCAGATTTTGAAAGATCATTATTAATTTGCCAGAATAACAAGGGGATACATAAGGCATTCTTTGAGAGGCAGTAACATTGTCAAAGACATTGAGGTAGAAACTGGATGGCATTTTTGTGAAGCTGCCTATAGTAGATCTCTCTGGCTGCCATATAGGGTGTGGGCAAAGGCAGAAGAATGATCATGTGGGAGCAGCAGGTGTCACATTATGATGGGTCTGCTAACATACGCTGAGGGCTTCAAGTGTTCCGTTGGTTTAAAAGCTTGTATATTCTTAAGCTGGTAACTGTTGCTATGTGGAATGTTCCTGAAGGAGAGACTAATACTTAGGGCATGAAACATTTAAAGGGGTATAAAACCTTTCAATTAAAACCCTCAGTGAATATCACCCATAGCATTACTCAAGTATGAAACCATAGTATATCCAACATTACTAATTTCAGAGTTTATAATCATTTAGAAGATACAGACCTAAGTGGACTTGGTTTTTCCAAAACCTTTCATTTATTGTGTTAATGAGTGTTGTGAACAAATTACAGTTAGTAGTGTGAACAAAATTACAAGAGGACTTTTCAAGGGTCCTCAAGGATAAAAAGTCATATATATTCAAACAGTGGCTACTCGGTTGCTCATCTACCCTACCGTCTCATGTGACTGAGGCATGTAACTATTCAGACTGTTGATAAATTATTGCTTTTGTATATTTAATGCCTTTCACTTGAGAGAAACATATTCATATATACCAATGAAATCTACAGCCATGTACTTAGACAAGAAAGAGAACTACCAGTTCTCTACCTAACACAGGTCCTCACATGGCCATCACCAAAAAAAAAAGTAATCCTATGTATACGACGCTGAAAAGAAGACAGACTGAAGGAAGAAGGGGAGACTAAGGCAGTGTGAGATGTGAAGATGAAAATATGATAATGCAAACAGTTATGGGATATAGTACATTAAAGATTACGTTTATTAGTAATTGAGAGCAGTCAAAAATAATGGCTGAAATTTAATATCATTTAAAACTTTTCTTTAGACAAGCCAAAATGGTTTTGGGTACAAGATGCCAGATGTCCCTGATGCATTTCCAGAACTCTCAGAACTAAGGTAAACCTGGAAAGTAAAGTTGGTCACATTGTCTATTTTATTTGTAAGCATAAACCAGATTATTATTTCATATCCATATAAATTAAAGTTTAAAATTTTCACTAATCCTAAACAATATTGTTGTTGCCTTAGTGGGATTTAAAAATCAGTTTTAGGTCCTATAGGTTACATTTATTGAGTGACTGGTACATACTCAGGGATTTTTATAGGATTTTTATAATGATATAATAGTTACCAAGATAACAAAATCCTTTCTGTCATGTGGCCTGCATTCTTTGAAAAATATTTTTGAATACATTATTCCTGACAATTTCAAAATATATCTTGGCCTATTTTAGATCTTCCATTGTTCCCTTAGTAGATAAACTTTACATATAGAGAAATAAAGTTATAAAGTATTAGGTGTTTTTACAGATCCAAACTTTTTTTCAAATTTATAGCAGAAAAGTTTATAATCAAATTTAAGGTGCCATTTTTCATGGAACTTTGCTTCTCTAAAATGTTTCATGAAGAAAATGGTTTTTTGCCATTCAGTTTTGGGAAGCACTGCACCCTTTATACCCCCATTGAGAGTTCATGATACTCATAAGGCTCTTATTACTAATAAGACTACTGAATGCAGTTAGACTTTTTCTTTATTTTTTTGCAGTCCTTTTTGTCTTTAGGATATATCTCATCAAAGATGTACAGCCAAGTACCCATGAGAAATTCTGTAGTTTAAAAAGAGTTTAAATTTATTTGCACCAGTGTTTTATAGTCATTTTAAGGAAATAGTGATTTATTGTCTTCTGTAATAAAATGAATATTTACAATATACTGCATACATTAAAGGTTAATATGCATTGTAATGCTCACAATAACCCCATAAGGTAGGAGTTCTCATTTAATAAGATTATCTTTTTTGCTTTAAATTTTTTTTAAATAATTGTTATGAAAACATCAAAAATGCAAAAAAGGTGAAGAAACTAGTATAATGAGCCACCACGTATCCATCATGTGGCAACAACAGCTATAAACCCTTTTGCTCACCATGCTTCATGCCTCTTCTATCCAGCTTTCTTGGAGGGCTGTAGGTATGAGTCACCATTATTCTAAAGCAAATCCCAGATAATACATCCTTTTTAACCCATCAATTCTTCAGTAAATTTTTCTACCAGGTAAGGATTTTCTTTCCTTTTAACCATAACCCCAGTCACCATCATCATCATACCTAACACAATTAATGGTAATTCTTTAATATTACCTTATTTCTCCAGTGTCTTAATAATTAATATTTTTGTGGGCAGTTTGTTTGAATCAGGATTCAAAACGAGTTCCACCTATTGCATTTGGATAGTGGATCTCTTAAGTTCCTTTTAATAATGAACCATTTCTCCCCAACTTTTCTCTTTTATACACACACACACACACACACACACACACACACACACACACAGACATATACATATGTGTATTTACATATGTTCGTATACATGTACACAAATATGGGAATAAATACATGTCCATGTACATACATCCATGCGTGTATATTAGACATAGTGTGTGTTTATTAAATTGGTTATTTGTCCTATAAAATTTTCCATATCCTGTTTTTTCCTTAGTGCCTCCTTGTGGTACCATTGAAGATGTTTCTCTGTTTCCCATAGTTTATGCTGCTGGTGGCTAGAAGTAGACAAGGTTCAATTCTTTTGCCAATACTTATGTCATAATTACTGCATGCTTCTTTTTACATCCTATGAGGCAGCAGTGAGGTCTGGTTGCCCTTTTTTTAGTGACATTAAGATTATATCAGGTTAAAGCACCTGAAATCATTGACCATCATTAATATAGCAAGGGTCATAAATATGATTTAATGATTTTATCATTACCACCAGAATTTATTAACCAGAATTACTCTATGAAGAACTTGACTTAATCAACTACATATTTAGTTATACTGAAGTATACTTCATACAGGACCAAGAAAAATGCTTAAATTTTTCCCCTTATATTATCACCTGTCACAATAATGAGTTGCTGCACTATCTGTCTCCAAAAGTTGCTCTGATGGGTGAGAAACTCAAGTTGCCTTCTGTATCGTTTTTGGCAAAGTGAAGATGCTGTGGGCTCATCATGAACATTTCTTCTCCCAGACCTAGAGTCAGCCATTTCTCTGAAGGGTGCTTGTTCTTTTCCAAAATAACAATACCAGTACTGTTACTAAGATTATTGAATGCAGGTTAAATTTTTGTTTTTGTTTTTTACAGTTCTGTTGTCTTTAGGATATGACATGCCAGAATATACTGTTGTTTTTTTAATCTCTCCAAATAATTTTTCTCTGGGTGTTGATATAACTTAGAATATACAGGTTTATTTATTTTCAAAGCAGTCCATTTTCCCTGAATTTTAAAGACTGCTTTTTCTTTTCTTCTTTATTTTTAAATTATCCAACGTTTTTATATGGCTCCATAGTCAAAACTAAGATACGTTCAGAAAAGTTTTGCTTCCATCCATATCTGCTCCACCTAGTTCTTTCACCCTACAGATACCCATTTTTGTTTTTGGTTTAGCCCTCCATTATTTCTTTTCTTTAAATATTTTATGAATATCTGTACACACATATACATAAACACACATAAACATATCTATAACTCTTACTGTGACAGCCACACATCTGTAAGCTAAATAGTCACAGAGGTTAAAACGGAGTTGTTGTGACTGCTTATGTGCCGTGTCTTACTGGTCCTACAGTAACTGACATTATACACTAGCAGAGACTGTTTATCTTGTAGAGTCTTGGGAGATTTTACTGGCTACATTTTGGCCAACACATCCTTGGAATCATGCACTGACCTGGTCTAAAGCTGACTAGAGGAAAAAGCCAAAATGTTACAGTAACTACTCTGGCCTCTTTTCAGCTCTGTTTCCCTCTTATCAATACATACAATGAAATGACTAGGAAGAAATTCTTCTCATGCTACCTTGTCTGTGAACTTGTACTTGTCTGAATTTACTATAGTACTAGTGTGTTCAACATTATGCTTGGAAGAAATAAATAGCTTAAATTTTACATATCAGTAAGTCTGGTTCCTATCAGGGAAATTTAAGAAATAAGTGATATTCTCAAGCAATTAAGTTAAACAGAATTAAGAACAAGAAAAAAATACTTAACTATATTACTGCTGTCCTATTTTAAGAAACCTAAGCTGAATAAGCTCCTTAGTTTCATACATTGTTCTTTACCTGAGTTAAGTTGACTTTATTTTTAATTTCAGGTCACTGTATAACTGTGAACACTTCCCCACGGTTGTGATTTTTAAAGAAAGTAGATATATCGATATATCCATTGGACCAAAATTTACTTTTACAGATTCTGTCAAGAATATATTACAGACTGCTCTATGTTCCATTGTGGTTGATGTTTTATTTGATTTTAAGGTTAAAACTGGCAGCCTTAGGTGTATATGTAAAAATTATTTAGAACCCTATCAGTTAACTAAAGCTGAAAAATTGTAAATAGTTGTCATGGAGAAAAACTCGATGTCTGATATTTATTGACATTTTTTCTTTTGTGTTTCTAGTGTGTCACAACTCACAGATATGAATGAACAAGAGGAGGTATTACTAGAACAGTTTCTGACTTTGCCTCAACTAAAACAAATTATTACCGACAAAGATGACTTAGTAAAAAGTATTGAGGAACTAGCAAGTATGTTTTCCCTCTCCTGAGCGCACATTTCCTGAAAAAAATCTCATCTTTACCTAGAAGTAAACTAGAGATTTATCTTACAGGAAAAAATCTCCTTTTGGAGCCCAGCTTGGAAGCCAAAAGACAAACTGTTTTAGATAAGGTGAGTTAGTGATAATTTTGAAGAAATTTACATAATTTAAAAATAGAATAAAACAACCTTTTCATTTTCTCTTTTAGTATGAATTACTTACACAGATGAAGTCCACTTTCGAAAAGAAGATGCAAAGGCAGCATGAACTTAGTGAGGTAAGACTGTTTATTTTTTTCCCTTTGCCATAGATTTTTTTTTTAATCTTATGTGCATGAGTCCTGATCTCACTTTCATTATCATCAGAAACCATTTATGAGGTATCTGACCTTATAAGACATGATACCTTTAAACGTGGATGAACAGCTCTCAGTGATGAGGCATCATACATTATTTGTGCTCATATAAGAGCGTATTTGTTTCTAAAACAGAAAATTATGACAGGCCCTGACACATAACTTTTCTGGGTAAGTTATGAAACCATTGTAACACTTGTAGTGAAACCTAGCAATAACAACAAAAACTTTCGACTCACTTGTAAGCTTATCTACAAATACCTTAAATGAAAAGTTCGCAAATTAAAAAGAATAATATATGAAAAATATATAGTATTATCTGCTACAAATAAGTTTTATGCTAGAAATCCAGTTATGTGAAAATCAAAAGAATTTTATAAAATTCAACCTATATTTCTGAAAAAAAAGGAATCTTTGAAAAGGAACCAGAGGACATAATCTTTGTATCATACCAATAACAACCTCATAGTTAATATTCTGTTTCCTGTAAAATTAGGAACTTTGGGTAAAGTCAATGAAATAAAACATAAAATAGACATAAACCAACAACAGCAAAAAAGATGGTAAAGGAGAATATAAATTTATAATGAATTTCAGATAATACGGTCATTTGTCAGAATAAAGAAATAATAGCTAACATTGAGCAATTAATATGTCTTGCACCGCATGAAGCTATTTACGTATATTGGGCCATTATTACACCAAATCCTATGAAATAGGTATTGTTACTTTTTCCCATTTTACATTTTACAGATAGGGAAACTGAGGCACAGGGAGATTAAATAAATTTCTTGAGGTCATACAAGTAGAAACATTAGTTAGGAGTGTAACCTAAGCAGTCCTCCTTCACAGAAAATCTGTGAGACTCAACTGAAGTACTGTTAGATATATACTGGACCTTAGTAAATGTTGAAGAAGCTTTCATAGTACTCAACATCATTCTTTATACAAACTCTTAGTAAACTAAAAATAGAAATTTCTTATTTGAAAAAGAATACTAGAAACCAGCAGTAAACCTCACAATTACTACACATTTCTAGGATCCCATTAATGTTAGGAATAAGAGAGTAATGCCTCATGATCACTGCTGTTTAACGTTGTTTGGGAGGTTTTGAGTACTGCAAGACCAAAAAAAAGTGGTATAACATAAAAAGAAGAAATGAAACAGTTGTTTACCAAAAATAAACAATCAAAAATTCTAGAGAACTGAGAAATTTTTTCCTGTTTGCTCCAGCAATTACTACTGCAAAATGAAGTACAGAAAACAACTCATTTACCATAGGAACAAAATTGTAAAGTACTTAGAAGTAAACCCAATGAAGTAAGTTAGGAAACTTTATTGAATGCCATAAAAGAAGAGCTGAGTTTTGTATTTTCTAAGACTATTTAGAGCAGCATAGAATATTCATTGAATGAAAGATCCATTATTAAAAAGATTTCATTCTCCCCAAAATAACTTAGAAATTGAATACAGTTCTTATCAAAATGCCAAGAATATTTTTTTTATCTTAACAGTTTATTCTAAAGTTCATCTGAAACTTTATTTTTCAGATGGGTAGTCAGGAAGAGCTTGAACAAAAAGAAAAAATGAAAAAAACTCCCTTTCCCAGTATCAGAATACACTGTAAATCCTCATTATTTAAAACAGTATAGTAGTTTTATAGGAAGAGAAAATTATTTCTATGGAACAGACTATGTAGTTCAAAAATAGACTTGTGTATGTGAATAATCAGTTGGAAAAAATTGAGGATTCAATAAATTATAAAATTGGTTATTTAGTATCCATTTAGAAAAAGGTTAGATCATTGTATCATACAATACACAGAAAGTTTATTACAGATAAACTGCTTCAGCGGAAACCATAAAACGTCAACTAGCTTCTAGGATTTTTTCTTTAAGATTATGGTGGGAAAAGCCTTTCTTAGCATAATAAAACAGATATGAGCATAAAGGAAAAACTCGACATATTTACCTCTACAGATTGAAAACTCAGATATATTAAAAAATCATGAAATCAAAATTGAAGTTAAAAAAAGGGTACAGATATTTTTAGCCTATACAACAAATACTAATGCCAGTGGTCTATTGGAAAAGGAAACAACAGGAAACTGACAAAAGGAGAAATATAAATGTCCAATAAAGATTCTGCTTTAACAGTTATTCTGATCCTTAAACATTCATATAAGAATTGCTGGAAGTGACTCTTCAAACACTTAAAAAAAAGACACACACACACACACACACAAAACAATGATTCCTAGGCTTCTTTCTAGATGTTCTCAGTCAAAATTTTCTGGGGATGATGAATCTTCTGCGCTCTTACATATGGAAACCACTTCATTAGACCATTGGTTCCGTGATGGAGGAATCTGTTCTGTTTCATTTCTACTGTACACCTAATATCTGGTTCAGTGGTTGGCACATAATAGGTACTCAATAAATATTTAATGAATAAATAACTGGAAACTTTGGAAAATATGTTCAACTTTACTGTAATTTTTTAAAAAGCCAAATAAAACATCCATGTGAGCCATATTTGTGAAGATAGATAACCAGTTTTGGCAAGGGCAATGAGAAAATGGTGCATTACAGTTCATTTTTATTTATGAGTCACAAAGAGATACTACCCCACATGCATTAGCATGGCCATTATTTTTTTTTTCTTACTCTGTCACCCAGGCTGGAGTGCAGTGCTGCAGTTACAGCTCACTGCAGCCTTGACCTCCCAGGCTCAAGCGATCCTCCCAATTCATCCTCCCAAGTAGCCAAGGCTACAGGTGCATGCCACCACACCTGGCTAATTTTTGTATTTTTTGTAGAGACGGGGTCTCGCTATGTTGCCCAGCCTGGTCATGAACTCCCAGGCTCAAGCCATCTGCTTGCCTCAGGCTCCCACAGTGCTGGGATTACAGGCATGAGCCACCACGTCAAGCAGGATAGCTATTATTAAAAAATCATTTTAGTGCCTAGATTTAGGTCTTTGATCCATTTGGAATCAATTTTGTATTTAAGTAAGGTAAGGGTCCAACTTTTTTCCTTTGCCTGTCGATAATCCAGTTTTTTCCAGCACCATTTGTTGAAAAGATTCCTTTCCCCATTAACTGGACTGGGCTCCCTGGTTGAAAATCATTTGGCCATATGTGTGAGGGTTTATTTCTGGGCTGTCTATTCTGTTCCATTGTTCTTTATGTTTTTATGCCAGTACCACAGTTTTGATTACTGTAACTTTGTTAGTAACTTGACATGAGGAAATATTAATCATCTTTAAGATTGTTTTGGCTATTTGGGGTCTCTTGAGATTCCGTATGAATTTTAGGATAGGTTTTTCTATTTTTGCAAAAAATGCCCTTGAGATTTTGATAGGGATTGCATTGAGTCTATAGGTTGCTTTGATTAGTAATGTCTTCTTAAGAATATTAAATCTTTCAACCCATAAACATGGGATGTCTTCCAGTAATTTATGTCTTCAATTTCTTATAGCAGTGTCTACAGTTTTCTGTTTATCAGTCTTTCACTGCTTTAGTGAAATTTAATCCCATCATTTTTGCCTTATTCTATTGAAATGAGTCGTCAGGTTCAGCCCACACTCAATGGTGGGATTATGCAAGGGCAGGAATACCAGGAGGTGAGGTCATTAGTGGAGCGTCTCCTTAGCATATATCTACCACAGTGATTTAATTCGTAAATCCTTAGGAGAGAACAATGATTTTCCCAGTTTCTCTCATTTAATAGTTTGCAGCCAATAGATTAGTTTCTCTTGAGTTAGGTGTCTACCCCTATCCAAAAGCTAAGGACCTGGGTGGGGCATTATAAGACAGCAGATTTTCTCAAAAAGAGGCTATATAGGGCATATAATAAATTGCCTCTCCATACCACTACCTTACTTCCTTTCCCTGTGAGGAGTTCTTGTGAGTATCATAAATTAAAGTAGTGCCTGATTTTCTTTTTCAGAGCTGTAGTGCAAGTGCCCTTCAGGCAAGATTGAAAGTAGCTGCACATGAAGCTGAGGAAGAATCTGATAATATTGCAGAAGACTTCTTGGAGGGAAAGATGGAAATAGATGATTTTCTCAGTAGCTTCATGGAAAAGAGAACAGTATGTAATACTCGTCAGTTGAGGACAAGTATTGGATAAAGTTTGGTATTTTTATAGAGGAGGAGAAGCACTGGGTGTTAGCTATTTCTCTATTATGATATCATCCCCCTTTTTTTGTACAATATATTTACCTGAAAGGAAGGTTTCTATTCCTTGGGTGTGGACTTGGGCAAAAACCAGGTTCCTGGAACTTAAAACTTTGAAGGTCTGTCATAGGACTCTGGACAGCCACACACCTTAGCTATTCCCAGGGGACCCCAGGGGGGCAACTGCCATTGCTCTAAGATGTCCTTTTGATGTGACTTGAGATATAAATGAGAGTGAGGGCCTGTACGTGTGGCTATTTCCTGTCTGGTATGTCAGAGGAACAGTCCTGGTCAGAAGGGGGCTCTTCTGAGCAGAAATTGCTAATAAACTTTGTGCTGATCTGGAAAAAAAAAAATTTTTTTTTTGACAGCATAGTATCAAATTACTTTAGCATACTCATGAGTGAAAAACATTAGCACATTACTGAACTGGAGTTTTGAGTGCTGTGAGAGGAACCTGAAAAGCCTCTTGAGAATAATAGCAGCATCTTCCTATCACTTTAGACTTGCTTTTTCTGAGTATACAAGCAGGTAAATCAAATAGTTGTTTCAGAAATGGTAGTATCTGTATCATTCTGTAATACAGCTGATAAATCTAGTCCTAATAGTTGAAATAGACTCCTCAATGACTTGTTTTACCACTTGTTGAAAGAAAGAATAACGTACAGGGATTATAGAATACATTTTTAAAAATTGAGAAACAGTTTCTGTTCTGTTCTGATATTTCTGTTGTATTTAAAGAAAAATCCAAAAAAGTCTGCTTAATAGTTTCTTGCCTTTTAATACAGTCCAAAATATTTACCTAATTTGTCTGAAATAATCACATTTTAAAAATAGTATTTTGTTAGTAAACTTTATGAAACATCTGTGAGACATACACACACACATACACACACTCCTGTTAAGGCAGATGAGGTGGATTTTATCATTCCCATTTTTCATGAGAGGAAATTGAAGTTCAGAGATGTTAGTGACTTACTTATGGTTATAGTGTTAGTAAGGCATTGATTTCTGCTCCATTATTCTTCAATGCTGTGTAACTGTGCCTTGAAGCTTGTATCTGTTAATCTTCCTGCTTAACAGTAGCAGAATTTACGTCCATTTTTTTAAACATAGATATTTAAAGTTAGATAATTGATATAAAGGATCAGTGTTTTTTACATTCTAGAAGCTTGTAGGCGAAGGCTGTCTTCCAAGCAAGAGCGTTTTTTTGTTTTTTTGGTTGTTAAATTCTTAGCTGTCGTCAACATTAGCTATCTTCAACATTCAATTATTAGATTACTACCTAATTCAAAATGAATTGGTGTCATGTGATCCTCTGCCCAGTCGACTGGGCTGAGGGAGTGGATTATGAGAAGGGAGCATGAGAGGTTCCCTAAAACAGGGACTGGGGTGCAGGAAAGAAGATGACAGGCATGTCTCATGTCCCATTCAAAGTATTATCTGCTCCTTGTACCATTAGTGCTAATGAAATGAATTTGCTCATAATTTGATAATTTTAGCTATTAGATTATTAGCTATCTTCAACATTCAAAACATAAAATAATGCCAACAAGTTAAAAGCTTCCTGTCATACTGTTGGAAGTAAAGTAGTAGGCATATCTTTGTAAAAGTGACTGGTATTTTCAAAAATTTATTTTCTAGATTTGCCACTGTAGAAGAGCCAAGGAAGAGAAACTTCAGCAGGCGATAGCAATGCACAGCCAATTTCATGCTCCACTATAGGTAAATTGTATTTCAAGTTTGAGTCTCAAGGTGATTGCATCAGTGTTCTTTAAATAGACATGTTGTTAACGGTGCCTGTTCATCAGCCTTAAGCATAATTCTGTCATTATAGTTACTGTGCTATGTAACATAGAATGCTTTGTATTATATAATAAGCATAATATAAACATATAACTAGTAGAAATCTTTTGGATATTTTCTGTGATCTTGGCATGAATGAGATTTTTTTAACATTAGCTGCTAATGTAGAATTGTAAGTTATAGTCAGTTCCTTTCTCTCACCTGGTGTGTAGAGTATACCTTGTCATGTGGCTAACATTTCTCAGAAGGCTCCTTTGTCATTTCTTCCTTTAAAGTGAACTTCCAGCCAGTCTCTTTCTCTATCCCACACCACGATTACTCTAATAATTCACCTGTCCCCACGACTTGAGGGTTCTCTTCCTATGCAGCACTGATAGAATGATCTTCCTAAAATACCACTTTTATGATAAAATTTGCTCTACTCCAGAACCTGTAATTAATCGCTAGTAATGACAGTATCCATGCCAAATTCCTCTGCTTTTAAGATTTCCATAATCTTGCATATATTTCAGATCATCCATTTTAACTTTGCATTTTCCCCTTACATTGCGTTGTCTTACATGGCACATTCTTTCTTCTACCACGGTATCTTTGGCCGTGCTTGTACCTGATGTTAAGATGCCTTTCCTTTTCCTCTGCATCTGTTTTGTTTTAGGAATGATTTGTTTGCAAGAATAGTTCCCACCCCAACAAACTTAAGTAAAAGCTTATGTTATTTGATAGGACAGGGATTTATTATAGAGTAAAAATGAAGGAAAGTACAGTCACCTGAGACTGAAAACAGCCACTCAGTGACCAAAACAGCTCTTCTCACACCTTTTTTGAGGCTGCTTGTTTGGTTGTTTCTTATTTCTGCATCTCTATTCTTTTTTAAAATTTTTTCTGGCCGAGCGCAGTGGCTCATGCCTGTAATCCCAGCACTTTGGGAGGCCGAGGCGTGTGGATCACATGGTCAAGAGATCGAGACCATTCTGGCTAACACAGTGAAACCCCGTCTCTACTAAAAATACAAAAAAAATATTAGCCGGGCATGGTGGCAGGCACCTGTAGTCTCAGCTACTCGGGAGGCTGAGGCAGGAGAATGGCATGAACCTGGGAGGCAGACCTTGCAGTGAGCCGAGATCACGCCACTGCACTCCAACCTGGGTGACAGAGCAAGACTCTGTCTCAAAAAAAAAAAAATTCTTTTTTCTTACTAGCCCTTCACGTATTCCTGATTATATCATCTGACAGTTCAGACAGCCGATGGAGATAAACAAGAGTCCCTGGAGTTCTAGAACATTCCCTGGAAGAGTAACTGACCCAGTATGGGCAAGCTATCCATCCTACTGTAGTCAGTTTGGCCTGGAAATTGGTATCCTGTGGTCCTCTGCCCAGTCGACTGGGCTGAGGGAGTGGATTATGAGAAGAGAGCATGAGAGGTTCCCTAAAACAGGGACTAGGGTACAGGAAAAGAAATGACAGGCGTTTCTCATGTCCAGTAAACTATTTCTGCTCCTTGTAACATTAGTGCTCACAATGAATTGTTTTATGTGTTACTTTCCAAATCATACTATAAATTCCTTAAGGGTAGGGGCTGATTTTTGATACCAACTTTGCATATCTGCCAGCTTAAGAAGAAGTAGACACAGAGTAGTTGCTCATTTATATGAACATACTCAAATCCGTTCCTTACCTCTATTCCCTCATAGTCAAGTTATTTTATAGGAAAATCTTTTTTATTATTATTATGCTTTAAGTTCTGGGATACATGTGCAGAACGTACAGGTTTTTTACATAGGTATACATGTGCCATGATGGTTTGCTGCACCCATCAACCTGTCATTGACATTAGGTGTTTCTTCTAATGCTATTCCTCTCCTTGCCCCCAACTCCCCAACAGGCTCCAGTGTGTGATGTTCCCTCCTTGTGCCCATATGTTCTCATTGTTCAATTCCCACTTATGAGTGAGAACATGCATTAGTTGGTTTTCTGTTCCCGTGTTAGTTTCCTGAGAATGATGGTTTCCAGCTTCGTCTGTGTCCCTGCAAAGGACATGAACTCATTCTTTTTTATGGCTGCATAGTATTCCATGGTGTATATGTGCCACATTTTCTTTATCCATTCTATCATTGATGAGCATTTGGGTTGGTTCCAAGTCTTTGCTATTGTGAATAGTGCTGCAATAAACATACGTGTGCATGCGCCTTTATAGGAGAGTGGTTTATAATACTTTGGGTATATACCCAGTAGTGGGATCTGGGTCAAATGGTATTTCTAGTTCTAGATCCTTGAGGAATCACCACACTGGTCTTCCATAATGGTTGAACTAATTTACACTCCCACCAACAGTGTAAAGGTGTTCCTATTTCTCCACATCCTCTCCAGCATCTGTTGTTTCCTAACTTTTTAATAATTGCCATTCTAACTGGTGTGACATGGTATCTCATTGTGGTTTTGATTTGCATGTCTCTAGTGACCAGTGATGATGAGCTTTTTTTCATGTTGGTTGGCTGCATAAATGTCTTCTTATGAAACTGTTCATATCCTTAGCCCACTTTTTGATAGGGTTGTATTTTTCTTGTAAATTTAAGTTCCTTGTAGATTCTGGATATTAGCCCTTTGTCAGATGGATAGATTCCAGAAATTTTCCCCATTCTGTAGGTGGCCTGTTGATTCTGATGGTAGTTTCTTTGCTGTGCATAAGGTCTTTAGTTTTATTAGATCTCATTTGTCCATTTTGGCTTTTGTTGCCATTGTTTTTTTGTGTTTTAGACATGAAGTCTTTGCCCATGCCCATGTCCTGAATGGTATTGCCTAGGTTTTCTTCTAGGGTTTTTATGGTTTTAGGTCTTAACGTTTAAATCTTTAATCCATCTTGAGTTAATTTTTGTATAAGGTTAGGAAGGGGTCCATTTTTAGTTTTCTGTGTATGGCTAGCCAGTTTTCCCAACACCATTTATTAAATAGGGAATCCTTCCCCCATTGCTTTTGTCAGGTTTGTCAAAGATCAGATGGTTGTAGATGTGTGGTGTTATTTCTGAGGCCTCTGTTCTGTTCCATTGGTCTGTATGTCTGTTTTGGTACCAGTACCGTGCTGTTTTGGTTACTGTAGTCTTGTAGTATAGTTTGAAGTCAGGTAGCATGATGCCTGCCGCCAGCTTTGTTCTTTTCGCTGAGGATTGTCTTGGATATATGGGCTCTTTCTTGGTTCCATATAAAATTTAAAGTATTTTTTCTAATTCTGTGAAGAAATTCAATGGTAGCTCGATGGGAACAGCATAGAATCTATAAATTACTTTGGTCAGTATGGCCGTTATCACGATATTGATTCTTTCTATCCATGAGCATGGAATGTTTTTCCATTTGTTTGTGTCCTCTCTTATTTCCTTGAGCAGTGGTTTGTAGTTCTCCTTGAAGAGGTCCTTCATATCCCTTGTAAGTTGGATTCCTAGGTATTTTATTCTCTTTGAAGCAATTGTGAATGGGAGTTCACTCATGATTTGGCTGTTTGTCTATTATTGGTGTATAGGAATGCTTGTGATTTTTGCACATTGATTTTGTATCCTGAGACCTTGCTGAAGTTGCTTATCAGCTTAAGGAGCTTTTGGGCTGAGACAGTGGGGTTTCCTAAATATACAATCGGGTCATCTGCAAACAGAGAAAAATTGACTTCCTCTTTTCCTATTTGAATACCTTTATTTCTTTTTCTTGCCTCATTGCACTGGCCAGAACTTCCAGTACTGTGTTGAATAGGAGTTGTCTTGTGCCAGTTTTCAAAGGCAATGCTTCCAGCTTTTGCCCATTCAGTATGACATTGGCTGTGGGTTTGTCATAAATAGCTCTTATTATTTTCAGATACATTCCATCATTACCTAGTTTACTGAGTGTTTTTAGCATGAAGGGGTGTTGAATTTTATCGAAGGCCTTTTCTGCATCTATGAGATAATTGTGGTTTTTGTCATTGCCTCTGTTTATGTCGTGGATTACGTTTATTGATTTGCGTATGTTGAACCAGCCTTGCATCCCAGGGATGAAGCCAACTTGATCGTGGTGGATAAGCTTTTTAATGCGCTGCTGGATTCAGTTTGCCAGTACATTAATGAGGATTTTCGCATTGATGTTCATCAGGGATATTGGCCTGAAATTTTCTTTTGTTGTTGTGTCTTAGCCAGGTTTTGGTATCAGGATGATGCTGGCCTCATACAATCAGTTAGGGAGGAGTCCCTCTTTTTCTGTTGTTTGGAATAGTTTTAGAAGGAATGGTACCAGCTTCTCTTTGTACCTCTGGTAGAATTTGGCTATGAATCAGTCTGGTACTGGGCTTTTTTTGGTTGGTGAGCTATTACTGCCTCGGTTTCAGAACTTGTTATTGGTCTATTCAGGGATTTGACTTCTTCCTGGTTGGGAGGATGTATGTGTCCAGGAATTTATCCATTTCTTCTAGATTTTCTAGTTTGTGTAAAGGTGTTTATAGTATTCTCTGATGGTAGGTTGTATTTCTGTGGGATCGGTGGTGATCTTTTTTTTGTTGTTGTTGTTTTGTGATGGACTCTCATTCTGTTGCCCAGGCTGGAGTGCATTGGTATGATCTTGGCTCACTGCAGCCTCCGCCTCCCAGGTTTAAGCAGTTCTCTGCCTCAGCCTCCCAAGTAGCTGGGATTATAGGCATGTGCCATCACACCTGGCTAATTTTTGTATTTTTAGTAGAGATGGGGTTTCACCATGTTGGCCAGGCTAGTCTTGAACTCCTGACCTCAGGTGATCCACCCACCTCAGCCTCCCAAAGTGCTGGGATTACAGGTGTGAGCCACCATGCCCATACGATCTCCCCTTTATCATTTTTTATTTTGTCTATTTGATTCTTCTCTCTTTTCTTCTTTTTTAGTCTGGCTAGTGGTCTATTTTGTTAATCTTTTCAAAACAGCTGCTGGATTCATTGATTTTTTTTTTTTTTTTTGAAGGGTTTTTCGTGTCTCTGTCTCTTTAAGTTCTGCTCTGATCTTGGTTATTTCTTGTCTTCTGCTAGCTTTTGAATTTGTTTGCTCTTGCTTCTCTAATTCTTTTAATTGTGATGTTAGGGTGTTGATTTTTTAGATTTTTACCGCTTTCTCCTGTGGGCATTTAGTGCTATAAATTTCCCTCTAAACACAGTTTTGCTCTGTCCCAGAGATTCTGGTACATTGTGTCTTTGTTCTCATTGGTTTCAAAGAACTTATTTATTTCTGTCTTCATTTCATTATTTACCAAGTAGTCATCGAGGAGCAGGTTGTTCAGTTTCCATGTAGTTGTGTGGTTTTGAGTGAGTTTCTTAATCCGGAATTCTAATTTGATTGCAGTGTGGTCTGGGAGACTGTTATGATTTCCATTCTTTTGCATTTGCTGAGGAGTGTTTTACTTCCAATTATGTGGCCAATTTTAGAATAATTGCTATGTGGTGCTGAGAAGAAGGTATATTCTGTTGATTATGGGTGGATAGTTCTGTAGATGTCTATTAGTTCCGTTTGGTCCAGAACTCAGTTCAAGTCCTGAATATCCTTGTTAATTTTCTGTCTCGTTGATCTAATATTGACAGTGGGGTGTTAAAGTCTCCCACTATTATTGTGTGGGAGTCTAAGTCTCTTTGAGGTCTCTAAGAACTTGCTTTATGAATCTGGGTGCTCCTGTATTGGGTGCATATATATTTAGGATAGTTAGCTCTTCTTCCTACATTGATCCCTTTACCATTATGTAATGCCCTTCTTTGTCTTTTTTGGTTTTTCTTGGTTTAAACTCTGTTTTATCAGAGACCAGGATTGCAACCCCTGCTTTTTTTTACTTTCCATTGGCTTGGTAAATCTTCCTCCATCCCTTTATTTTAAGCCTGTGTGTGTCTTTGCACATGAAATGGGTTTCCTGAATACAGCATACTGATGGATCTTGACTCTGTATCATTTGCCAGTCTGTGCCTTTTAATTGGGGCATTTAGCCCGTTTAAGGTTAATATTGTTATGTGTGAATTTGATCCTGTCATTATGATGCTAGCTGGTTATTTTGCCCATTAGTTGATGCAGTTTCTTCATAGTATCAATGGTCTTTACATTTTGGTTTGATTTTGCAGTGGCTGGTACCAGTTATTCCTTTCCATGTTTAGTGCTTCCTTCAGGAGCTCTTGTAAGGCAGTCCTCGTGGTGACAGAATCCCTCAGCATTTGCTTGTCTGTAAAGGGTTTTATTTCTCCTCCACTTATGAAGCTTAGTTTGGCTGGATATGAAATTATTGGTTGAAAATTCTTTAAGAATGTTGAATATTGGCCCCCATTCTCTTCTGGCTTATAGGGTTTCTGCAGAGAGATCCACTGTTAGTCTGATGGGCTTCCCTTTGTGGGTAACCCAACCTTTTTCTCTGGCTGCCCTTAACATTTTTTCCTTCATTTCAACCTTGGTAAATCTGACAATTACGTCTTGGGTTTGCTCTTCTCAAGGAGTGTCTTTGTGGTATTCTCTGTATTTTCTGAATTTGAATGTTGGGCTGTCTTGCTAGGTTGGGGAAGTTCTCCTGGATATCCTGAAGTGTGTTTTCCAACTTGGTTCCAGTCTCTCTGTCACTTTCAGGTACACCAATCAAACATAGGTTTTGTCTTTTCACATAGTCCCATGTTTCTTGGAGGCTTTGTTTGTTCCTTTTTATTCTTTTTTCTCTAATCTTGTCTTCACGCTTTTTTTCATAAAATTGATCTTCAGTCTCTGATATCCTTTCTTCTGCTTGATCGATTGGGCTGTTGATACTATGTATGCTTCATGAAGTTCTCGTGCTGTGTTTTTCAGTTCCATCAGGTAGGTCATTTATTTATGTTCTTCTCTAAACTGATTATTCTAGTTAGCAATTCTTCTAACCTTTTATCAAGGTTCTTAGCTTCCTTGCATTGAGTTAGAACATGCTCCTTTAGCTCTAAGGAGTTTATTACCCACCTTCTGAAGCCTACTTCTGTCAATTCATCAAACTCATTCTCAGTCCAGTTTTGTTCCCTTGCTGGCGAGGAGTTGTGATCCTTTGGAGGAGAAGAGGCTTTCTGGTTTTTTGAATTTTCAGCCTTTTTGCACTGGTTTTTCCTCATCTTCATGGATTTATCTACCTTTGTTCTTTGTTGTTGGTGACCTTCGGATGGAATTTTTGCATGGTCGTCATTTTTGTTGATGTTGATGCTATTGCTTTCTGTTAGTTGTCTTTCTAACAAGCCCCTCTTCTGCAGGTCTGCTGGAGTTTGCTGGGGGTCTACTCCACATCCTGTTTGCCTGGGTATCACCAGCGGAGGCTGCAGAACAGCAAAGATTGCTGCCTGCTCCTTCCTCTGGAAGCTTTGTCCCAGAGGGGCACCTGCAAAGTGCCAGCCAGAGCTCTCCTGTATGAGCTGTCTGTCAACCCCTGCTGGGAGGTGTCTGCCTGTCAGGAGGCACGGTGGTCAGAGAACCACTTGAGGAGGCAGTCTGTCTCTTAGCAGAGCTAGAGCATGGTGCTGGGTGATCCGCTGCTCTCTTCAGAGCCGGCAGGCAGGAACGTTTAAGTGTGTGCAAGCTGCGCCCACAGCCACCCCTTCCCCCAGGTGCTCTGTTGCAGGGAGATGGGAGTTTTATCTATAAGCCCCTGACTGGGGCCTCTGCCTTTCTTTCAGAGATGCCCTGCCCAGAGAGGAGGAATCTAGAGAGGCAGTCTGGCTACAGTGGCTTTGTGGAGCTGAGGTGGGCTTTGCCCAGTCCAAACTTCCCGGAGGCTTTGTTTACACTGTGAGGGGAAAACAGACTACTCAAACCTCATTAATGGTGGACGCCCCTCCCCCCACCAAGCTCCAGCATCCCAGGTCGACCTCAGACTGCTATGCTGGCGGTGAAAATTTCAAGCCAGTGGATCTTAGCTTGCTAGACTCCATAGGGGTGGGATCCGCTGAGCAAGACCATTTGGCTCCCTGGCATCAGCCCCCTTTCCAGGAGAGTGAAGGGTTCTGTCTCGCTGGCATTCCAGGCAGTACGAAAAAAAATTCCTGCAGCTAGCTCGATGTCTGGCCAAACGGCCACCTAGTTTTGTGGTTGAAACCCGGGCCCCTGGTGGTGTAGGCACCTGAGGGAATCTCCTGGTCTGTGGGTTGCGAAGACCGTGGAAAAAGCGTAGTTTCTGGGCTGGGTAGCACAGTCCCTCAAGGCTTCCCTTGGCTAGGGGAGGTAGTTCCCTAACCCCTTGCACTTACCGGGTGAGGCAACACCCCACCCTGCTTCTGCTCACCCTCCGTGGGCTACACCCACTGTCTAACCAGTCCCAGTGAGATGAACCAGGTATCTCAGCTGGAAATGCAGAAATCACCTGCCTTCTCTGTTGGTCTCCCTGGGAGCTGCAGACTGGAGCTGTTCCTATTCAGCCATCTTGCCTGGGAGCCACTGTGGGCAAATCTTAATTGGAAGATAATGTAAAGAGATACATATTCATCTTCTTAAATATTAGAGGTATTTTTTATTGTTTTCTTTCTAGATTTTCCTGGAAACATGAACTGCCAAGAGAGGAATGGGACACAAAACCAAACACTGTTTTATATTTATGGTTTGCAAACTGGCATTTCATCAGTGGCTAAATTCACAGATATCCTATATAGATTGTATACAGAACTGAGACTGATTTTGTACCGATTAGAATGATTGCTATGATCTTTGAGAAATTTTTCTGCACTATTTGCACTGAAATGTTTATTTATTGTTGATAAATTGTATCATATTTAAGTTCCACTGCTGTTCCTCTTACCTTGATTAAATGCCTATGCATGTACTTTTAGCTAGTTTTTAATATTTTATAAAACTTCATTTAAATTTGTATTTTTAACTTGAAGTTCCATTTCTTTATCAAGGATGGTATTTAGATTTTTTTCCTCTTAACCTTTTTTCAAAAACTATTTTCAACTGTGAGGAAACCCTTATTTTTCTTTCTTTGTGGATAAAACTTTCAAAAGCAATTTAAGATATTCATAGTGTTAGGAAACACCAAACCTGCCTATGTGCCATCTCACAAAAGAAACTTTTAATACCTACAATAAATCAAAAGAATAAACCAGCTGTTCTTATATATTGTTTCATTTTTAAAACTAAAGATGCATTTAAGAAGCAATACAAGTAAATATTTTACCTAATAGGAAAAAAAAAAGTTGCCTTTCATTTAAACCATTCCAACAGAAATTCTTATGCTAATTTAAAACATATATATATCTGGTAGGTTTGTGGTTGGATAGGTTTTCTAAATTCCTAATGTTAAAAACAATCTTTATGTTAATATACACTAAATCTATACACAAAAAAAGTCAGTGAACTTTTCTGACCTTTACTGTGAGTTACCTTTTCCTAAGAGGAAAGCTATAGTAATAAGTAAAATTTAATTTTTAGGCAATCCTGATTTTTAATGAATTTAATTGAGTGTTCTTGTATACTACATTGAGCAGTTTGCTTCTATACCGTGTCACAAAATTCATGTATTTCTTGAGAAGCCCTAAAAGCTCATAAAGGAAAATGCCGTGAACTATGTAGCTCAGGCTTGGTAAGGTGCCATCTAAATTACAAAACAAACTAATGCATAATTTTGCTTAAATTTCATCCCAGTATGATTGTCTTCCCAACACCAGCATATAGTATAGATTGTCTGTCTTTTTTATATTTTTTAGTTCTTCCTGTACATGTTTTTGGCAATAAAGTTATAGGAAGAACAAAATTATTTTGTTAGAATTAAAACATGCTTAATATTTAGTCTGTTTGTGGAGGGCAGGTATTCACGTGGACTGAGATACAATGTTGGATACAGAAAATAACTTTCATTGTCTTCCTGACACTGTGCTAAGGACATGCTGTTAAAGCTTCAAAGTGACCAGATGAGGAAGGAATAATTAATTATTACTCCTGATTTGTAGATAACTGAGGTAAGAGTGTTTCAAATTTATGATAGTCTTTTGGGTATTCAGAAACCTTTCCTTATACTGCACTGGCCACCAGAGCTTAATTTTCCCAGCAGTTACAGCAATGGGAGATAGAACAGTCTCAATCTTTTGCCAACCATCAGGTTCCTAGAAACCAGGTAGGTGTATCCCATAACAAGGGAGGAGCATACCACAGCCCCTCATTTGATTAATTCATTTGATCTATCTATGTTATTAAGTACCTACTAGGAATAAGGCATTGTGGAAATACTATACAAAGATAAACATTGTTTAGATGCTTATCTACTTTCCTTTTCACCAGAAAAACAGAAAAAAAAGAAACATTTTCTTACAGAGTAAAAATGTTCTACATAATCACATGAGTAGTTCATCTCAGTGTTTTTTATTCTTTAAAGTTGAACTATCCCAGTTTCATTCTATACCATTCATTGGATAACCTTGTTACAACCCAGTCATGAAACAGAGCAGTGTGATCAGTTATCTGCATTTAACAAATAGACAAATCAGTTTACATAAAGGTTATGTATGTCACCCACGATGAAAAGAATCTGCATTTGAATATGCCCGTATGAATGTGGGTTCTGTTTTTGCAACAGAGATTAAGTGACCATTTTTTCTAATTTTATGGCTATATATTTTCTTCATAAAAATTGGTCACATCGGAGAAGCAGTGCCACAGGAAAAATGAAATGCATGTGAAAGTTTGTATTCTGATTTTACAAGATGAGATAGAAATCAGAATTAAAGAGGAATACTTAGGAGTTACTAGGCTAATCAGTGTACGAATTTGTCATAGGTAGAGATTTAAAGGTTAATATCTTAAAATAGAAGAAAATTCTAAATCAATCAATCAGTGAGATATAAACTAAACAGACCCACTTCAAAGTTGAAAGAAATTTCTAGGCATAAATTGAGACTAGGAAATTTATATCAGAATAGAGGGTGCTTGACACATATATATGCTTAAATTGAAGGACAGCTCAGATTCATTTTTAGGAGAAGAAAGTAAACTAATGTGCTCTTAAAGAATAAAAATTTATTCTATGGTTTCTGTCTCTGATCATCACCTTCCATTCTATAAAAAGCTCAGTTACTGATTTGCTGGGTCATGGTCAAAATTCTTACCTATTTATTTCATATCAACTTTAAAAAATAAATTACTTGCATTCTATATATTACTAATTGGGAAGTAATATGCCTCAAATCAGTTTTATACTGGATTATTCCCTATGCTTTAAACCACTGCTCTCAATAAAACACTTCCTGATTAATGTTTGATTATTAGATATTTTAGTCTTGTTGGGGATATTTTAGTCTTGTTGGGTTAGCCATGCTCTGAAGAATCTGTGAAAGTACAGTAAAGTTTTAATAAGCAATAAATGTAACCTTTTATATAAATCTCAGTGCTAGGTTAACTTCTAATAAGCAGACGAACATGTTACATAAATTATAATGTCTGTCTTGTAAAAAAGTTGAGGGGACTAAAAGTTTATGACTCTGATATGGAAGTTGTCATATTAAAAAACTACATTTTAAAACATCAAATATTTATACTATTTGCTTTTCAAATAAAAGCATAGTGCTGTTTGGCATAGATACTTTGTCATTTTTTAAAAAATGTTTATTGTTTTTATAGACATACACTGTCAAACGGAAGAAATTAAAGCCACATCCTCAATATTAGGCAACAGAGTTTCTAAGAGTGGACAGCTCCAAGAAGGTTGTGAAGTGAGTTATGTTATGTTATAAAAATGTGAAAGCCATTACCACTATATCCTAAGTTTTATTTTAGCAAGGTATTCCCTATTACATATAGTATATTGCAGAAAATGAATAAACATTCCTTGTACTTAATTTGGGAACTGCTCAGCAGAGAATGCCCAAATTTTATATTCTGAAAGAATTAATTACACTTGCTTTATTTTTTACATTAACAGTACTTTTAAATCACAGTTCTCTAATATATTCTATATTTTTAAATATGATGAACACAATTAAATGTTTTCATTTATATATATTGCAACACTCCCTCCAAATCTTTCATACTAGAGAGATCAGCAATGTTGCTTTCTTGCCCTCGTCCTCATTTCAGCGAAATGTAATAATTCTCCCATTAAAAAAAATCAGATATTCAAAATATTGATGTAAATTGTAAAGTTTAAATTAATCCTTTCACATATTCAAAATATTGATCTAAATTGTAAAGTTTAATCCTTTTACATTCTAGAATGTACTAATATATTAAAACCATACAGTGTGAATACCATTTATTTATGTCCAAACATGGCCACTTTTCCCCACTAAGTTTAATTTAGGTCACCTAGTGAAGTCTTTTTTAACTCATAAGATAGGGGAGGGACTCTCCCTTAAATGTGCAGTGTAACAAAACAAAAATTCTTTTCAGAACTTTCAGCAGTCAGTGGTCATGAGATGTTACTAAGGTTAATTAAACCATATTAGCCAGTTACATAATTTCTAAAATGATAGATTACAAAACCTATTCCCTTCATTAAACAGACATGACAACCCAATTCTCTGGTTCTTGAAACTGGATTTTCACTCACAGATGTTTTATCTACTAACTTTATAATGTGATACTTTGAGATCAGGCTGGTGGCTGGCCCACACTGTCGGTAGTGTAGTCTCTAGAACAGTAATAAAAGGTTATTACAAGAAAGCTGATACTTAAATTCATATGTAAGACCAGGAGAATGAATGTTGCTTCTACCTCGTTAGCTATTAAATCAGTGTTAGAGAAAAAGTGAGATACAAGGTTTAGCATTTTTAAATAATGAGGAGAAACAGACTATAGATCTCAGAGAAAAGCAACAAAATTATTCTCACAATTCAAAATATATGCTCCAAGGAAAAGTTAAAGTGATGATTATGCCTGAAAGATAAGCAATTAAAAGCTCCTTAGGAATGCATCTATTAACTAAAAAGGGTGCATCTCACCAATGTGCCTGTTTTTAGAAATATGTATAAGAGGGTCGGAAAGGAGGATAATGTCAGATGCTTTAGAAAACACAAAATATGCATCTAGAAGTGAACTAAAAGAATCATGATGATCACAGATGTGAGGGAAAGGAGTGGAGGCTTTTTGAGAGATGCATGCTATGACAAGGAAGATAGATACTGATCACTTCAGGTAATGACAGAAGTAATTGCTCTGCAGTGAATATAATTTTCATAGTCTAGGGTGAGCTTCAAAATGGTGAATAATTTTCCTTATATTTGATAAATGAAATGACTACGTCCTCTTCAGTATCTAAGAAATCAAGAACTGGGCACTTTTTTCCCTTTTCATAGCTGCATTAAAGTAGTTCTCAATGACATGCACCATTTCCTGTTTTTACAATAAACCACCTTGTTCCCTTGTTTTTGGAAGTGTTGCTTATGTGTCCTTTACTTTGGAACTCCAAAGGGAAACTTCAGGCAGTGAGAAACACGGCTTCATCAGAATCCCGGTCCTTGCCACTATCTTCACTCGGTGCATGCTCACCACCACTTGGAGACCGACAGCTCAAATCCTCCACCCCGGACTCTTGGTCACTGTTGGCTGACAGATCTGGATCTGAACTTTTCAGATTGTCTTGGGTTAGAATCAGAGCAGAATCTTCATCGCCTTGTGAAGGGCTCCGGGATGGAAATGATTTCATATTCCCACTGTAATCCTGGGGAGTGTTGGCTATGCTGTTGTCTGAGGTAGAAAACCCTGAGTGCTTGCTGGGCTCACTTTGCTTACTCTTCACCTTAGTGCAATTTAACTGGACCTTTTGAATTTTTTCCAGCCTCTAAGAAAGAAATAACAATTTCAGGGGAAAAATCATAAATAACTTATCTTTTTCTATATATGCATGTCTTTAGCATTTGTTACCTCCCACGTGGGTATAATGTTAAGAACATGTGACTCAGAGGGATGTGAGTTCAAACCTGGACTTCACGACCTTGGACAAAATCTGTGAGGCCTGCTTTATCTCTAATGTAAGGATAATACCTGCCTTGACATAGGTTTTCTATAATAATAAACAATATAGCACAGTTGAAGCACCCAGTGAACCCTAGTCTCCCTCTTTTCTATACCTACATGGTTTCAAATGATGAGTCTCATCCCATGAACTCAAAAAACATTTTTTAGAAATCATGAATGAAGTGTTTATCATCTAACTTTTATACTGAGATACAATTCACTTACCGTGAAACTCACCCTTTTAAAGTATACAATTCAGTGGTTTTTAGTTATATTCACAAGGTTGTGCAACGATCACTACTAATTATAAAACACTGTCATCACCTCCCCTGCCGAAAGAAAACCCCATACTCATTAGCAGTCATTTCCCATTCCTATCTCCCCACAGCCCCTGGCTACTACTGATCAACTTCTATCTCTATGGATTTGCCTAGTCTAGATGTTTTATATAAATTGAATGGAATCATACAACATGTGGATTTTTGTATCTGGCTTCCTTCACTTAGCTTATGTTCTCAGAATTCATTCATGGTACAGCATGTATCAAGTACTTCATTCCTTTTTCTGGCTGAACAGTATTCCATTACATGGATATACCAGATTTTGTTTCCCCATTCATCATGTTATGGACACCTGGGTTGTTCAGAATACATTTCGCCAGATTTCATGTTTTGATGTTAACACAGGAGGTGTTATAAGATCAAGTATTATGTATTCATTCAAAACCATTCACTTAGGTTATGTGCAAAAGCACTGTGCTGGGCAGTGTGAGGAAAAGAGATAGATAAATACAGACCCAGCCTTAAGGAACATGGAGTAGTGGAGCAGAGAGAGGCAGAGTTCATGCAATGTAAGAATTTCAAAAAGGCAAAAGTTCTTGAAGAGGGATGAAGTGGTAAGGTTAGAAGGAAAAGAACAGAGTAAGTTTCAGGGAGGAAGGAACATTTTAACAGGACTGTGAAAGATTTAAACTTGGACATTCTGGTGATAGCTAGTAAGCATTCCTGACAGGAGTAGGGACAGTGAGAGGACAAACACAAAGGTAGGAAGGTCTAAATTGTATACAAGCAGCAAAAACCATTAAATATTAGCATGGAAAATAAAGCTGAAAAGAGAAAATCTCAAATGCCAGCCTAAGGAATTTTGACTTTGTAATAAGGAAGAGCCAGTTTTAAAGAGCCAGACTGCTAGAATAGACTAATAGAATCCTAAGATGTTCATAAACTACATTAGTACCATTGGAAACAAAGTTATCCAATTAGGAAAAGCATTTTATTATAACCTCCCTGTCCAAGTACAGGGAAGTTCATAGAAGCCAAAAGATAAGACTTTACAGTCAGTCTCCCCTTTACCAATTATAGATTAATATCATAGTTAACATAATTTCTAAAAGTGGGGAAAGAGTTTTACAAGTACATATATTTGATTTTATTCTGTTACTTTTTCACACTTTCCAGAAAAAAATTAATTTTACTACTCTCAAATAACAGTAACCAAACAAGTTGACCTAAAATAAGGAACAACCAAAAATTTGTGGAACTGAGCCACAAACCAGATGTGTGAAATGCATTAAATGCCTAGGTTTGGGCTTCGGTTATCTGAGTCCTGACCTGGATGGGGTTGTGTTTCAGGTGTTCTACTGACTAAAAATGTGAAATATTTGTATTGCACTGAATCTTAAGAGGCTTTCATGAAGCCTTGCTCTTCAAGAAATAAGCACAGAAAATAGATTAACAAAGCAAGTATGTCTTACTTCTTCCAGGGCCTCTAGTTCTTCCTCTAGCTGCTGAGTTTCTTCCTTCACTGCCATTAGGTAATCTGTAACTGACTGTCGGGGCTGCATCCCCTTTTCAAAGCGGTTATACATTCCACTCCAAAACCTGGAAAGGATGGCAAAGCGTCGTGATACCACCTTATCACAGTCTGAAAATTCACATCCTCAAGTCTTCTAAGGTATCTATGATACCACAGTCTTAATAATAACCAAATGCAAATTTCAGCCTCAAAAAAGCCACTACTTAAGGTAATAATTTCATGTTGATGTTTTTTTTCTTGGGTCAGTAAATGCCTTTTGGGGAGAATAAGTTTATGAAAAGTCTGCCTGTATATATGAATTAGCACAGAATACATTTTTCTAAAATTAAAATAGTACATGTAACCATTACCTTTTAAGAAAATGGCTCTTAGTTTTGAACTTTGAAATTGTATATTTAGAATCTTTCAGCTACAAAGGGAATCTTAAACTTGCAGCTTTTATCTTTTGTATCACGACCACTAAAAGTTGACATTTGCATTGGCAATAACCCCCCCCCCCCCGCTTTTTTTTTTAATGGCAGAGTTTCGCTCTTGTCACCCAAACCGAAGTGCAGTGGTGTGATATCGGCTCCTTGCAACCTCCACCTCCCGGGTTCAAGCGATTCTCCTGCCTCAGCCTCCCAAGTACCTGGGATTACAGGCATGCACCACCATGCCTAATTTTATATTTTTTTTAGTAGAGACAGGGTTTCACCATGTTGGTCAGGTTGGTCATGAACTCCTGACCTCAGGTGATCCACCCACCTCAGCCTCCCAAAGTGCTGGGATTATAGGCGGGAGCCACCACGCCTGACCAATAAATCCCTTTTTATCCTACACAAAAAAGCAACTGGAGTGCAAATGAGAAAAATGGTGTTATCACAGAGTTACCCTTAGAACCACTATTTTATTTATGTAGATAAGTAAGTACTTTGAGGGCAAGGACTTGGTGTCATTGTTTTATCTGCAGTGCCCAGAACAGTGTTTGATCCTCAATAAAATATGTGTTGACTAGCTGTTAATAATAAATTAGTTGCAATCCAACTGGTCATATCTCAACAGCTCTTAAAACTTGTCTTACATGCACTATGGAGGCTTTTGTTTAGTATGATAGAATATTCTGCTATAAATTCTGAGAAGATAATTAGATTGAAATAATTAAGAAAAAAAACCTTGAGAAACGAAATCTATACAGGGAGAAAAGCCATCAAGTCTGTGTCGGGAGTGAGTAGGAAGAAAGAGATGGGGTTTCTGTTTATTCTGCATGAGTCTTTTGATGTTGCTGACCTTTGAGTTTTTTCATATTATACAAGCCTAACAAGGAAGCCAAAGGAAAAAACATACGTATCTAGCACATACCTAGTAGAACTTGTAGGATGCCACCCTGCTCTCCCCATTCTCCCCATACATACAATCTTTTTTTTTTTTTTTTGAGATGGAGTTTTGCTCTTGTTGCCCAGGCTGGAGTGCAATGGCACGATCTCGGCTCACCGCAACCTCCTCCTCCCTGGTTCAAGTGATTCTCCTGTCTCAGCCTCCCGAGTAGCTAGGATTACAGGCGCTCACCACCATGCCCAGCTAATTTTTGTATTTTCAGTAGAGACTGGGTCTCCCCATGTTGGCCAGGCTTGTCTTGAACTCCTGACCTAGGGTGATCCACCCGCCTCGGCTAATACATACAATCTTAATGTAATTTCCACAAGGGAAGTACTTCCAGTAGGACTTAATTCAGTGGAGACAAAAAGGCAACCTATTACGTTGGTGCAAAAGTAATTGCGGTTTTTGCCTTTTTGTTGTATAACGGCAAAAACCACAATTATTTTTGCTCCAACCTTAACACGTCATGATCACTGTTGAAACTTGTGATTCCACATTTGACTTAAGGCATTTGCATTATTCTCTTTCATTTGCTTTTAAAAAAATAAATTGGAACTTAACCTTTTTATGATATCATTATTATAAAACATCACCTCCTGAAGAAAATTCCACATTTAGGAGGAATAAAGAGGCAGAGGAGTCACTGGCAAAAATACCAGATCAGATATTCAAGCATCTCCCTCTGGTGTCTTTTGTGTCCAATAAAAGCCTCAAAGATCAGTGTCATACACTTTGACCTCTGAATGTTAAACGGTACCAGAATCCAAGTTCATACCATGGCTACAAAGTTACCAAGGATTTACATACTTGTACATGAAGTTACATGGTGTTGTAGGGAGATGAAGGGTTCCCTGAGTCTGGCTGTGATCAGCTCTAAACAGAGGATTCAGGTAGTCGGCCCGATTCTTCCACAGGTGAGCCCATAATGAGTATGTTCTTTCTTGAATCCTGTTATAAAGAAAATAAGTCTATAAATGACCTATTTTGGTGCTTACACACAGTAGATATGTTATATTAATGCTGGAAAGGAACTAATAATTGTTACCTGAAAACCACGTGTCTGTTCGATAGCAGGTAAATGTATCATCTTGGTGACTTCATGGTATAGAGGGAGAACACTGTAATAATCTCAACTTCACCACCATCTGTACTGGCCTTGACAAGGTGTTCGATTCGTGTGTGTGTGTGTGTGTGTGTTAAGCTGTTCTTTTGGGGGGAGTTTTTTCCCCCAAATAGTCATTGGACATTTATAATTTGTCACACACTATTCTAAATGTTCCACGTTTTCTCTCATTTAATCCTCACTGAGTTGCTGTGAGCTCTGTCTAATTTACAGATGAAGAAACTGAGGAATAGAGAGAATAAGTGGTTTCCCAAAGTCCTATAGCTAGTAAGTGGAAAAGCCATATTCAGACCCAAGCAGATACTGTTAGAATTGGCTAGTCAGGTACAAGAAAACAGGTGACCCTAAAGGATACACTCTGCTCCTTCTAAATCATCTCCATCTCCATGGAATCACACTTGAGCTTCCTTAGAGAAAACAAACTAGTATCCACTACAAAAATTAATTTTCTTTATGAGTCCATTTCATTTGAACTGATCATTCCCCAAATTAAATCTGATAATGTTGTATACACCATAGTTAAAACCATTTCATTTTATGAAAATTTAAAAAATGTTCTCTCATGTATACTGCCTAAATCACTTTGTTGTAAGTTTTTTACTGTCACTTATTTTAAAGTCCACAATTTATCTACTTTTACCCTTGGATAAATCAATACAGTTTTAATCTGAATAAATTCTGGCTTTTATATTTGCTTTCCCAATTAAATTTGCAATTTTTATTATGGTAGCATAGCCACCAAATATATCTAACCTTTTCCTTTTAAATGCAAAAACCACTTTTTTGACTCCAGAAAATTCCCTTTCGATATTCATGCATCAAGTCTGTCAAGCTGTCTATCAGGCAGAAACTGAAGGAAAAAATGAAACTATTTATCTGTCAGTTGATGACATTTAAACCATTTATGAAATGACACCAGGAAAAAGAAAATAAAACTAATCTGTCAGTATAGGTATGTGACTAAATGAAAAAAGTCTTCAAAATTATGAAAGGCCACCTAAAATTCTCAGTCATCAAAATCTTTAAATAAAAGTTAAACACCAAAAACACCAAAACACTTACTTGAGTTCTCGTCTCTCCTTTTGGCTGTTACATAGGAAGTTTCCAAACTGGCAGGAATAAATGTGATGTTGAATGTGAATCAAAAACCTCTCATTGAACTCAAAGGCACAGGGAAATTGTTCCATTAACTGCCAAACACACTCAATGAACTGGTCAATAACTGGAGAGATTTCTTTTGGGTCACCATCTAGATTGCCATATCTATAAAACAAAGCATTAGAGACTTTTTAAGGCAGATTTATTTTTAAAGTACAAAGCCATAAATGCAAAAACAACCATAAAAGCAACCCTAGTTCCTAAATAAATCTTATCTTACAAACTTGGAATGACAAAAAAGGTAGAAAAGTTAAGATTTTAAATTCAAATTTCCAGAGCAACTTTGTAGTGACGGTCTGGATAGAAGGGATGCGTTCACGTTATAGTTACAAAAGAAAGTGTTAGTGCAAGAAATAAAATTCAAAGACACTTTCCACAGAAAAAGGGCATTTTTAAATTCATTCCTTAAAAGTACATTAGAACTTTTAAAATAAATGTTGCACTTTATGAGCGGGTGAGAAGAAATGTCCAGACAACTTTAAGGCTCTTCATTTTTTGCGCTGTTTTGTTGGGAAGGGATGAGGAAAAAGACAACTTGAAAAAAAAAAATAGTGGTTTCCCAAGTTGCCAAGAATATTCCCATTCCTAAAGCGGTTAAAGCTTATCACGTGATTTATTTCCATGTGACGACAGATTCCACATGTATTTTTCTTTTATCTCCCATTGCTTTGCTTTTCAAGAGCACATCAGACTCGTCTTCCTCAAATTTGTATTGATTTTAAAATGAAGACTCCTTAGCCCTTTACACTACTGTGTGAGTTTTACAGAGAATCCAAAAGGATGTTTTGGTGTCATCAAAGACAAAATAACAATATAGAACCCCGTGTTAGTAAGAGATCATCACCTTGAGGAAGAGGAATGAGCAATGATCAGTTTTAGAGTTTTCCCAAGAGTGGGAACATTGGAAATTGTCTAGAAACTTCTCAGATGTTACAGTTTCTCACCTTTGGTAGCTTTAAAAAGTGTTACCTAGGCTAGCCATATGTAGAAAGCTGAAACTGGATCCCTTCTTTGCACCTTATACAAAAATTAATTCAAGATGGATTAAAGACTTAAACGTTAGACCTAAAACTATAAAAAACCCTAGAAGAAAACCTAGGCAATACCATTCAGGACATAGGCATGGGCAAGGACTTCATGTCTAAAACACCAAAAGCAATGGCAGCAAAAGACAAAATTGACAGATGGGATCTAATTAAACTAAAGAGCTTCTGCACAGCAGAAGAAACTACCATCAGAGTGAACAGGCAACCTACAAAATGGGAGAAAATTTTTGCAACCTACTCATCTGACAAAGGGCTAAAATCCAGAATCTAAAATGAACTCAAACAAATTTACAAGAAAAAAACAACCCCATCAAAAAGTGGGCAAAGGATATGAAAAGACACTTCTCAAAAGAAGACATTTATGCAGCCAAAAGACACATGAAAAAATGCTCATCATCACTGGCCATCAGAGAAATGCAAATCAAAACCACAATGATACACCATCTCACACCAGTTAGAATGGCGATCATTAAAAAGTCAGGAAACAACAGGTGCTGGAGAGGATGTGAAGAAATAGGAACACTTTTACACTGTTGGTGGGACTGTAAACTAGTTCAACCATTGTGGAAGTCAGTGTGGCGATTCCTCAGGGATCTAGAACTAGAAATACCATTTGACCCAGCCATCCCATTACTGGGTATATACCCAAAGGATTATAAATCATGCTGCTATAAAGACACATGCACATGAATGTTTATAGCGGCACTATTCACAATAGCAAAGACTTGGAACCAACCTATATGTCCAACAACAATAGCCTGGATTAAGAAAATGTGGCACATATACACCATGGAATATTATGCAGCCATAAAAAATGATGAGTTCATTTCCTTTGTAGGGACATGGATGAAACTGGAAACCATCATTCTCAGCAAACTATCGCAAGGACAAAAAAACCAAACACCACATGTTCTCACTCATAGGTGGGAACTGAACAATGAGAACACAAGGACACAGGAAGGGGAACATCACACACCGGGGACTGTTGTGGGGTGGCGGGAGGGGGGAGGGATAGCATTAGGAGATATACCTAATGCTAAATGACGAGTTAATGGGTGCAGCACACCAACATGGCACATGTATATATATGTAACAAACCTGCACGTTGTGCACATGTACCCTAAAACAAAGTATAATAATAATAAAATTAAAAAATAAAAATAAAATGAGGAAGAAAAAAATAATTGCATTATGGGAGACTGATTTATATTTGCATAAAGGGAATTTTAGTCTTTTATGGCTTCAGAATTATTTCAAAATAAACTTTACTGCAAATCAAAAAAAAAAGGTTGCCTAATATTAACGTATTTTTTCCTTATCAAACAATTATCTAGCTGATCTTCAGTCATTTCCATATTCTTTCTGTCATCTGTCTCCTATCTTGGAGATCCTAACTGCCTAGCGTGTAATATTAATAGAACCCCAAACTGAAAATAATGCCATGTTAAGAAGTTTATCTAATTGGGGGCTTTAATTTTCTCATTGGTAAATGGAATTCCTATGCTTTCCTGGAAAAAATTAGAAAAATAGAATTCCTGAAAATCACAGAATTAGTGATCAATTAATGCTAAAAGCAAAAAACTACAAAAATATACTTGAGCAGTTGCATGCATTTAGAATTTTAAGAAAACACAGTAAAACTTCTGAAAATATATATCAAACTAATGAAACTTGCTGCCTAAATTTAAATTTTATCACCAAAGACTAAACTAAGTACAGCTATACCATTTAAGATTCAAAGAGTAGAGAACACCAGAACACAATACAGGCATCAACACTGACAAAAGGAGGCTGGTGACTCCCAAAACAACAGCTTTGGCATCCCCATTCCACAGATGAGAGACCAAAGGTCAGACAGCCCAGACGTCCAAGGCCAGACAGTGAATATCATGGCCTGGATCTGGAGTTGGATATGTCTGGTTCTGAAGCCTTCATCACCACTCCAGAGACATCTGGGACAAACTGCACTCCGATACAAATGCCTTAGGACTATAGAAGATCAAAGAGAAACTGTTCCACGGGCAGTTCACAACTTGCAGACTAAAGTGAATCTCTGGACTTCTAAAATGGAATAATTTAGTAAGTCACATGCAAATGGCAGGAGGAAGGGAAGGCTGATCCTCACTAAGACAATGAACAAGCATTCTCTGTCTCTTCTAGAACAAGTTAACATTAGTTAGTTCTGCCCAACTGTTACCAAAAGGAATCAGTTATAACTTCATTTATCTATGATATGACATATACAACAAAATTTAAGCTTTCTGAATAAGAGACACAAACTCAAAAAACAAGACGATTTTCCCCTAAATATTCAATTGAAATTTTCAGAAACAGTGCTTTTATTCTAAACATTCAAAACAGTCTTAAATATTACTTACCGGTGATTAAACTTATGACCAAAGGAAATCCAGTCCTTTTCAATTAATACCTACACAAGAAAGAATACAAATATCTTGGAGAGAAGCAAACGAAAAATAAGAGACCACACAACCAATAATGTTGAGGAATTCAGAGGCACTTGCAGAAGTCCCCATCCTCGAGTAACCTGCAAATGCATGAACAGGCATTATCCACCCATATAGAGATGCACATGGCAAAGGCAAAGTTGAAGGTCATCCATGGGAACAGTGAGTGGAAATGGATGTATAAAAATGCAGGAACCCCACCCGCTGAATGCTTCCTATGTGCCAGGCACTGTTCACATTGCTTTACGTATGATCTCTAACTGTAGGATAGGTATTCTCACTCTTTTAGAAGGGGAAACCGAAGGAAAGAGGTTTCATATTCGCCCAAGATCATGCTACTAGGAAGGAGACCCCACTTCACAGCCCAGGTCTCTCCACTTCAAACCCTATCTCAACCAATGTGTGATGCTGCCTCTCAGTGTAATGTAAATTACCAACCTCTTTACAAAAACAACTGGGAAGTTTTTCAGTGATCTTTTCTACACATTATAAGAATTCTAAAATGATGGTGTTTGGGGTATATTCAAAGCTTCAGCCCTGCTTTGAAATTAGGGTTAACATGAATTTCTAAGTCTGAGGCAGTCCAGATTATTATTTTTAAGTATTTATTTTGGTTTTGTATTTTATATTGTTTTATATTTTAAAATTTATTTTTGAGACAGGATCTCACTCAGCCACGTAGGCTGGAGTGCAGTGATGAGATCATGGCTCACTACACCCTTGACCTCCTGAGCTCGAGCGATCCTCCCACCTCAGCCCAAGTAGCTGGGACCACAGGTGGGCTCCACCACACCTGGCTAATTTTTTTTTAATTTTTTATAGAGACGAGGTCTCGCCATGTTGCCCAGGCTGGTCTCAAACTCTGGGGCTCCAGCAAGCCTCCCTCCTTAACCTCCCAAAATGCTGGGATTACAGGTGTGAGCTACCACACCCAGCCTGGATTTTAAAAAGTGTTCAGTCAAGTAATATGGATAGTCTCATCAATATCCCCAATGCTTTAAAGTGGCCAGAGATTTCCCCTTACAAAGAAATATGAACTAGTGGAAGTCTGTTCTTGACAACTCGAGACATTTTCTTTGGGTTGTAAGTTTAATGGGGCACAATGAGAACAAGTTGATGATGGAAACGCATGTGTGCAGGAGAAGAGCCTAAGGGCAGTGTGTGACTGGCAACCTCTTTACTCTCCAAATGCAAATGAAGCAATCCAGCCCTCCTGACTTCAGTCCAGCAGGGATCTGAAGCAAGGGTATCACTTTGAGGTGTCAATGCTATCACAGGTAATTGGAAGTTCTCAGACACTTCCAAAAAAAGAAAAACATCCCAGAGAGGGAGCCTGCCTCTTCGCTCTTGTCCGAGGGTGTTGCTGATATTACTCAATAATGGAGACCCAGCAGTAAAGATATTCCATTAGGACTCCTTTGTCAGCATCTTGTGTAGCACGGATTCATGATTCACTGAAGCACTGTCTACCAAATCATGGTTAAGAGGTGAATTCATTTTAAGGAACTTATACCAGATTAGTGAAAACTTCACCATCCCAGGCAACTATATACAATACTCTGTAGTTGAAAGCAACGTTACATTTGATGCCCACCTAAAAAGCTCAAACTCTACAGGATATACTCGTCATTTCAGCAAAGAACAACAACAAAAGGCTGTGAAATTTTCAGCATTCTCATCCAGGGGTGTGAAGGACTACTTAAAAAACATACCCTGGAAGTGAAAACAGTTTTTCCTACCAAGGACTTTTGGCATACACAATATAGAAAATTTCTTCCCAAAATATTTTTTCTAAAAAGTCTTCTGTTACATATTCATGTTACCTCAAACTTGAAATACTTATGAGCAAATGATATATAAAATTGGCTTACAAACTACCAAATATATTTTATATTTGCCCCAAAACTCATTCAGTAGCATTGACTTGAAATGGTTTCAATATCCCAGAAATTCATCTCTTTATTCCAAGCCTTCCCCTTTAATCTTGCTGATTAAATTAATCTTGATCTCTTCCCCTTTAATCTTGCTGAGCTACTAAAAGAAAAATAATGCTGGCAAGAAAACAGCAGTTGCCAGTAGTTGTAAAAACAGGGGTCCATTCCTGGTCAAGGCACCGCCTGTGGGAATCGCCCAGTGGCCACACTCACCATGAAGCCCTTCAGAGTCCGGTAGTGAGGGTCCAGCAGCAGGCTTGCCACCGAGCACACCTGAGCGGTCCTGTCCCAGCCATCAGAACAGTGAACAAGCACACTTGCCCCTTCCTCTGACACTGCCTAGAAAACACACGATCCGCAAAGAGTCACAAAGAATGGCTGTAAAAAGGCAGAACCTCTCATCACAGCCAGGTTTGACTGTATATTTACAGAAAGAAACAGCCAAAACGAAACACCTGTCCATTCGTCTGTTTAGGGCCCCCCCTAATTAGGGCAGAGCCAGAGTGGCCTGGTGCTGGCAGCTAAAGCTTTCCCTTCCCATTCTATCCAGAAGCCACCACTCAAGTCACCTCCAATAAGCGCATGTACTTACTAAACATAAGCATTCGTCCTATGCAAACGGACCTTCAACCCTCTTCCCTCCCCTCTGAGTTTCCACATTAAGCCTTACTGAAATTCTGGAGTTGCTACTGGCCCCAGCCATTTCCAAAAAGGAAAAGGCAAAAAAGTTATAAATTACAGACCTATGAAGTTATAAATAAAAGGTAAGCGTCAAGTAATGGATGTAAGGTTGAGGAAAGGAAAAAACAAAAGTAAAAATGACACCAGAAAATCTCCAGTAAGAAAAGAATATCTATTTGCTATTGCAAATGCACATCATTTTTTACTAAATATCTTGGCAGTTAACATACGCTGGGAAACATGGGAGAGATTTCATCATAGCATTTATCACTACCTAAAATTCTAGTTTTATTAGTTTATTAATACTCTGTCTCAGCTGGAGGCAGTGGCTCACGCATGTAATCCCAGCACTTTGGGAGGCCGTGGCGGGTGGATCACCTGAGGTCAGGAGTCCGTGACCAGCCTGACCAACATGGTGAAACCCCGTCTCTACTAAAAATACAAAAATTAGCCAGGCATAGTGGCGCGTGCCAGTAATTCCAGCTACTTGGGAGGCTGAGACAGAAGAATCGCTTGAACCTGGGAGGCAGAGGTTGCAGCAAGCTGAGATCGTGCCACTGCACTCCAGCCTGGGTGACAGAGCGAGACTCCCTCTCAAAAAAAAAAAAAAAAAAAAAAAAAAATTCTCTGTCTCCCCCAGCAGAATATAAGCTCTGTGAGGGAAGAGACTTGATCTGCCTTATTCACATCACATCTGTAAAATCTAGAATAGTACCTGGCACTAAATAAAGATTTCTTGAATAAATGATTACCTCAAAACAGGGAACATACCATGGCATCAGGGAAGATATGGTTCTCTTTAGGTATAAATCCAAGGTATTTATTTCTTTAAAAAAAACTGAACAACACAAAAGACATTGCATTCTAAAACAGCTTATGTGAAAGCTGCAGCGACATTTTCCTATGGCGGAATGGACTCTACCTTCCAGCTACAGGAACATGACTTTTGCTTATGCCATGACTAAAAAGAAGGCTCTACTGGATGTAAGCCCCAAGCCCCATCACTGAAGTAACTCACATTTGGTTGTATTCTACAGAAAATTCTTTCCTCCATCCAGGATTAAGCCTAATGGAAGAGAATACTCTGGAAATATTTTACCATTTGATCACAGTGCTGACACACTATCAGCTAAGCATTGTATTCTTTCGCAAAATCATATCTTCAGCGCACAGACTACGGAGCTCTACAAAGCTGGCTATCCAGTCAGTGCAGTGCAGCTTAAGACAGGGAAGCCCATGGCAGAGGGATACCCATTTTGAAGTCAGTGGTTTGCTCATCTGTCCCTTAATTTATTTTCTCTGCAATTGCATACCTTTGCAATGAAGATTCCTGCATCCATTATGGCTTTAATGTGCCTTAACCAGCCAGAGTTCTCCAGACCCCACAGGAAATCACTCATGGAGGGAGATTTAAGTTCACACACTGCAAGATAAATCATGTTATAAAAGCAAAATTAAGGTACTCTCTCATTTTACATATGATCATGTTTTATAGGTAGTTTGTTAATGATTCCTTTGTTGTATTAGGTATTTTCTGGAAGCAAGCCTTAAGTCAAAATAAATACCCACGTTTACTAAACTTGATTCTATGGAACCATTTCAAGTAAGGCTTTTCTACCTTCTCTGGTCACAGGGAATGCTGCACTTGTTTACAAGTATTATATATATGTAAGGTTGAAATCCTAATATTAATGAAAATCATTAAGAGTTCTGGCAGAAAATATCGATTTGCCTTTCCAGCAAAGTAATTAAAAATGGGCCACTAAGGAATATGAATTGGGAGTGCTATGAGGAAAAAAATCATATAACTAAGTGTAGCACCTACCCACTTAGAAGTTTCTGTCACCCAACCACTTCAGATTAGGACTGTTGTAAAAACACAAGACAGAGCGATCCTAAATTTCTTAAATGAAAATGATCAAACTCCTCTTGCCAATAACCCCCACCCAATGGGAGTAAGGCCTGTAAGCTTAAAAATAACACATATGCCTCTGATCCAATTCTAGAGCATCAGGGTAGAGGCTTTCCCTTTGAGTGAAAATGAAGAAAACCTAGGATCCCAGTGGTATCTATATTTACACAACTAAGGCAGGTGTATAAACACCTCTATAATATTATAAACCACCAACTTTCACCTCAGGAGCTTCTTTTATTTAACGTAAAGCATTAAAAAGCTTCAGAGCTAGTGTTCTGAGTACATATCACAAATACGGCAATCCAAAGTGGAGGTTTAGACCTATAAAGCCCTATTGAGGAGTCTTATCAATCAACCAATGAAATTCAATCAAGAAATCATAGATTTCTTTTTATTTTATTGTTCTCTGTGATGCAGTAAACACACATAGGGAAAAGGGAGCCCATTTTTCTACCCCCAACTCCATGGGCAATGAGCTGTGTAGTCTTGCACATGTTATTCCAGTCTCTGAGCCTCAATTTCTTCATTTTTAAAATGGGGAAGGTGTATAAATTATATCCTTCCAACTGTAAACCCCCAGATTCAACTTTGTGAACTCTTTGAAAGCACTGTGCATATGGGTCACATAGCAGCATTAACAAAAATATTAATTTATCAGATGCCCTGCCTCCAAGAATGCAGATAAGAGGATTCACTGTGATTTCCTGCAGCATAAAAGCCACACACAAAAAAGCACAAGTAGTTAAATTCTGAGTCATAGATGACAACAGTGTTGAAGGAAATAACACCAAAATTCCCAGCAAAACACCCAACCTAAGAAAAACATATTATGAATATGTTCAGGCAAGATTCCAAAATCTTCCTTCCAAATGCCTGCCCTGAGCTAGAAGCACAGCTCTGAAGACCTGATATGCAGTCGGTGAAGGGACAGCCCTTTGAATTCGCTCTGGTTCAGAGCACTACCTTTCTAAGGTCACAGTGTTGCCCCTTGCACACCTCAGGCCCAGCATCACAGGCAGGAAGACACTATGTGTCTGATAAAGTACATGCAGAACGGTAAATGAGAGGGTGCTTAGTGGAAGGCCAGTGAAAAATACACACAATGATTCACAGAATCTATGGCTATATATTAGCCCTGTGGCCCTTGGGTAGTCAGCCGTGGGCTGAGAGTTCCCAAGCTTACAGTTTTAATCATTAAAAGTTATACAATATTTAAACATATGAAGTTTAAAATGTAGTATGTCCTGACAATGAAATACTGTTCAGTGATAAAAGGAGATGAGCTATGAAAAGACACAGAGGGAAGTTAAATGCACAGTGCTAAGGGAAAGAAGCCAACTTTTCCTTGAAAAGGCTACATATTATATGATGTCAACTATATGACCTCCTAGAAAAGGCAAAACTACGGAGACAGTAAAAAAATCAGCGGCTGCCAGGGGTTAGGGTTGTGAGGGAAATAAATAGGTGGGGCACAAGAATGTTTAGGGCAGAAAACTACGACAGTGGTTACATTTATTAAACGTGTCAAAACCCACAGAATGTCCAACAGCAAGAGGGAACCGTACAGTGGACTTTGAGTGATACCGATGTGCCAATGTAGGTGCACTGATCACAACAATGTACCACTCCGTCGGGGATGTGAATAATGCAGGTGGCTGTGCATGTGTGCAGGCAGGGCTAGCTGGGACTCTCCGTACCTTCTGCTCAATTTTGCTGTGAATCTAAAACTGCTCTTAAAAAGAAAAAGTCTTTAAAAACATGATAATGTAACAGACATCCAGATTGGCCACAACTGCTCCAGATGTCTCTTAAGAAAAAAAAACAAAACAGAAAAAAGGCTGGGCACAGTGCCTCACACCTGTAATCCCAGCACTTTGAGAGGCCAAGTCAGAAGGATCATTTGAGTCAAGGAGTTCAAGAACAGCCTATATAAAGTAGTGAGACTCAGGCTCTACAAAAAAGAGAAAAAATGAGCGAGACTGAGTGGCACATGCCTACTGTCCCAGCTACTTGGGAGGCTGAGTTGAGAGGATCACTTCAACCCAGGAGTTTGAGGCTGCAGTGAGCTATGATCTTGCCACTGCACTCCATCCTGGGTGATGACAGAGCCAGATCCTATCTCTAAAAAATAAAGTTACAAATAAAGTCTCGTGTTTTCGTGTCATCCTGCTTCTTTCCTATGAAGATTGTTAATATTCCCAAGAACTTTTTGTCCTTTCACTACTTACATACTAGCTATGTGGGCTTGGGCAGATTACTTAGCCTCTCTGTCCTTCAGTTTCCTCAACTGTAAAATGGTAATAATAGCCTCTGTATCAAACTGTTATTATTTATGTTAGCCCTTATTACTATTATTCTCAAATAATATATATATTTTATAGGTACTAAAATTTACATATATATTATAGTCTGCAATTTTTATCCAACTTTTTTTAGATATCCATATTATGTAAATAAATTTCATTAATTTTAACAGCTATATAATATTCCACTCTATATCTTAAATTATTTATCCATCCCCCTACTGTTGACAGTTGTTCCCTCCTTTTCAATATTTACAAACAGTACAGTAAAAAAAAAAAAAAACCTTTCTACAGTCTCCTTGTGGAAAGTCTCCCTGTACCTGGATTTCTATAAGTGAAATGGGCTGGGTCATAGAGTTCCTAAGTCTTCAGCTCTATCATGCACAGTTGGCCCTCTGTATTCTCGGGTTCCACATCCTTGGAGTCAACCAACCACAGAGCACAAATATTTGAAAAAAATAAAAATAACAATACAACAAAAAATAATGGTAATAGAAAACCAATCCAGTGTAACGACTATTTACACAGCACCTACATTGTATTAAGTATTGCAAGTAATCTAGAGATGATTTTAAATATATGGGAGGATGTGCATAGGCTATATGCAAATACACCATGTTATTATGTAAGGGACTTCTGCGTGTGTGGATTTGAGAATCTATGGGGGCTGGGGTGGGGGTGCTGGAAACAATTCTCCTTGGATACTGAGGGATGACTCTACTGCCAAATTGCTCTTGAAAAGGGCTGCAGTGGTTTATGCTCTCACCAGTAGGTTGGGAAAGTTCCTTTTCCCATATCCCAACTAATACTTGGTAATGCTGATGCTTTAAGTTTTGCCAATCTTATAATATTTCTCTAAGAATATTAATGGCAGTTTTTGTTTTCTTCTCTGAATGTTGTTTTCCAGACTTTTTAGAATTTGCTTGCTTATATGTGTGTGTGTTGTGGGGGTGTGGTCTCTGTCCTGCATGTTGAGCTTTCCTCAGTTTTCTGCTAATTTTTGCCTATCCATTCACATGTAAGAGCAAGACACAGGATGCTGGCTGGCAGTGCCGTGTGCCGTGTGCATGGGCAGGCTTTCTTAGCTGCCAAGCTTTGCTATGGGGGATTTGGCCAATGTAACATCTGCGAGTCCTTTGTCTTCGATGTTTGTAGGCCCCGGCATGGAATCTTCTGAACACCTGAGTGCATCACGTTGGATGCCAGTGTCCTAAGAGGACAGCTGGGGCAGTAACCATGGGTCTCATTCTTCCATACTTACACTTTCACTTAACCCCTGTTTTTGGCCTGGAATTCCCCATCCCCTCTTCCAGCTTTGCCTGGTACTCCTGATCCCAGAGTCCCTGCGGTCAACGTTTCCAGAAAGGTTGACTTTCCAGAAAGTGTATCACCATCTTCTCTTGTGGAAGTGTGGAAAGAGGCTTCACTAGGCAGTGCAGGGGAGGAAGGAGGCTGGGACCCAATGAACTGCTTCTCGTGCAAACATTCGGCTACTACTCGTTTCAGAGATACCTGATGGCTCGAATTCCAGAGATTGTCTAAGGATCTGCACTTCTATTTAGCTTACTTTGGGGTTTCTCATACTTCCGCCATAAATTGCAGCTTTTTTTTCTAGTCTGTGGCATTACTTATCACTCATCCATTTATTTTGCAGCTTTTATATTTTTGTTTCCATGACCTCCTCTTTCAATCTCCCGTCCTTCTGTATTTTTGCCTTTTTTTCCACTTCATTCTCATTTCAGTGGGAAGTCAGGAGGAGGTGGGTAAGTTATTATATGTTGTGTTTAACTGGAACAGAAACAAGAAATTCCTTTGGGTCTGTGCAAGGCAGAAGCTGGAACTGAGACTCCCTACATCAAACTGAGCTGTTAAAAAAAATCCACTCATGCACTCAGGATGATGATGGGAAGCCAGTCTCTGCCTGGACCCTGCATGAGGAAAACAAAAATCTCTCCTGAGATGCTGAAACCCTGGGCCTAGTCTCACACATGTTTGGGATCCGAACACACCTTCCTTATGCACGGAAGCCCCCAAGATAAGGAATTATCATGCTCGGGCTGGGAATCTCACAGACACCCAGCAGACGTACACCAAATGCTGCTTAGGAGCAGCGCTTCCACAGTTCTGTGGAGTCCACAGAAAAAGCTGGGCTGAAGACAAGTTTACAGCACACCAGTGAACAGCGTTCATGATAATGGCTAGCAGGCAGAGGAAAAAAGGTACAGGATGAGCACCCCAAGACCCCGATATGATAGAACAGTCATCTGGAACAGGCTTTAGGTTACTGGAACTGCAGCAGGAGGATGGACGGCTCCCACAAACATAACGGATAGTGTTCCCGATGGGTCTGGACTCGCTCTTCCTGTGGTTCCAGGAGGAATCGCTGTTGGCCACTGCAGTGGGGTCCTACCGCATCATGTCAGCTAATTCACAGCCAGGTTTCCTGAGATTCTCTTGTCTGGATGGTTCCAGGTTAGGGTCTGCTACAGGTATTGTGCATGTTTGGAAGGTGACGTGAAGTGGCAGCTGATGAAGCTGTCCCTGCCCACTCCAATCTGTCCTCACTCCCCTGCCTCTGATGGCCAGTTCTGTGCCCCCCAGGGACAGCTGACACAGGAGAAGCAGCCTCCACAGGCATCCTCTCCAGCCCCTGCTGCAGGCCTTCACCAGTGACTTGTCCTCTGCTCTTCCAGGCACCCAGCCCTACACCCTCACATCTCCAACGTCTCCTGAAAACAAGAGCACTGCTCATTGTCCTGCTTCCCTGATCGAACTCACCGACACTTCCAAATGTTTTTAACAGCAGGGATTTCACATTAGCTTACTCTGCCATCTTGGGGAAATAGGAGGGCCTCCTTGTTTAACTTAGATTTTAGTATTATGTGAACTGAACCATACGTCTGAGTAATAATCATGATATACGCATGGGCAATAGCACGTAGCAATGTTTAAGGGCTTCAGAGGCAGACACAGCTGCACTCAAACTCCAGCTCTGCCCATGCTCAACATGGTAACCTGGGCTAGTTACTGAGCCTCGCTGTCTTCAAATATAAAATGGGGATAAAAACACCTTCCTCAAACAGTTGTGAAGATGAAATAATACCAATAAGCATTACACTGGCATAAAGAAGATTCCCGAAAATGGTAGCTATGATACACATTGTATTATCTGTGCCTCCAGCAGGGGTGTCCTGGGAGGAAGGAGCTGTTAGACTCACTCAAACATGTCAACGCTGAAGCTCCGAAAAGTTAAGGCACGAAGTGATCAACAGCAGAAAGACATCTCAAATGCAAGTCTTCTGAGAGACAAACCTCGAGTTTTTGCCACCACATCATGGCTACCTTGGTGGGTTTTACCAGAAATAATAATAATAATAGTGACACTTACATACCAGGTACCAGACACTATGCTTTATATAGATTAGCTTTAGCTTTTCAATCCTCAAACAATCATTCTGAGGAAGGCACTTATTATTCTCATTCTTGATTGTGGAAACCAATGCAAACAGAGGCTAAGTGCTTGTCCAGCATCTCCCAGCTGATGGATACGTGGTGAGACGAGGCTCCAGTCTGGCTCCAGTCTGGCTCTTAATTAATGCCTCTCAACCTCAGGTTGGTTTTTTTTCATAATTCAGCAGGAACCAATCTTGGTTCCCAAATACCATCAGCTTAAAGGTTGTGCTTTCTATCACTTACAACAGTGCTGCCCTAATACAGGACTCACTAGTCACATGTGGCTACGAAACACTTGAAATATGTCTGATCAGGATTGAGATAGATATGCTGTAAGTGTAAAATATGAATCAAATTTTAAAGGCATGCTACACACAAAAAATGCAAAAACACTTCATTACTAGCTTTTTATACTGATAATGTTGAAATAACATTTGGGATAGACGGGGTTAAATAAAATACATTATGAAAATTAATAATATAAATATATATATTTACATAACATATGAGATTTTCTTTTTACTTTTAATGTGGCCACCAGAAAGTTTAAAATTCCAAATGTTTTCTGCACTTGTGTCTTGCATTTTACTTCTATGCACAGTATTGACTTAGACTGCTCAAGGAAGCTGAATCTGATCAAAAGTCTTCAAACATTTTTGCACATGTACCTCTAAAATAAAATATGAAACTACATATTCCCTCACACACCCTGAGATGATGCATGATAGCAAGACGGAGGGTGTGGTAAAGGGTATGTTTTTTTTTGTAAGGTGGCAACAAGGCAATTGGGAAGGGAGCTGAGAAGGGAGAGCTGGCTTAAAGCTGGCCCCAGGAGCATTCTGAGAGGCAGGTCATGTAATCGTAGTAAGGAGGACATACAGAAGCTGATGATCTAGAAGCCAATTTCCATAAAGTAATGTACCCAGGGTGCAATTCAAAAAGTCTTCCTGTGAATTCAGGGGTGCATGGACCCAATTGGAAGACAGCACAATCTGATGCAAAGGCCAAGTGCCAGCCCCGAGTTAAAACTGAGCAAGCTCGGCCCTTCTGGAGATCTGATGCCTTGTGACAGTGCCCAGCAATACCAGACAGGCCCTCCAAGCATCAGGCTCACTTCTGCCTATGCACGCGGCCCTGAAACACGGCCCAGTGGAAAGCATGGCAAATTCCAGCACCCTCCATGAGCTCTCACCACTCCCTGGGCGCCTGCTGTTTGGGCTTTCTGTCCAACCCCAGGCCATGCCCCAAAGTGTTCAACTTAATCCTAAAATACACACATTCCACTGCGTGAAGTCTCAGGATGCAATTGATTCCTCCAAGCCTTCCATAGATAACATTCTCTTGCAGTCTTTTTTTTTACTGAACAGGCCAAACTTTCCAGTTGTTATTATAGGGCTTAGGGCTAGTTAGCATTCTCGTTGATTATAAGTTCAGGGGGCCTGAGGAATACCTTGGCATCTAAGCTCTGACGCTTAGCCCAGGAACAAAAGATCCTTTTCACCACCTTCTCTTCCCACAAGGCATGGAAATGACTGCAAGTTTAAAAATAAAGACACTGGGCTTGCCAGCTAACCTGGAAATGGCCTGTGCCAAAAGCAAGAGAGGAATGGATGGCCACAGGACCAGGCCCTAGAATGTCCTGCCAGAGAGAATGTCCCCACGCTTCTCTGTCCAGTTAGCTCTCAGCAATGGGACAGGCTGCTGTGGCTCTCACCATGTCAGCACTAACAAGGCTTCTTGTTCAACATTTCTGTTTTCAGGAGCATTAACATTGCGTGTGCTAAGTAAAATAACCCCACCAGTTTCTCAAGCAAAGTTAACCACTGAGAGGGTGTTTTCTTCCCCTGTGTGCTGAGTGGCAGTGTGAAAAGCAAAGAGGTCTGCAGATGATTAATAGACATGGGCAGATGGGGATACACTTGAGACCAAAGCGATTAGCGCCTGGATTTTTAAATATAAAACTGTTGGGTTTGTTTGGATAAACTCAGGATAAGGCAGAAATACTTATTTGTTCACTCTTGTTGCCAAACCCAAACCAATATTTACAAACCATTTTGCTGAACAAAGTTCATTTCAGCTGACATCAGAGACATATGCCACAAATTGCAGAGAATGGGGCTTACTAATCCTGAGTTTCATGCCCAGGTCTAGTGATATTTGTTTTATATAAAAGGACAACTACATGTCACAAACATATATAAACTACAGTAAAAAAATAAAAAAGCAAAGACAAAAGATATAATTTTAGGACCTCTGCAAATGTGGAATTTACTTAGAAGAAAATAAGCCTCAGATAATCTGCCTTAGGTATTTCCTATACCACTCTTATTTTCTCCTATGCAATTGCTGGTGGGGTCAGTGAGGGTGCAGAAAAAGTCTCCATTTGAACCCTGTGGGGTTGGTCTTTCTTGTACCCTGAGATCTGAAGTTGAAACATATACAGCCCTCCCTTGATTACCAGCCCAGCACTTGTCTGAGTTCTGCCTGTTGGCTCTGTCCTCTTCCCATTTTGGAGTCATGAAGCCAAGATCCATAAGACAGTCTTCAGAGAACTGGCAAAATGATGATAATGTCCCTCCACTGAACATCCACCAGGTGAAGCCATTCAAAGAGGACTTTATTATGGCCTGTACGAGCGAAGTGTTTAGGCTACACAAGCTCATCACCATGTGTTCCAGAATACTATTTACCAATGGCCTAAAGAAAATCAAGCAGCAAGTTCATAGAATAATGTGCTATTAGTATATATGAATGTGAATTTTTGTGTCTAAAGACAAATTCACAGTGTATCATGGTAACCTGTACTATCCTAGGTTTAACACGTGGTAAGGAAAAGTGAGTATTAACTGCAGAGGTGTGTAAAACTTTGCAACAAATAAAAAACATGTGGCTGGGCACATTGGGTCATGCCTGTAATCCCAGAACTTTGGGAGGCCAAGGCAGTAGGATTGCTTGAGCCCAGGAGTTCAAGATCAACCTGGGTAATGTAGCAAGACCCCATCTCTACAAAAAATAAAAATAAAAAATTAGCTGGGTGTGGAGGTGCACGCCTGTAGTCCCAGATACTCAGGAGGGTGAGGCAGGAGGATCACTTGAGCCCAGGAGTCAGAGGCTGCTGTGAGCTACAGTTGCATCACTGCACTTCAGCCTGGACAACACAGGGAGACCCTCTCTCTTATTTTAAAAATATATGTATGTGTGTGCCCATTTCTGTTACATCTGCCATATGTAAATAATGGGGCTTGGTGCTTTCATCTTAATGAACCTTCACAACCTCCCATCTAGAGTGGATTGAATTATCTTTTTTTTTTTTTTTTTGAGACAGTCTTGCTCTGTCGCCCAGGCTGGAGTGCAGTGGTGTGATCTCGGCTCACTGTAACCTCCACCTCCCGGATTCAAGCAATTCTCCTGCCTCAGCCTCCTGAGTAGCTGGGACTACAGGCATACACCACCACGCCCAGCTAATTTTTGTATTTTCAGTAGAGATGGGGTTTCACCATGTCGGACAGCAGGTCTCAAACTCCTGACCTCAGGTTATCCACCTGCCTCAGCCTCCCACAGTGCTGAGATTACAGGTATGAGCCACCACACCCAGCCAACAGAATTATCTTGATTTATTAAGGAGTAATGGGCTCAGATGCTAGCAACACAGCAAATACACTGGGGTCGAAATCTACATCCCTTGACTCCACTTTCCATATTATTTTCACTAAAAAATAGAGAATAATTAAAAGTCAATATACAAACGGAGCCAGGATGAACAGGAACCAAACTGAAGGTAGGGTTTAAGGGATGCTAAAATCTAACAGGGAACTCCAAGCAAATGGCACAAGAGAAGTCGACACTGGGAAAAGATGGGGTGTTGAGAGGCTGGAAAGTCCGGCGTGGATGTAAAGTGGTAGGCACTAGAGAGGAGGCCAGGAATCCCGGAAGACTGAGATGGTGGCTGCCAGTAACTCAAGTGGTAAAATGAGCAGCACTTGCAGCAGAGGCCGCAGGGGTGGGGGGTCATTCCACACACCTCATGCCAGCTGAGAAAGCTTCCAGGACCAACACTCCTATGAACTTTGAGACTGTATTGTCACTGGCAAGCAAATATCGAACTGCCAAACCCCACCTAGAGCCTTATGGAGAAAGCTCCTTTTATCACTAACATTAGCCACAACTGTCTTGAGTTTGATGGGCTACACTTTCTTCTACAAGCACTCATTTTGAAGCTCTCCTAGTTCTCTGAAAATCTGCCATCTTGGTTAACAGAACAATAATTCTGAAGGTGAACATTTTAAAATTAATCTTTGAACTGTCTCAGTGCACTGCAAAATAAAACATCGCTGAGAGAAATATAACTACTATTCTCTCATTAAATAACCTTCTTTTCTTTTGTCCCTTTGATAATGTCAAACGCTTTGGCTTTGACATCCAGTTAAAACATTCAATGTGACTTACCCAGGGAAGGCCCTCAGTGACATCACTAATAAACAAGCAAGATCTTTCCTTCCTGCCATGATTTCTGCTCTAGGTCAAAATTGGTTACTTCTTTCAGAATAAATGAAGGAAGCACTTGTCTATCCAATGCCTGGCATATAGAACACTCTCAGTAACTGTCTGATGAATAGATGAGCGTCTGCGATAAATGTCCCGGCTCCTGTGTGTTAAGTACTTACTACAAGCAGGTATTGTGCCTGAGGCTCTGCATAATCTACCCTACAGGGTAGATGCACTCTCCATCTTCAGATTGGAAACAGTGGCTTCAAGAGGTTTCCCAGGCCATCCATGGTTACATAGCCAGTAAATAACTGAGCTGGAATCCATTCCACCGCACATGCATCCATGCTCTTCCTCTAGCCTCTGCCTCTGCGCTTAGTGTTGGACGGTCCAGATGGGCAGATCCCATCCAGCACCTGAGCAGCTGTGTTTGAAATCCTCATACAACACCAGAGAGGCAAAAGCACACATACTTGATCCATTTCCTTCTTCTAAATGACCATGTCGATAGCCAGTGAAGCCTAACAGGCTGCTGGTCTAGCAGAACACTTGTTAATAGGCCATACAAACTGCTATTTCCATGTAGAGCGACCTATTTCCACTTTAATGGGAAAATGGGTTTTCTATGTGGAAACCTAGGCCAAGGTGCCAAATTTTGAGAAAGAAATGACTAGATTTTCAGGTTATTATTGGTTATCTCCTCCAATAGCTAAGTAATCTGAGGAAATTAATAATGGTTAAAAACTGAGACTACAGAAAGCTGGAGAAGGACCAACCTTTACAGCTTTTCATTAGCTCACATCTGGTAGAATTTCACAGCATAAATTTGCAGGTAATGTGATAAAAGAAATACTTTTAAATGAAAAGCTTAAATTTGCAATATCTACAAAGGGCTGAGTCCATCTTCCATTTCCTCAAGGTTGAATTAGCCAGCACTCCATAAAGACATGAGGTACGGAAGAATGTGTCGAGCAAAAGGGACATCGGAACCGACAGCCACAGCCTCTCCTCTCCAAGCAGAGAGAACTATTTCAGAGAAACCACTGGAGCTGGGTGTGTCCGGGGCTCTTCCCTTTAGACTGCCTCCAAGGCACCTTGGCAGGGAGACTAGAGCAGGCATCCAACATGTGACCGTCATACCCACCACGATGGTGCCTCCCACGACAACTCCAAGTGCTCTGCCTCCAACCATCCTTTCCACACCGAATGAAGATTTCAATCCATCAGGCCTCAAAACCTTTGCGTGGAAGAACAGATCGGGTATCATCTCTAGGGCCACCTGACTTTGCCACAAAACATTCTCCACAGTCAATGCCCATCATGTCAGGGAACATTTTTTTAAGTGGTTCTATTTTGAGGCCTGCTAAAAAGATTCCAGTCTTTTAGAATGGATCTGCTTGGCCCCCTTTCATTCAGTCCCTGACCGTACGATCGCCCACATGCCTGAGCTGACGCGGGGCCTGCGTCCCACATGCTCTGGGCTCACTTCCCCTGCTCCACTGTCAGGCTAAGATTTGCAAGTCCACAGAACAACTTGCTGAGAAAATACCCAAAGGCCTATGTCTTGTTTATTAAATCATTTTTGATGAACGTGCGCTGATTGCACACAGACCCTATCACGAGACAAACACTTCTGAAACTGTGCTCTTACTTCATGTCTTTTGAATAAAGAAATTCAGCAAATGTACCCATAGGAAGGCATGGGGCCTACCAAATACTTGCCTGGCTGACTGAATTCACCTACAGCCCATCAACGTATCCATTTCATTGAGTGCTTATTTTCAAATACATTATTGCTTCCCAAGAGAAAGCATACCCACCTTACACTGGAAAGCACTTTATAGTTTGCAAGAAATCCTTTTAATGATCATGAATTAAAGTGGGGAAGATATGTTGCTTACATTGCTTTACAAATACAGAAAATGAGATTTGTTCAAGTTTACGCAGAGACTCAATCAAGAACCCAAACCTAGGACTTCACACACTGAGGCCAGGGCACCTTCCATTCCAACCCACTACCTCGAGAGGCAGAAAAGCCTGGTGGTTAAGAGTGAGGCATCTGCACTCACAGTAAGTAGGTAAAAATGGTGGTTCTACCACTTACTATTTTGAGCTGAAACAGGTTTCTCAGGCTCTGTGCCTCAATTTCCTCATCCGTAAAATGAAGATAAGAGTGGCAACAACAACTTCAATGAGGTTTACTTGAGTAAATACAGCTTAAAAAATCTGAACCGTGTCCAATACATAGTAAGCCTTCCATAAACGTATCTTCATTACGATGTGAGGTGGTTATAATGATCCTTGCAGTTCATATAATGATCCTTGTGGTCACAAGCTGTGAGCTTGTCTTACATCAGAATCACTACTCAACAACGATCACTGTAATATGATAAAAAGTGCTAGGTTAAAATACTGCTTTGTAACGTGATACTGGAAAGGATGTTTTTAAAAGACAATTTAAAAGTGTAATACACCAGACTCTGTAACTGGAGAGAGGCACTCCCACTGGCCTTGAAGAAACAGGCTGCCATGCTGTGAACAGCCAACATGTGGGGCCCTCAGCTGAATTCTGCCAACAACCATAAGTGCTTGGAAGTAGGTTCTTCCCTGTTCAAACTTCCTGATGAGAACGCAGCCCAGCTGCCACTTTGACTGCAGCCTTGAAAGATGCTAAGAGGGTCCCTGAGTTCCAATTTATGCTTGAGAAACATCCAGACTCCTGCCCTACAGAAACCATGAGATAATAAATATCATTTTTTAAAAAAGGAATATACCGACCATAGCAAGTATTTTGTAAATAAAGAGGGAAAAAGGGAATAACATCAGTCTTATCTTTCCTTGGTAATGCAGTGACCATTCTGCACATGCTCTCCTAGTCTTTCTTCAGACATATGATTTACTGTATAGTGAATAAGAATATGCAAGCAATTTTACGACCTGAATTTTTTGCTTACATTATACATATTCTCCCATGTTAGTACATATAGTCTTCACATTTAGTATTTTTCATGGATGCAAACTTTTCTATCAAGAAGGTGAAGTAAAATTAATCAGTCTACTACTGTTAGACATTCATTCGGCTTCCAATATTCTACTATTATAAATAAAACACTACTATCAACATAGGCATGTCTATATCTTATTTTATTTTTGAGACAGAGCCTAACTCTCTGTCACCCAGGCTGGAGTCCAGTGGCACGATCATGGCTTACTGCAGCCTCAACCTCCCAGGCCCAAGTGATCCTCCCACATCAGCTTCCTGAGCAGCTGGGACTACAGGCACACACCACCACGCCTGGTTGATTTTTTTTATTTTTTAAATTTTCTGTAGAGACAGGGTCTCACTGTGTTGCCCAGGCTGGTCTCAAACTCCTGTGGCTCAAGTAATCCTCAATGTCTCAGCCTCCCAAAGTGCTGGGATTATAGGCATGAGCCTCCATGCCCTTCCTGTATCTTTATTTTTTAAAAACGTATTTTGGATTAGTCCCTAAGAGGAAGAAACCTGGTAAAAAAAAAAACTATCTCTAAACCAAATATATTATGTCTGTCTAAGCCAATTTAAATAATACGATAAATATTTAGAGCACTAGTTTTACCACATTCTTTTGAGTATTGAATATCTTAATTTGTAAAAAATTGGGTGGCAAATGGTACTTTGAGGTTTTAACTTACATTTCTCTAATTACCAGAGCAAATTTACATGTTTATCTACATGTTTATTTCAACTTACTGTTTACTCTTTTAAAAAATTATGCTTTTTCATCTATACAGTACAGATAATACCACATACTGCACACAATTGTTGTGAAAATCTCATACAATCATTTAAATGAAAATACTTATGAAGTGTGGCAAAGAGCAGTTGCTCAATTTTTAGTTTAATGAATACATTGATGAATAAGTGGTCAGTGAAACAATGACCAACAGTATTAATCTAACAGTCACGTGGAAGGTAGGCAGGCACAAAGCTACTCGTGGGGAGAAAGTGAAATTTTCTAGGTGACCTCCAAAAGATGGCAAGTTGATTGGCAGAGGAGGAAGATGTCCCTGTTGCTTCTTTCCTATCAGTGCCTGCTGACCTTCAGGGCAGATATGAAGGGTGTCCCAGTGGGGCACACCCTCAACAAGTGGAGAGATGCAAGTAACTCCATACACCTTTCCACCTTCCTCTTCACCACTTCCTCCCCAACACCCAGGATGCCTAAGAGGTAAAAGCTCCACCTCTGCTGATAATAATAGGCTGGCCTTGAAAGGGACTATTCCAGGCTCTTCTACGGACTGTTTTAATGGATGGAGCTGGAAGCCATTATCCTCAGTAAACTAACTCAGGAATAGAAAACCAAGCACCACATGTTCTCACTTAAAAGTGGGAGCTGAACAATGAGAACACATGGCCACACGTAGGGGAATAACACACATTGGGGCCTGTTGGCGGGGGTGGGGGAGTGGAGGGAGAGCATAAGGAAAAATAGCTAATGCCTGCTAGGCTTAACAGTTAGATGATGGGTTGACAGGTGCAGCAAACCATCATGGCACACGTTCACTTATGTACATCCTGCACATACCCCAGAACTTAAAAATTTTAAATAAAAAAAGAAAATACAGGGTATCCTCTTATTACTTGAGGGAAAAGCCAGTATCTATATTATCAAAAGGGAAACTATCGTGAAAATCACTTCATTAAATAACAAAATTGCTTGCTATGTGACTGAAAGGCATCATTTTCTCTCCTTACGAAATACAGATCCCACAAAAATAGTTTGGTTGAGACTTACAAATGGAAGTTAAAATTAGATCATCTCTATAGAGGACCTACACAGGATGTGAACTTGGTCCTAGATTTCAGTTTCTGATGAAATACCTTGCAGCTCTTGCTCACAGACAGCTGTTTGAAACCAGAACGCAAACAATTTTACTTTTCTGTTATTCAGAATCTATTCTGATTATATCCATAACAGTAGTAAAAAATAATTCAGAAAATAATAATCATGAATGAAACGCATCATTCATTCCTCTGCCTACCAAGTGACCAGTAGTATGAGCCTTCATATCTCTTTGATGCCAAGGATAGCTGTTTGAAGGAGGAAAAGCCTTAGAAGGTGGGTCTGATTGCAACACTTCATCATCAGCTCAGCCTCCGCAATGGTTTATAATTTACTCGGTAAAAACAGATAGTCAAACATTGGTCAAGACCACGTACAGGCATCCAGAAAGATATCCTAGCCTACTGCACTGCACGTAGCTGGAAAAGTTACGTGCAAGCACCATGTTCCCTTATGAAACAGACAGCTGCCCTCCAGAACTTGGTCAGTTTGCATGTTCTTTAGAAAACAGTAGTGTCAGACCACAGGCATAAGGGCAGGAGAAATGGTTCCTGACGAGAAACCAAAGATTACCCATTTAAAAACAAAAGCCAAATGTGTATGCTATCAGCACTGGTAGGAGCAATTTTCTGCAAAGAAGAATATTTATGTTCTCCAGGTCATCTTATGAAATGACTAAATAAAAAATTTAAATAACTTAAGGGTCCTGATAAATGATGAACAGTCTTCAGACTAAAGTCAGACTGCCTTTCCAATAACAGTACCAAGGAGTCCAATTTTTCAACACATAAAAAACATAGTTTGTAGCAGGAACAGCCAAACTCTGCATGATAATCTCCAAAAGTTGAAGCTGCTCAAATAATCATGCCCAGGGTATGATCACTGTGACCTGAGACAATGTCAGGTATTGTCACTGTGACCTGAGAGACTGACTGCCAATTATGTACAGAAGATGGAAATGGCTCTGGGGCTGAGATGTTTTCAGATGTAGGAAGGGATTTCTGCTACAGAGGGGCATCAAACTGTCACAGCTGGAAGACCCATAGAAAGTATTGGCCTAATCCTGTCATTCTGCAGCAGGTAATGCAGCCCCAAACAAGTTAACTGATGTGTTCAAAGTTTCATAATGACTGAGATGAACCAGAAAGTCCAGGAAACAGAATGGAAATTAGGCCTGTTTGTGACACTCAGATTTCTCCAACCCCAACGTTAGGGTGTTCTGATTAAACGAAGAACGGCTTAAGTAACTGAGAGCAAACGTGGATTCCTGGAAAAAATAATTCAGCACCTTATTTGTCCCTCTTCATTCCAGAGCCTGCATTTCCCATCAAGACAGCCCACTTCCCGGGCTCCCAGCTCCAGCTCTCCAGGGCTTTCCCCAGAAGCGCAGACAGTGCATGGACAGCCAAGGCACAAGGCCATGGTTTCTGCATCCTCTGTCTTTTCCCAGTTCGCAGAGCCGGAAGTGGTAGACTACAGCGACAGATTCCTCTTGGGGTCACTGTGATCACAAGGAGCAGAAGCAGCGGACTAAGCTGGTTTTGCTTGAAATGCAGAATTTCTGCTCATCAGCATATGGCTGGTTGGCCACATGAATAACTCTTCTCTATTACATAATCCATCTCTTTAATTTCCTGTCCACACGAGTATATAAGTCTGTGGGTACGTGTCTTGTCATGTTCGCCATATATGTCAAAGTGTGTGTGGAGGTGGCGGGAGGTTACATGCATGTGTATTGTGGTGGCTGCTGTTTAGAAATGAGGGTCAGCTCCTCCGATATTCTCCCTTCGAATGGCCATTCAGCAAGGATCAGTTTTTGAGCCTGATCTCCATACAAGAATGGTTGGTTATTGCTTTAAATGTAGGATTGCCTTATTCCTAAATGGCCTTGAATGGGGATCAAACTAACATTATGAGGAAGAAACAAAAACATCCCTGTGCACTTTGACCTTAGATGTTCAGTACCATTGTAGAGTCCCTGACTGCTAACCACCAAGCGACAAAACCACATCACAGTGATGCTTACAAATAAGAGAAACGTTCTTAAGTGTTTAAAAAGCCACTGTAACATGATATTCTTCCCAAATTATCACACCTATGTAAAAACATTTTAAAATCAAGACTATCTTATTCCCTTTTGGCATCAAAATACTTAACTGCATTTTAATGCTGTGCATAAGGAAATGGTTTACCTTCCAGCATTTTCTGCAGACTGTTCCTCATGACATGGATGTTCTCTATCCCGATAAACTGAAACTTGATATTGGAATAATTGTCTTCATTCTCATAGCCTTTCCCTGCAGCACGATTTGCCATTGCATTAAGCTGCAGTGGTCAGCAAAACAGAACAGTCATCAATTACATTGATGAAACAATGATGAAACAACCAAAACATTTCATGGATACCCAATCAAAGCATTCAGAATGATGTACGGAAACATAATACGCTTATTTGAATCACTGCAACCTTGTACTGAACTACATAGCTTCAGGGACTCCTGCTGAGCTTATATTCAACAGCATGAATTTGTCAGTGTGGGTCACATTTTCTTAGCTGGAAAGCAGTCTACTGATAAACCCTTCTGGAGATGTCACTTGCAGTCCCCGTCAGAGATGCCAAACTGAATGTGGAATTCTGTGATGGAACCAAGTAGTCCAATTTAATACCACACATAACCGGTAGGTTGGCAGAAGAATATCAGCAGAAACAGCTGTCAAAATAAGGCTCTATACATTATTATATCTTCTAGTATTAGATTGCCAATAAACACGTTATCAAATAGGAATGGTTGCATCATTCTAATTTGCCCACAAGATCCCTCAGATGCCCAGTTAAACCTTGAGCAGGAATTACTGAATAAAATGAAGAGAGGGAATGCAACCAAGTCTCCAGAGACATTTCCACCAGCCGCCTTATTTAAATCTAGAGATCTATTGGGCTTTTTGATCACTTTCATTATTATAATTTTGCATATGAGAAGTTGGGGTCTCCAAGTGCAAACTAGGTTAAGTCACAGTGGTATCTGAAGAAGTTTATTAAATCCAAACACTGTCCTAGCCTGCGTGGCTAAAATCAAGAAGGGGACAAGTCCTACTTTAGCTGGGAAATGCATCGGTTTCTAGAATGTGTAAACATTCTTGCTATTTTATTAAGCAGGTCATCACATCCTAGAAAACAGCATTCGCTGACCATTCTCCTCCTCCACCCACCAAGGACAGGAGGGCTAACCCAGGCAGAGAACCTACACTGAGAACTCACCACCAGAAAAAAATATCTGCTTTTAAAAGCACAGTGCACAATAGTACTTTTTAAAAGCTAAAAGAGCTAAGTTTAAAGTTAAAGACACATATGTTCTTTGACACAGATCTCCTAAAAGTCTGACAAAATTAAAAGTACCAGCACATAAAAATAGATGCCCAAGAATGTTTATTGAAAAAAGCTGAAAACCCATGACTATCTCAATAGGACAATGACAGGATACACAATGGTTTATCATGCCCTGACCTGCGAGCAGTGACCAAGAAGGAGGGCACAGATCACACAGCAGACAGACAGATGCTCTGAGGCTTACGATGGGGTTATATCATGATGAGCCCATTGGAAGTTGAAAATGCCGTAAGTGAAAAGTGCATGGCAAACTGGGAGCTGCTGCCGCTGCTGCTGCCCAGCATCACAAGAGAAGTACACTTTCTGAATGTCTATTGCTTTTGCACCATTGTAAAAAGCCACAAAATCATATAGGTCGAACCATTAAGTCAGAGACCCTCTGTGCATAGACTTGGCATTGGCCCATGACAAGTGAAAAGAGTAAGCTACAGAATAATATTCATACAATCATCCATTTTTATAAAACCAACTTATAGATATGTATTTAAGTTTTTGCGTGTTTATCAAGCAGAATAAAAATGTATAGAAAACGGTACCAATTTGGCAGCAATTACAGCAGAAAGACAGCATGGCAGGCGACAGGAGAATGCCATCAGTACTACTTTGGATGCCCCTGTAATCTTTCATTGATACCGAGAGCATATATGAAGTTTGTAATTGAAATAATAGAAATAAAGTATATTAGAAGTGAAAAAAACAGCAGAGGATAAGCCATTGCCATAGGAGCCCAGGCTGGCAGACACCTCACATTTCAATAGCAGCCCTGCTCCATGACGTGGCTTATGTGACATCAGCTGGGCCACATCAGCCCCTCAGGACACTGTTCCCATCCACAAAAGGGTGTCATCTTTCTCCCAGGCATGCTACGAGAATAAAGAGTTTGGCCTTAATCAAGAAAAAAATATTAAAATAATGCATTTTAAGACAACTTATGTTCACACTTTAAGAAGTATAAATATTTTATAGGGAAAACTTTTGTAAAATTACCTATAGACATTGTTCTTCCAAAACTAATAAAATATCACTGCTTTGTATAATTATTTTTCAAAGATGTTGGTTTATCCTTTATAACAAGCATCATAAATAAAATTAATAGGAGATTTGAAAGTATCCTTACGTGACATGAACCTTACGTTTATGCTGTATCTTGACTAATTCAAGTGAAGCCTATTCACCACATACCACAGAGATACTCTTTTAAAAAGCATAAGAAAGAAAAACCAGCCAGGCACAGTGGCTCATGCCTGTAATTCCAGCATTCTGGGAGGCAGAGGTGGGGAGATCTCTTGAGCTCAGGAGTTCAAGATCAGCCTGCGCAACATGGCAAATCCCCATTTCTACAAAAAAATGCAAAAATTAGCCAGACATGGTGGCATGTGACTAGTCCCACCTACTTGGGAGGCAGAGGTGGGAGGACTGCTTGAGCCTGGGAGGTCAACGCTGCAGTGAGCTGTGATCGTGCCACTGTACTCCAGCCTAGGTGACAGAGCAAGACCCCATGTTACTGATCATTCTCCTCCTTCACCCACAAGGGACAGGAGGGTTATCCCAGGCAGAGATACAAAAAAAAAGAGAGACAGACTACACAGTCTACAAAAGTTAGAATGTAGAATAGATTTTTTAAACATAAACAAAAATTAAAATATTATTTTAACCTATAATTAAGACTCCATGTACACATTATGAAATAGCTGATTATCCTTGATCTGGGAGAACTGATTGGTAATCTCCCTTAAAAGCAAAGCAGCAACACAAATAACCTCCTGAACATCAATGTGCACTTCTCAGAATGAACAGAAGGTGGCAATATTTCATCTACCAGCTGAAGTGTAATTTCTTAGGATCTCCACCTTTTTTACAGGACCTATCCTGATAATGTAGCAAAAGCTGAACCCTCAAAGCAGGAGATACGGTTTTACAATTAATAAAAATTCAATGTTATCTTGGACATTTTACGTGTATGTGTGCGCAGTAAGATACGGCATCCCTTACATAAACAAATCGCTATTACTACATCAAATACGGTCCTCTGTCCCTTTGACTGAGAACTCCATTTCACAACTAAAGAAAAGCTATGCATTTCAGGTCCTAAAAGTTCTCAAGTAGATAAAGCAATAAAGGTAGTCACTTCAGTTCCAATTCATGTTTAAGAAACACACAACAGATAGGTGAAAAGTAGGACTGCAAAAATACCCTGTTTCCTAACACAAGGTTCATTTGCTGTTTGATAATATCAGTGTCTTTGGGTGCAGAGAAGTTAATAAATGAAGCAAAGTCAACACTGTATAGACACCTACTATGGCCAGGCGTTAAGTGGAATCAAAAGAAGCTGTTCCTGTTGCCTTCAGCTTAGAACTGACAATGGAAAGGAAAGCACATGGCACCCAGTGGTCCCAGATGACATCCACCAGGACTGGGCAAGAGCTGAGCAACGGGAGAGACAGTGACAATGACAGGAGTTGAAATCTAAGGAAACTCTGTCGGCCTGGGGATCAGGGGTAACGTTTTGTTTAAGAGAGAAAGCTAGAGCTGGACTTTAACACAATCTGTAAGGATGGAGAGAGAGGGGAGGGCATTCTACATAACCAATGAGCGAACCACTCCAGGTGAAGACGAAGGTTCCTGTGTGGCAGCTACAGCAAGAGGGAAGGCTAGAAAGCACTGAGGGTCCACTACAACAGGCCCAGCCAAGGAACTGAGGCTCCACCTGTGGCAGCGGAGAGCAACTCCAGGATTTTGAGCAAGTCTAACTGAAAAACTGGAGACTGATTTAGTGTCCACAACAGAGAAGATGCACAGGAATAAGGAGCGAGCAGAGAGGGATGGGCACGGAAAACCTCAGCGCTGACAGAGAGGAGGGACGGAGAACGCAGGCTCCACGAGGGGCCCTGAGTGTCTCATTGATGGCCACATCCGTATCCTTCAAACCGGCATGGAACAGGCACTCAAGGAAGATTTACTGACCGGCTGAGCAACTGCATAAATGACTGGATAACAGAATGAGGCCCGGGGAGAGCAGGCCAAGACTGTGAAGAAACAGCATGAGATTCTCACCCTAACCCTGAATCAATCAAATGTAGAAAAACTCAGTCTGTGTTCATCTTGGTATCAGGTTAAAGGTCAGCCTGGTCACTGCCTTAGTCCTCAAGTCTACCATTTCCACAGCTACATTTAATGCCTGAAGAATGACAGTGCCTACGCTGACATGGTTGGGAAATGACCGTACAAGCTGATCTTGGCAGGAGGGGGACTTGGTCTTGCCCTAACACAGGTGGTCAAATGACGGTCTTTCTCTCTCCCTCCTATATAACTGGTTACAGGAAGAAACTTCACTTGTGGTGCAGACACAAACATGTGAGTTGATTTTATTCCTTGCAACTATTCTCTACAACTGTGCTAGTCAAAATCCTCCTTTCTACCCGCTAAGGACCTCTTGGGCAGATTTAATAGCATCAGGTTTACTTACATTCAGATAGAAAATCTCCATCCGGCCTAACTTAGAATTCCAGTCCCGTATGTGACGCAAAATTAGCTCTTCCCCGCCGCCTTACAGGCTGTGTGGACTGCTGAGGGGTTTGCTCCGGCCCACCCTCCCTCTCCTCTTTATTGTAGGCCCTATCTGTGTACTGGGAGGATGGGTGCAGAGGAGGGAGAAGAGAAGAGGTAAATTTCTCTTTGGAAAGCTCGGCAGGGTTCCAATTCTCTCTTCATCGGTTGACATGAGTTGGTCACCACTTCCCTCTCTGGCATAGCGTCCAAGTGCTCAATCTCCCAAGGTATAGATGCAGGTTTTTGGAGGTAGGGAGTACACATCTCACTGAAAAAGGAGATGCGCCTTGGCTTGAGTCTATTCCAGTACGCTCAACTTCCCTCACCAGCACACCCACCCCAGTCACCTACAGCTGAAGACACCCGGCGGCTGAGCCCTTTTAGGAATGCTGAAGCAAGATGGCTCATGCTCAACTTCCTTCCTCAGGCTCCACTGGACCCACAGGAAATTTCTCCATCCTTGCCCTGCCAAAAGGAGGGAGCACAGATTGCTCCACGGCCACTGGACACTGCCCTCGCCCCAGTTCTCTTCACTCTGGTTGCTGCCATGACGGCCACCAGCAAGTGTGAGACCCCCGATTCCCCTCTCTCAAGCACCCCTCATCTCTACCACTGACTTTCCTAGGTGACCCCTCCCAGGACTCAGCGAGTAGGAACCACCTACTCACTAATTCCAGAGAAAAAGAAAAACATCCCACGTGACATCCTGTTACACAACTAAAACCTCGCTGACCTGGTGAAATCACGGGGCAGAACCACAGCAAAGTCTCTGGAGAAGGAGCAAGGACAAAAGGCCAGGCGTCACGGAGGCAAGCGCTGCCTCGCCCTCGGCCCTTCTCTTCATGCCTCAGCACCCCCTCCGCTGGCCCTGGCTGCGTCAGAGGAGCTGCTGGGAGGTTCTCTGGCCTCGTCAGGCGTGTGCTCAGAGGTGGTAACCCCACAGAGCTTCCACGTGGAAACGAGGCTCTGCTGGAGAATTTTTGTAAACAGAAAAAACACCATGGTCAAACGGAGCGAGTGTGGGCTCTGGGGTTAGATAAGCCTGGATGTGAATCCTGGAATGTAAACTGTGAGACCCTGGGCAAATTACTTAACCTCTTTAAGTTCTAGCCCTTATCCATGAAAAGAAACAAAACAAAACAAAACCCTCCTAACTTGCCAGGATTCTTAAAAGAACTAAATGAGAAAGTACCTTGGCTGGGCACCGTGGCTCACGCCTGTAATCCTAGCACTTTGGGAGGCCGAGAAGGGCGGATCACCTGAGGTCAGGAGTTCGAGACCAGCCTGGTGAAACCCCGTCTCTACTAAAAATACAAAAAAATTAGCCGGGCGTGGTGGCGGGCACCTGTAAACCCAGCTACTCGGGAGGCTGAGGCAGGAGAATCACTTGAACCCGGGAGATGGAGGTTGCAGTGATCCGAGATCGTGCCACTGAGCTCCAGCCTGGGGGCGAGTAAAACTCCGTCCCAAAAAAAAAAAAAAAAAAAGTGCCTGCCATTTTTACAAGCTCAGCAAAGTCCCAGAACAAATTAATGACAAAGTCATGAACAAGGCTGCAGTGAGTTAGCCCTCATTTGAAAATTCAGCGAAGACTGCGACAACACCTTCATATGTTCTTAAAGCGCCACACCCTAGCACTAATACGTGCCCTGAAGAGTATAATTTTTTTTTGGAATTGACATTCAATACATGCTTGAAGACTTCATTGACTTTGTCTCCCAATTTTTTCTTTTTCTTTCGAGACAGGGTCTCACTCTGTTGCCCAAGCTGCAGTGCAGTGGCACAATCACAGGTCAGTGCAGCCTCAAACTCCTGGGCTTAAGCAATCCTCCCACCTCAGCCTCCCAAATAGCTGGGACTACAGGCCCATGCCACCACATCCAGCTCATTTTTTTCTGTTTTTTGTAGAGATGGGGGTCTCACTACGTTGCCCAGGCTGGTGTCTCCCAAAAAATGTCAACAAGTAATTCTGAGGCTTTCATCTGAACAGGCAGCTCTGGAAGTTCTCATGTGGGGCTAGCCTTGCTCAAAGGCCAGGAACGATTCAGGTCAGCTCCTAATCCTTTTTCTTTTTAATGAAACCTGTGAGCAAACCTGAGAAGTGCCTGCTTGCCAGGGTCCACACCTTCTAGAGCAAACTCAGTCTCCTGGCTACCAAGGAGGCCTAACACACTCTGGAACAAAAATCAACATACACAGTCTTTAAAAGAATGAAAGCTCTAAGTAAACAGTTTAAAACTCACGTGAAGTGTGCGTGCATGGATAAATATGAGAAGAGGGCATGGCTTGTACGAAACCCCAGTTTTCTTTAATGGATCAGTGTCAAACTCATCGCTGAGAGTAAACACACTTAGCACTAAATATACCCTTCAAATCAAATCCTTTGGATTAACTTATTTTAAATCTGGAATATGCCTGGCTCTACAGCTGCCACGTTTCCTAGAAGGTTTACACAACACAGTACATATCTGGATCACTGGTCCTAAAATTAGTAGGTGAATCTGTCTGGCTTTATTTAAATCTGAAAAAAACAGGGTAAGAAACAGGCTTCCCAATCTCTCCTCAGTAAAGCCCCCGTCTTTTCTCTTCCTTTTCTTATCTTGTCTTCAGTATATCTAAGCAGCTAATCATTAAATCATCTGTAACTATTAGGAAATTCAAAACAGCCCCACCTTGCTTCAACAAAGGGTACGAAGAAGAGGTGGGAAGGCAGTCACATTAGAAGGAAGGGTTTAAACACAATGAGCCAGAGAGAAGGGCACAAATTGACAGAGAACAGTAAAAGCCAGAGATTTTCTGGTATGTTTCAGTGAAAATCTTCCAGCAAAGGAGCTATTTTTTTTTTTTTCAGTTTGAAACTTTTATCTGTGTGTCGTGCTCTGAGAATTTAAAAGGAAGGGACCCTTTACTTATAATCTAGTAGAATGTGAATGTGATCTAGCTGTGGTATCGGTTTCATCACTGATCTCCAGGACTGATTCGCTCATCTGGCATCCGTGAGTAGTAACTCCACACACTTCTCTCCCGCTGTGTGCTTTGCTCCGAAGAAGACTGGATGGTTCTGAGATGAGGGGACGAGTAGGGCACTGATCTCACTCTAGGAAAACATCACATTCCATTATCCTGGACACAAATCATAATACTTGGTGACATGAAGTTCAGAGAATCCGTGAAAATCACCAAGGCCTGAGTATCCACACAAAGGATAGGATGCAGTTCTCGTGATTTCTGGGATCACCAATGAGTGTAGACCGTGTCTATAATTACCTCTTCCCCACAGTGTACACTTTTAAATGACTTGAGCTGCTGGTTCTATTTTACCCTTCCTGTTGTAATGTTTATTTCCTATGTTCTTTTTTTAATACCTTCACTGACATGTAATTCACATGTCATACTATTCACCCATTTAAAGCATACGACTCAATGGTGTTTGGTATACCCACAGAGTTGTGCAACCATCACCATGATCTCATTTTAGAATATTTCCATCACCCTAAAGAGACATCCACTACCCATTAGCGGTCACTCACCATTTCTCTCCCTTCCCCCAGCCCTCGGCAACCATCAGTTTACTTTCAATAGCTCTGAAATTGCCTGTTGAAAGCATTTCATGATTCCTTTGTGACAGACTTCTTCCTCTTAGTATGACACTTTCAAGGTTCCTCCATGTTGCAGTATGTATCCATAGTCCATTCCTTTTTATAGCTGAATAATATTCCACTGAATGGACATACCATATTTTGTAAATCCATTCTCCATTTATGAACATTTGGTTATTTACATTTTAGGCTATTACTAATAATGAACAAATATTCACATACAAGTTTTTATGTGGACATAAGTTTTCATTTCTCTTGGTTATATACCTAGGAAGGAACAGCTGATTCATATGGTAACTCTATTTTTAACTAAATTTAAAGTCCTTATGCTCTTTTACCTTTTCTATAGTGAAAAAAAATTTCAAACTCTAACTTACGAAGTGAAAAGTTTCCTAAAATGAACTTCTCACCCCACAGGAAAAACCACTGTAAACAGTGTGGTATACATTCTCTCAATTTTTTGTTTTTTGTTTTTGAGATGGAGTTTCGCTCTTGTTGCCCAGGCTGGAGTGCAATGGCACGATCTCGGCTCACCGCAACCTCCGCCTCCCGTGTTCAAGCGATTCTCCCGCCTCAGCCTCCCCAGTAACTGGGATTACAGGCATGCACCATGATGCCCAGCTAATTTTTGTTATTTTTAATAGAGATGAGGTTTCACCATGTTGGTCAGGCTTGTCTCAAACTCCCGACCTCAGATGATCCACCTGCCTTCGCCTCCCAAAGTGCTGGGATTACAGGCACAAGCCACTGCGCCCAGCCCCAATTCTTTTAACAAGATTAAACATAATTTCTCTATCCCACTCTTGTTGCCTAACAGGACATCCTGGACTCCTCTGCTTACCATACAAGGAGACAGAACTGGACGTTCATCTTTCTCCTCAGTCACAGGTCCAGGCACATTTTCATTAGTGGCTAGGAAAGTGCAATTGCAAATAAGCTGACTAAGGGACGTTTCATTCTGTCATCTCATTCTGTCTGCTGTAGTCAATGCACTTGTAGGTGACTTTGTGTCCATCCCTCTGGGGACTTCACTTGTTGAAGTTTTAGAAGACTTGGGTCTAAGGAGAAAAACTGGAATTTTATTGGACTTAACACTGATTCTCCTTAAAAACAAAAAAGTTAAGGCTGAGTGGGAGGTAAGTGTAAGATCAATGTGGCTCACTCCTTGATGTCTAGATATATTATTTCCTATTCGTTTTCTTAAATTAGAAAACTAATAAATTAATACATACATAATTGTAAACTAATACTTTTCTAACAATCAACAAGTAGAAAGCCCTCTACGTCCGCAAATCCTACTCCCTTCTCCATGGAATTTTTAGAGTTCAGGGTTTAACCTTTCAGATCTTTTTCTACACCTTTTTACACACCTAGAACTTTTTATGAAAAAAATATTTTTTAATTTACCTTATATTTTATAGTTCTTTCCAAGTCATAGGTATAGATTACTACAAGTTGAATTTGAAAAATAATAGCTGAGTACTTCGCAACAATTGAACTGCTGGAGCTCCAGAGTGAATTTTATTGTCAGAGCAGAAAGGGCTGTTTTAGAAAGAAACCAAGTACTAATACGGTATACTTAGGAGCACAATCTCCAAAATGAAGCCACATTCATTTGGGTGCCCCTGTGTGCCCAGCACAATGCTAGGGGCAGGGGAAATATGAAATGTACTTGTATAGTTGGAGGCTTCAGGTGCACTAGACCTCCAGGAAGTAGCCAGCAGGGTGCCCAGACACTGACTATGCCAAGAGGAACCGCCCCTTTGCAGATGAAGCAACCTGCACAAGAGATGGCAGTCGGCTAGCCTTTGCCTGTCTCCAGTTTCACAACTCAGGTGCAAAGACATGCATCGCAACGGTGACACTTACTTTAGGCCGGGTGTCAACGACATAAACGAAGTCACTTCCTGGATTGGCTTTCCTAATGGCCTGGAGCATCTGCTCGTCCTCTAGGCACCGGGCACTGAAGCCGGACAGGGGCTGGCTGCTCCGGCAGATGGAGGCCTAGGGGGAGAGGTCACAGCAACACAGCACCATCAGGTAACTGTACCCATGAGAGACACTCTACGTGTGTCTCCAGAACAAAGAGCCCTTGGCTCACTGATAGTCCACCTCGGCTTATGAAAACGTGATACAGCTTTCTGGAAATCAAGCCTTGTTTATTAAAATTCAAGTCAAACCACTAATGGGCAAGCAATACAAAGAACCTGTCTGTGCAAAATATTAGGAATGTGTAGAGATGTTTAGATAGGGTCTAAGTTATGATATTCAAAACCATTTAAATAATCTACTTTCCTTTTCACTGATATTGCTTCATTTTCCTGCTGAAAGAAAAAATACAAAATAAATAACCGTTCTCAAATGCATAGGATACGATTAATGGTGACATTAATAAAATAGAAATTATTTTTTAATGCTTTCCAACCTTTTTTTTTTTTAAACTAGCCCATCTAGAAACATCACAAATACCAAAAACCAATTCTAATTCTAAACGGGAAACTTTCACGGTGACAAGAGCCCAGGTTGCTGCTAGGTTTGAAACCGAAGGACAGCAGGCACATACCTGTGCTGACTCAAGTCTACTTAGAACAAGGGGGATTTTTTTTTGGAATCAATCTGCATTCTCTGCCCCAAGTCCCGTACCCTGCAATTCTGACAGAGTAGATTGCACTGTCAGATGACATCTAGAAGAGCAGAAACATTTCCCTGAGTTATGAGTAGGTAGTACAGATCCTACCTTGCAGCTATAAAACTTCGGCTTTTGTGGCAAAGTACTTTCATGGATTTAGGTTTTAACACTTAAACACAAAACACCCAATAAAATGCCTGAATGACTCAAAGCATCTACATTGAGACTGTAAGTCCACAGTGTGAAAGAATGCAGGCAGTGACAGAACCCCTCCATGCAGGATAATATGGAGGGGAAAGTTTCACTGCAAATAGTCCTGTCATGTCACAGCCTGTTCAGCGTGCTTGTATTGCAGGGTTCCATCCATGAAGGGGCACCCCAACTCTTAGTCCAACCATAGCTTAATTGTCTTTGAATCCCAACCCAGGACAACTGAACATGGGTTTGGATCTCTCCAAAGGGCTTGGGTGCTCCTTGTTGGAGAAGGTGGGGACATTTCTCACTAGCTCTGAAGTTGGAGAACCACAGAATGGCTGGACATATTACAGGGGCCATTGTCTGAGGGCGCCAACACCATTCTGCAGAGACGGACAATCACTGAGGGGGTTAAAGGAAGCCTGAGGCCTACAGCCAGATTGAGAATCCAGGGGGACAAGGTGTGGGCGTGGGAAGCAAAGCAAAGGGGCAGCAGCAGAGTCACTCCAGGGTGGCTCATTCCTGACTGGTGGGGAGGAGAAAAAGATCAAAGGGTATGGGCACGGCAGACAGAATGGCAAGCGACGGCAAGGCCAGGAGCAAGGGGAAGTGAAGATGGGGATCAAGAGGGACTTGGCAAGCAGAAGGCAAGCTATGTCCGAAGACCAGAAATCAAATGACACAGATGGCTTTCACAGGGGTCCTGTTTCCTTTAATCTTTAAGGGGTCAGGGTCTGCCACCTGCTCAGAGGGAATTCTTCCTGGAAAGAGAATAATTCTGAGTTGGCTTTAGATGATACTTTATCCGGGTTAAAGAAATATTAGTTAGCCCAGTGTGGTGGCTCACGCCTGTAATCCCAGCACTTTGGGAGGCCGAGGCGGGGGGATAACTTGAGGTCAGGAGTTCGAGACCAGCCTGTCCAACATGGTGAAACCCCATCACTACTAAAAATACAACAAACATTAGGTGGGCATGGTGGTACACACATGCAATCCCAGATACCCAGGGGGCTGAGGCAGGAGAATCACTTGAACCCGACAGGCAGAGTTTGCAGTGCACTGAGATTACACCACTGCACTCCAGCCCGGGCGACAGTGAAACTCCATCTCGAAAAAAAAAAGAAATATTAGTTAAGGACAGCTGCCACCAGACAATCTTAGATTCCATCAGAAGGGTTAGATGGGGATGGTAACACATTTAAATGACGAGAATTTGAGAACACACACACCAGACCTCACTAAAGCAGTGAGACACCAACTACAAAATGAAGCAATTTAGGGACAACAACTATTTCAAATTATCTTCTGGTTTAGAACAGCTAGTTTTAAATGAGGAACTATACTGGAACTGTTATATACTGTGGAATGTGGTCGATAAATTAAAACACGCATATTAAACAGACTACATTTTTGGTATTTTGTAGTTAGATTTTCTTAATAAACTAAAGATATGATCTAAATGGAATTTTTCATTGAATCAGTAATTGCTAACATGTGGTTTTCAATTGTGTGCAGAACAGTAAGTAGTCTCAGTGCTTTTGTGCACCTATACATGCCCTAGACAGATTATCCAAAGAGTATTACTATTACTTGGCAGCATTTCTTACTGATGTCAGAGCACAGATTAAAAACTCTTCAGTTGTAAACCGGAAGGGATAGCGCTCATTTACAATGCTACTAATAATTAAAATATTCAACATTTTTGATGGCTTACTACTGTTTTTGAGTGTTTATATGATAGGCACTATTATAAGAACTTTGCATATTTTTATTTAATTAGCCTAATTATCATATACAATAAGACCTATTATTGGCTCCACTTGATACATGAAGTGACCAAAGCACAGAGAGGTTAAGTAACATACTCAAAGTCACACAGTTAGTAAATAGGGAAGCCAAGATTTGAATCCAGACAGAGTATTTCCTGATCCTGAATTCTTAACAAAGTAATTCAAGCCCCAATGGGAGGAAATAGGTCAGGCAGCACAATACCTTATTAAGATACAGCATAAAGCCAGGCACAGTGGCTCATGCCTGTAATCCCAGCACTTCGGGAGGCCAAGGCAGGTGCATCACCTGAGGTCAGCAGTTCGAGACCAGCCTGGCCAACATGGTGAAACCTGTCTCTACCAAAAATACAAAAATTAGCCAGGAGTGGTGGTGCACGCCTGTAATCCCAGCTGCTTGGGAGGCTGAGGCAGGAGAATCGCTTGAACATGGGAGGTAGAGGCTGCAGTGAGCTGAGATCATGCCACTGCACTCCAGCCTGGGTGACAGAGCGAGACTCCATCTCAAAACATAAAGATGCAGCAGAAAGACCTGGCTTCCAGTACCAGTTGTGCTCTCACTCACTGTATGATGTTGGGTAATTTATGTATCTTCTCTGATCCTCAGTTTTCTCATCTATAAAATGGGTAAAATATTAAAACTACAGAGTGTGAGAAGGGGCATAACACTGTAAAACTCCTGGCACTGTGCCTAACACATAGGAAGTTTCAATAAGTATTCATTATGAAAAGAGACCATGAAGGTCTGTATTTTTCCTAAGGAAAGTTGCCTCACTGGAAATCTTCTAGAGTTTTGTTTCCTCGAAATGTGTACTGTAAATTTGGGAGACCATGCTGTGCACCATCTTAAAGTGAAACTTTAAAAAAAAAATCCTAGCGTAATAAAGAACAAAGGCTATAGCAATTCTAAGAACTCTCAAAGAAAGATGCACAGAATTCCGAACGCACATGACTAAGCATCTCTAACCATGATCTATAAAGCTGTTAATAGCTGGATATTCAAAGGGAGCCCACGTGGCTCTACATAACCCATGTGCGTAAGGCCTAAAATTAATATTATGTGTTGCTTCGACATCTGGTAAAACCGAGAGGGCCTCAAATGGCCTCACTGCAAGTTCCCTGCCACGCTCTGCTCCTGCAGGTAAGGTTCCCAAGTGAAACAATTCTTATCCAACAGACCAGGTGCAGTTCCTGCCCGTCCCCCAGAAGCAGGTTTTAGTTCCCTGCCAGTCATGGAATGATGCACGCAAGCTAATCACATCCTCCTGTGGGAACCAAGGGTGACCCCACGCTCCTGATACTACACAGCCTGCCTCTCACAGCCCCTGGCTGTCACTCTGCTCCTCAGCGCAACCTCATGTGCCCCTTCATGGGCTGTGGTGTCCTCCTCCCCTTGGCAGTGAGTATATGTGACTGTTCATCTCACCTGCCCAGTGTCAAGTGCTGTGTGTCTGGCTGTCCCTGTAACCTAGAGCAGGAATCCCTCCCTCACCACAGGGGTGAAAGAATGTGATTACATCCATTAAAAGTAATGGCAAAAACTGAAATTACTTTTGCACCAACCTAACACTACATGTGGTAACAGCTGATACAAAGGGAAAGATGGACCCTCCACAGGGGCCTTTATATTGAACAGAACTTCAGGTTCATAAAATCTCGTGCACTTCAAGCTTCTCCTAATCTGATCACCAGTTCCCAGTGCCCAAAATTAGCCAAGTCATCTCACCACCAAAATCAAAAGTGTCCCTTTGGTAGCATACGTGGGAAACAGTATTTTCACTATAAAATGTAGTATCCTTATTCATAAGCATAAATTCTTTGGGGGTAGGAATACATACTCTTTAAGCCTAAAATGTCTCAAATAACCAAAGAGAAGAAAGACAGATCAGCAAATTTATGGAATGTGTACCTGTTTACTTTTTGTGGGAGACTGCCTGTTTTCTATACGGCCATCGATGAGCAATGACAGCACAGATAACTACTCTGGTATTTCAGTGTCTTCCATTAAGCACAGAAATCCACCTTTGGTAATAATACTTCCCTTTAGGAAAAGCCCTAGTCAAATCAGAAGCATTTATATAATTAACCTTGATATTAAAATGTAAACATTGTTATAAAACACAAATTTGATCATTATTCCACCTGCAAAATAGATTTCAGTTCATGGGGTGGGAGAGTGGGCGGGCAGGTGTGTGCTCACTCGGGACTTCCCTGGGGTAACCCGATCACGCAGCGCTGCTTCGAGACACATCTCTGTTCTGTACCTTGGAAGAAGAGCTAGAGCTTCAGGTTGTTTCTGCTTTAAAATCTTAAATATGGGCAATGAATACTCTTAAGCTCTAACTATGCTGTGTGAGTTCATTTTCAGGCCTGGAGGTTCAGTAAAATAGCACTTGGGGGAGCAGGCGTGGAGCCATGTGGGTCTGAGGTCAGCCGGGGAAGAAGCTGCCTCTGAGGTCTAACTGCTAAAAATTCTCTTTCTGAGACAATACATATTTAATCCTGATACTACTCACATTGACAAAAAGTAAAATGTCCCTTGTCTCAAGAATATAAAAAGGGAGTTGCTAGGCACACTGTGCTCACTTTTTAAATATTCTACAGACAACAATAAAACACCTCTGAAACAACAATAAAAGATCGTTTCTCCCTCTCCTGGATTCATCTTCTCTCTTCTTTAATCAATGGATGCTACAAAAAAAAAAATGTGCATGTTACCAGCAACCTAATTTCAAGTGCAACATCATGAAACTTCCTATCTCTATTTATCCTATCTTAATAAAAAAAAAAAAAAAAAAAAAAAAAAGAGGCAAGGGGCGGCGCCTCACACCTGTAATCCCAGCACTTTGGGAGGCCGAGGCAGGCAGATCACTTGAGCACAGGAGCTCAAGACCAGCCTGGGCAACATGGCTTTCCTCGTCTCTACAAAAAATGCAAAACAATTAGCTGGGCCGGGTGGCACACGCGTGGTCCCAGTGACTCGGGAGGCTGAGATGGGAAGATCACTTGAGTCTGGGGAGGTCAAGGCTGCAGTGAGCCAAGATTGTGCCACTGCACTCCAGCCTGGGCGACAAGTGAGATCTTGTTTCCGAAAAAAAAAAAAAAAAATCACATCTTCCTTTGCCTCTAACCAGTGCTCCAGCTCTGTGCAAGCTGAAATACATTCAGAGTTAATAAAATACTTTAGACCCTAATTCAAGGCTAGGAAAAGAAGAAGAGCAATGAGTATAACTAAAAATAATTTTTATCCAATTCACAGAACTTTCACCACCAAATTAATATTTTCCTTCAAAGTAGCAACAGAGAGGGCTATGTGCTCACTCTGATGAAGCTGGCATTGCTCCAGATATTTTTGGAAGCTTCTAGAATCTGACTGAGACCCTGCTCTACCCCCCGGCTGTAGGTGCAGGCATGTGGATACACACTCACACAATCTCCTGTGTTTATAGCCTCACTCGGCTTTGAATCCAGAAGTATATTATCTAGCTTAAAAACTAAAGTTTCTCTCTCACCTTGCTAGAACCAAAGAACATTTTGTTTTTTTAAACCACCTTTTTTAAAGGTGGTTTTTTGCTACCTTTTAAAAGTGGGTGCCAAAGACCATTCTTGCTCATCCGAATTTGTTTTCCTATCCTCCGCAGAAATGGAACTCTAAGTTTTAGCTATTTTAATGGCCACCCATAACACTGTACTTCCACACCTGCCCTGTGCAATTCTGATGAAAGGGAGGTGTCACGTGGCAGTTTTTGGAAGCCTTCCTTAAAAAGCTGGGCACACAACATTAGCCCTCCGTCACCTGCCACCTGCAGTGTGTGGGTGGTGACTGTACTGAAGTGACCTCTTGCACCAGGCAGGCCATGGCCAAATCCAGGTGGTGGTAGAGCAGAAAGGTAGAAGGAGCTTGAGTACCTGAAGGCTAAGTGGGGTGGGGCCAGGCTACCAGGCTAGGACTGCGCACCCTGGTAATTTTACGCAACAGAAAAAAATTGTATCCTCTTAGAGCCACTGTTACTTAGAGTCTCTATTACAGACAAACCCAATTCTGGCTTTTATAAATAATATTTTAAAAATAAAACCCATGCTCTCTATAACCAAAGATTTCTTATACTGAAGATACTCAAAAGAACATGAAATTTAAAAACAGGTAATAAGGCCGGGCACAGTGGCTCACGCCTGTAATCCCAGCACTTTGTGAGGCCGAGGCAGGTGGGTCACCTGTGGTCGGGAGTTCAAGACCACCCTGGCCAACATGGTGAAACCCCTTCTTTACTAAAAATACAAAAAAAAAACCCAAAATTAGCTGGGCATGTTGGCAGGTGCCTGTAATCCCAGCTACAAAAGAGGCTGAGGCAGGAGAATTGCTTGAACCTGGGAGGCAGAGGTTGCAGTGAGCCGAGATTGCACCACTGCACTCTAGCCCAGGTGACAGAGTGAGACTCTGTCTCAAAAAAAAAAAAAAAAAAACGTAATAGAGAAAAAGAATGGGCCATGGACTTCGGGGGCTTTTCTAAAATAGGCATGCCACAGATCTCCAGCACTGAATAAGCAAAGAGATTCCCAAGGTGCCCACTTAGGACAGTATTCACTTGCATGATTAGCTTTAGGGGTTTTCTGAATCTATTGAGTCATTTTCTGAATCATTACATTACTGTCAAATAAACATAGGAAGTCTACATGAGATAAGGACTTAGCATAGTTGTATCATGTCATACCATGCACAGGAATATCCACATACCTTCTGAAGAATTCAAACACACACACACGCACAGCAGAAGGCAGCTAGAAAATGCCTGCTTATGATAAACTAGAAAAGCAAAGTGTAAAACAAAAACACGCCTCGAGACTTACGTGGTTATCTTTATAATAGTAAGAAAGGACAGGAAATCGCCGTCTACTCCGGAATTTGGAACTCCCCACTATGATGTGTGCCGTGGCCGATTTGGGAACGTACAGTTCAGTAGGATAAGAGTCACAGACCTGTCACCAGAAAATACAAAGAGATTTTTAGGCCATCTAGTAATGCCCTGCGAACTGCCCCCAGAAATTCCACTTCACCACGCTTACAGGTACATCCTTAAGTTCCCTTAACCATGTTACAGAGGAGGCTATTTCGAGGAAACTCAAAGCCACTTCAGAGGAAGGAAGTGCCGCTGATTCTATGTAATCATTCTGAAGGAACGCAAGCTACCCTTAGTGTTCTGTCCCCGTGCACTGTCCCCTCTCTCCAAGGGCTCTTTGTGCAAGACCAGTGACAATGAAGCCTTCCTTTCATCAAAAAGAGACAAACTGCCATTTTGCACCCTGGCTGAGAAAATCTGAGCTGCCAGGATTTGCTTGAAAGACAGAATGACACCAGGAGACAGTTTTCCTAAAACATAAGCACACTGGTTAAGCCAGCAGGTTAACTCTGTGGCTCTGACACGCCCAGTGTGCATTCCTGACCCTGACACATCACACAAGCTGATGCCTCCCCGGACACTCCTGCCCTCCACCTTCCCAAATCCCATCCGTTCTTCAAGGGCCAATCGAAGTTCCACCTCCTTCGGGAAGCTTCTTCCTTGACCTTTCAGCCCATGCAGATTTCCTAATGTGCCACAGATTACCGCGCAATGTAACAGCTTGATTTTTGTTTCTTATGTGTTGAGTTGATAAGTGGTAAGGATCGATGTACTCTTTCTACGCATTCCTGAGAGTGACTACCACAGTGGAAGGGTGCCTTGGAAGGATCTTGCAATTAAGAACCAGAAATCAGCAGTTTAGGACCTGGCTCTGACTGAGCAACTTCATGACCCTGGGGAAGCCAAACTACACGGTGCACTGTGGTTTGCTAATCTCTAGAAGTGATACTGCAGCAACAATATCTCATGGGGTTGACAGATGGATCAAATCCGGCAACACCCATGGCAAAGCACTTTATAAACCACTAAATCCAAAACAAATGTTAGTGGTAGCAACAGTGATAGCAGTTGAGGCTACTGTTGCTCAACACATTTTGCTTTCACTTCAGTCCATCAGTCTTTTCGCAATGTGAAGATCACCCACATGGAAGTGTCCTGGGATATGTCAGGCACCTCTTTACTTCCTGGATGTCAAACATCTTCCTCGTCATCTCAAGGGAGTCCTCAAGTACGTCTAACAACAGGGGTGTACTAGTCCATTTTCATACGGTTATAAAGAAACACTTGAGACTGGGTAATTTATAAAGGAAAAGGTTTAATGGACTCACAGTTCCACATGGCTGGGAGGCCTCATAAGCATGGCAAAAGGTGAAGGAGGAGCAGAGGCACGTCTTACGTGGTAGCAGGCAAGACAGCGTGTGTAGGGGAACTGCCCTTTATAAAGCATTAGATCTTGTGAGACTTATTCACTATCATGAGAACACCATGGGAAAGACCAGCTCCCATGATCCAATTACCTCCCACCGGGTCCCTCCCATGACATGTTGGGATTATGGGAGCTACGATCTAAGATGAGATTTGGGTGGGGACACAGAAACCCACATCAAGGGGAAATACTTTATCTGCAGGCCCTGTGTCCATCTCCACCCACCTTTATCACTCTGGAAGATGGGTTTGTAGGGGTTGAAAACCCACAACTGAAATCCAAGCCTCTTATAAAGTCTTCTGTGATGATGCCTCCCTTGCTGACCTCCACTGTCTTTGTTAGCAGAATAGAAAACTACATAGAGCAGGGAATAAAAGGGCCACAGAAGAGATGTTCACAGGCCCAAAGTCTAATTTCAGGGTTCTACCAGACATTTTAGGAAAGAAGATTACCAAAGAGTTTAACATGGCCTGTGGCACTGACACTCTAAAGGAAAATCTGCCAAGAACAGAAGGCTCAACCAACTTGGACTCAGAGAGCTTTAGCTGGGAAGACTGCCATAAAACACGGCACTCCCTCCCCCTTGCCAATCTGGTGTCTGAACCTCCATGAAGTCAGCCAGCTAGAAGACTATGACGTGGACCACACCTGTTTGTTTGAGGTTCAAGAGACATGTAGTCATTGCACCAGACCAACAACATTTTCCTAAAATAACAGTTTTTAAAAGGAAATGAGTAGGTTTTCAGCAAGTTGGGAATTACCTACATTCTTCCTTGTAACAACACTAAGGAACTGCAAAGTTTCATGATTAAATAACAGTAACATGCAAGATTTGTCAACATGCTTATTTCAGACAGCCTCTTTGAAGAGCAAGAGATAAGCTCCTGCTAGGCCCTTTTATGGTCTTCTAAGGCTAAATAAACACCTAGGTTCACTGGCATCAAGGCCCTGTGTGCACCATAGCTGGAATGAGACCAAACAGAGAAAATCAACACCCAGAGGCCCACTCTCCTTGGCCCCAACTCAGGGCCCTCTTGATTCACAAAGGAGCAAGAAGACCACCTCCTGCCCTCTAAGAGCACCAGAGCTCTCACTCTGCAGAGTAGAGGTATGTAGATTTTGATGGCTTGGCATGTGCCAGGACAAAGAGCTCAACAACCTGCGCCCAGTCACCAATGGCCAGGCTTGCATCAGATGTGGAGGCCTCCCCTCTATGAACACAATACCAGTTATGAGGATTTCTGCCTTCCCCAGAGCACTGGGTCTAGGGGAAAAAGCTCCATGGGTCACAGCTTAAGTTATAAGGCATTCTGATGAGTACTTGCTCGGGGAACTCTAAGAAGCTAGAATGCATTTGAGAAAAGCAGATTTAGGGTGTCAGTTAACACGGGAAGATACAACCTCTTACCAAGCTAGAAGCATGGATATTTGTCCTGCTTTCATCAAAGTAGACAGCACTCTCAAGTGGAAATTAAAATAACAATCCTACCTTGAAAATATAAAACACCACTGAAAGGAATTAAAGACACAAGTAAATGGTAAGATACCTGTGTTCATGCACTGGAAGACTTAATATTGTGAAGATGTCCATCCTACACAAAGCAACCACAAGGCAATCCCTATCAAAATCTCAAGGGCATTTTGTGCAGAAGTAGAAAAATTCATCCTAAAATTTACATGGATTCTCCAGGGACCCCAAATAGCAAAAAACGATTTTGAAAAAGAACAAAGAGGACTTACACTTCATAATTTCAAAATATAGTACAAAGCCATATCTATTTTGCAGCAATCAAACAGTGTGGTACTGGAATAAAGACAGACAAATAGGCCAATGGAATAGAGAACCCAGAAGTAAACCCTCATGTATATGGTCATATGATCCATAGCATGGGTGCCAAGACTACTCAATGGGGTAAGATTAGTCTCTTCAACAGATGGTACTGGGAAAACTAGATACCCACATGCAAAAGTAAAATAAAATAACGATGGGTCATATCTTGTACTATATAAAAAAATTAACTCAAAATGGACTAAAGACCTAAACATAAGACCCAAAAGTATTAAACTCCTAGAAAAGAACATAAGGGACAAGCTTTATGACATTGGAGTTGGCACTGATTTATTATGTATGACAGCAAAAGCAGAGACAACAAAAGAAAATACTAGACAAATGGAACCATATCAAACTTAAAAACTTTTATACATCAAAGGACACAATCAAAAGTGAAAAAGCAACCTACAGAATGTGAGAAGCTATTAGTAAATTGCGTATCTTAGGGAAATCAAAATCAAAACCACAATGAGATGCTAACTCACAATTGTTAGGATGGCCACTATTACAAAATGAAAGAATGAAAACATAATAAAACTAGTACTGGTGAGCACTCAGATAAATTGAAACCCTAGTGCACTGTGGATGGGGATATAAAATTATGTAACCACTATGGACAACAGCATGGAGGCTCTTCAGGAATTTAAAAATAGAATTCCTACATGATCCAGCAATCTCACTTCTGGATGTATGCCCAAAGGACTTGAAAGCAGAATCTCCAAGAGATACTTGCACAACCATATCCGCAGAGCATTATTCACAGCCAAGAGGTGGAAGCAACCCAGATGTCCATCAAGTGATGAATGGATAAGCAAAATGTGGTATATCATTACAATGAAATATTATTCAGCCCTAAAAAGGAAGGAAATCCTGTTACATGCTATAACACAGATGAACCTTGAGGACATTAAATGACATAAGCCTGTCACAAAAAGAAAATACTGTATGATTCCACTTATATGAGGTATCTAAAGTAGTCAAATTCATAGAAACAAAAAGTAGAATGATGGTTGCCAGGGGCTGTGGTAGGTGGGAATGGGGAGTTGTTTAATGGGTATAGAGTATCAGTTCTGGAGTTGAAAAGTTCCAGAGATCTATTATAGTACAAGAATGTCAATCTACTTAACACTCCTAAACTATACCTTAAAAATGACTAAGATGGCAAACTTTACGTTATGCATTTTTTAAATCACAATGAAAAAAGAAAAGGGAAAACAATCTTAGCATTGACTGCTGCCATTTTTGCAACAAGCTCACAGAGTTGTAGTCAAAACTCTGACAATACATAATGCGCACAATGATGCAACATATGTCGCTAATTTTCAAACACCTCAGTATGCCTCTCAGGATTTTGTCTGGTTTGGAAAACCACCTGACAAAATTCAGAGAGAATATGAGAAGTTCAGAGGAATGGAAAATGTTTTTCTCCTGAATTTTCTTTACATGCACTCTGCCTTAGTTAATGAAAGTGGATTAGTCAGTTAATCACTTTGCCATTTTTTAAAATGAATAAGGAAACCGATTTTCTTTGTGCTCCACTAAATTAATTGACCTTCCTGGAGTGCCCACATCCCTTGGTGCTGTCCTGGCAAGGGGAATCTTTTGGTAACTCTTTCACTCATTCAACAAGCTTTTACTGAGTACTTACTATACGCCAGGCATTACTCTCAGCTGCAAGAGCAGAAATGAGTAAGAGTTTTTGGCCTTGAAGATTTCACACTCCCAGGACAGCTGATCTTTGTTAACCAAGTTAGAATCTTCCAGTAAATATATTTATCACTGCAGGCTACTAGCCATCTAAGATGCAATCCAAAAGTGTCACTCAGCCCTCCAAGGACCAATCATTCATCTGAGCACTGTAGGGTAAGAGTTGTCAGAAACTGAGAGATATCTATACAGACAATCTTCTTAAACATTTCAGTGCTAAAATTTATTTCAAGGAATTTATGATGAACAGGGAGAAGGAGGAGGTTATGAACAGGATAAAATGACATATATGTGAATAAAACAAAATAATGCATGATACATAAAATATAGCTGTGGAGAACTGAAATAAATGAGCTTTAATAAACTGACTGGTTTGGGTTGTATTTTATATTTTATTCCAAGAGAGTTAGATTAAAACTTTAACCTAGCAATGAATACAAATTACTTTATTTAAATAAAGACAATTTCAAGGGTTAGGTAAAAAAAGAAATCTGAGCTTAGAGACTTAGACTACCATAAGCAAGTGTCTTATAAATAGCGATGGTGGTAAGATGATACAGATAATAGTAATAATTAGCCTGCCCAAGGCCAAAGAAAATAGCAGAATTGGTTCTAGAATCTAAGTTTTGTATTCTACGTCTGCTGTTATTTCCACCATCGACAATTGTTTCTTTTCCATCAAATGACACTTCCTGACCCACCGACCTCAAAGGATTTGTGAGAAGAAATAAGATAAGTTGTCAAACAAGAGAGGAAAAAGTAAACGTTTTCTCAGCCATGGGGTCAAAAGCAAAAGGAATGGATTTGGATATCTCTCTCTCCATGGATTATTAGTCAAAAATTTTCTGAAATAAGACAACTTGTGTTCTCTTGCTAAGTTAGTGACAAATCAGGATACATCATCTTCCTCCCATTTCGGTGATATTTGCAAAATCAGAAAATCCCCTAGGTTTTTACCTTTTCTGCTTCAAAACAGTTTGTTCCTTGTTAGTTTTGTTTTGCTGTTAGTTTTGTTTTGCTGTGTGTTGCTTCTGAAAAGAAATGCTGAGTAACTCATGTTTTGCAGGCTGTGCAACGTAGGACTTAAGTGACTATATATGAGTCATGTTTATGCGCTAATTCTAGAAGGAAATCTCATCAAAAACAGAAGAACCTGTATTTCCAAGGAGACGTTATTCCACAAGATGTGGTTCAGTCTCATTTTCTTCCTTGCCCAAGGATGTGTCATATTAACAAAAAGAGTATCCAATTTTCTTTACTAAACTTGGATTTTCCTTTCTTTCAAGGCTAAAAATTCACTGCAAAAGTTAGCTTTAGTATGAGAACAAATTAGTCTGATTACATGAGTCAGATACTTTATAATAATTAACTTTATGGTTGTTAAATTTAAGTGTAATTAAGAGGAAGATTCAGTGTCATGGAAGTGTCCATTCTAGCCCAAATAATCCATAAATTCAAGATATCCTGATGAATTATGTCAAAGAACTGACTTTTAAGTATCAAGATTATAAAGCCATAATAATCATAACTGGTAAAAATATAATTGTGGGATTTATACAGCGTCAAATTGGGACAAAGTTTAGCAAACAGACCAGGATTAAAAAATTAAAAAAAAAAACAGTATGCTAAAAGACAAAACATGGTAAGAAAGATTGACAACTCAAAACTTCTGAAGAAACTTGGAACAGTGTATCAGAATCTCCTGAGACAAGATATCTGCAAGAGCTATAAATTATAACAAATTATTGGCTACATTATATAAAGAACTACAACAAGAAAACAACAAATAATCTTATAGAAAAAAGAGCAAAAATGTGAGTAGATAATTCACAGAAGAGTCAACATGAACAGCCAAGAAACACAAGCTTAACCTCACTAGTCAATCAGGTCAATGCAAAAACCACATCGAGATCCAATTCATACCAATCAGTTTGGCTCAAAGTTAAGACCAGTTAATAAATCCACATGGTTATATAAATGAAACAATACCAAAAGGTGCATAAAATGCTACAAATAAAAGCAAAGGAACAACAATGCTAAACTGCATCCAGTGGTGCTGGAGCAGGAGAAGAAATCCCACTTTCATCCTTGTGTCCTATCCACCCCATTACCAACACCACTCTAGGTTATCACTTTTGGGCAAACGTGTTATTATTCTCCCTCCTTTGTTAAGCCAAAAGGTATTATACTATATTCACCATATTGTGTCTTGCTTTTTCTAACCTAACAATATATTTTAGCAATTTTTATCAGTACATAGGAACCTTCCACATTTCCTTTAATGGTTACAAACTAACTTAATCATACGGATAGAGCAAAAATTATTTAGCTGGCCCCCATTCCAAGAATTAGGTTCTTGGAAAGTCACAGTTTCCAAGAAACTAATTAAAGATATTTGGGTTTCTTCTAATATTTACTATTATGAAAAACGCTTCAAAAAAATAACCTTGGGGTCCAGGCATGGTGGCTTGCCTGTAATCCCAACATTTTGGGAGGCAGAGGCGGGCAGATCACTTGAGGTCAGGAGTTCAAGACCAGCCTGGCCAACATGGTGAAATACCATCTCTACTACTACTACTAATAATAATAATACAAACATTATCTGGTTGTGGTGGTGGGTGTCTGTAATCCCAGCTACTTGGGAGGCTGAGGCAGGAAAATTGCTTGAACCCAGGAGGCAGAGGTTACAGTGAGCTGAGATCGCCCCACTGTACTCTAGCTTGGGCAACAGAGTGAGGCCCTGTCTCAATAAAATAAAATAAAATAACCTTGGGTATCAGTGTGTGTGTATGCTATTAAATCCACAGAATAAATTCTCAGAAGTGGCACTGTGGGATCAACAAAGAAGAATACCAGCGAATATCACATCAATACCAACCGTCGGGGAGTCTGTGCCGTAATGAGAACTCATATCTTGCAAGCAGGCCAATATGTCCACGCAAACACTTTAGAAAAGAATTTTCCAGAATTTAGTAAAGCTCAAATCTATATACTCTCTAGCTCATAAACTCTACTCCTAAGTAGAAACACAATATACTACAAGACATATACAGCCCACTTAACAGCTTTATTCATGACAACAAAACACAACCAACAAAAGAAAAAAAGAAAGAAAGAGGGAAGGATGAGTAATTTTTAAAACTATGTTATATTTGTGAAATGGAATACAACACAGTAGTGAAAAATGAAGGAATCAGAGCTATCAGTATCAACAGTTACTAATCTCTCTATGCCTTAGACAATTACTTAATCTCTCTGTCATACTTTCTCCATTTGTAAAGTAGAAATAATAATACTACTATACACAGAACTAATATTTGCTAACATTTATCAAGTTTTTAGAACAGTACCTGGCATGTAGTAACTATATACATGTTTCTTAAACGAAATGGATGACAAATACAAATGTTACCATGTTGAGTGAAAAGTCAAACTTCAGAAAACTATATACAGCATATGCAGACCAAGTACAGACAGTATAAAAACATGCAAAACAATACCACATACTACTACAGTAAGTCCTTGCTCAACAATGCCCTCAGGTTGTAGGCAATTGCAACTTTAAGCAAAAGAACATAAAACACCTTTTTTTCCCTCATAGCTATCACAAAATGATGTCGAGCAAAATGATGTTATTTGAGAATATCCTGTACATCGTTTCACTCAAAGTCGCAGTTTCCAAGAACCTACTGACATTAAGTGAGGCCTTCCTATATTTAGAAATGTAGACATGCTATAATAAAGGCAAAGGAATAGCAATGCCAAACTGCAGACATTGATGCTGGAGCAAGAGACAATTTGGAAGGAACATCTGGGAAATTAACTAGCACTGGTGATGTTCATTCTTATACAGCACATGGATCCCTGGCATTCATTCCGTTATTCTTCAAAGTCCTGTGTATGCCATAAGTGTGCCATAAGAAATAAATAACTTTTTTTCTTTTTTTCCTTCTCTACTTTGTAGGATGATTTAAGTAACTTTTATTCTAAATGAAAGATACTCAGTGGAGGAAAAGCAATAGGGTATATACTTCTGAAATAATTACAAGCAAATACAGGGAAAAACCATCCAGTCATAGACATGAAAAAGGAAAAAGCATAATTGACAAAACATACAATACAAGATATCTAGAACAATATCACAGATAGTATTTTACCGCAAAAAAGATTTTCAGATTGAGTAAAAAAATCTAACCAAACTCAGCTTAAAAAGACAAAACATTTACATAAGAAGGTTAAAAAGAAGGGGTTAAACAGAGCTCCACCAAGCAAACTCTGACAAAGAGAAAGAAACAGTGGAAATATAATCATATAAAATAGAATTCAAAGTTTAAATAATTCACAGGAAAAGGGATATGTGAAACTGACAAAAAGAATACACCAAGCAGATGTCCTTAATCATTACGTGCTAAGCAGAGTAACTTTAAAATATATAATGCAAACATGTTAGGACTTAAGGAGAAAATGTCCAATCACAATCATAACAGGAATATTTTCACATACCTCTGTCAGAATCAATTGAGCAAAGAGACCAAAATAATAAGAAATTCAATTTAGATAAATGCGAAATTTCACACCTAAATAATAGAGAATACACATTTTTCCAGACTCAAAATACTTATTAAAAATAGAATACTGTGTTTTATGATGACATACGTCTTCAAAACATTCCCCAAATATGAATTCTATAGGCCATGTGCACTGAATGCAATATAAGGGACTAGAAACTAACAAATACTGATCAAAAACAAAAACATCAGTATCCTACCTGTCTGTAATTTTTAAAACAATTAGGCCCTTTATGCCTTTTGGTAGATTCAGGAAAGATTTTTCTTATAAAATAATTTTAAGTTGGGGGAAATTATACACATAAGGATACTATATCAAGAATTATTCATATGGCAAAAAAAAGTCTAAATAATCTAAAAGCCCTTTTTAAAAAATTTGAGACAAGGTTTCATTTTGTTGCCCAAGCTAGAGTGCATGGCGCGATCATGGCTCACTGCTGCCTCAACCTCGCAGGCTCAAGCAATCCTCCAGCCTCGACCTCCCAAGCAGCTGGGACTACAGGTGCACACCTCCATGTCCAGCTAATTTTTTAAATTGCTTTTGTGGGAATGGGGTTCTCCCTATGTTGCCCAGGCTGGTCTCAAACTCCAGGGCTCAAGCAGTCCCCTCGCCATGGCTTCACGAACTGTTGGGATTACAGGCATGAGCCACCATGCCTGGCTTAAATGCGTATTAATAAAGAAATACTTTAGTACTTTACAGTACATTCATTTGACGGACTACTGTACAATCATTTCATTGATTGTTTAAGTACCATATAGCAATGTAGCAAATCCTCGTGAAACTGGGCGAGATGACTCACACATAATTATAGCAATTTGGGAGGCCAAGGGAGGAGGACTGCTTGAGCCCAGGAATTCGAGACCAGCCTGAGCAACATGGGGAGAACTTATTCCTACAAAAACTTTGAAAAATTAAGCAATTATGGTAGCATGTGCCTGTAATCTTAGCTACTCAGGTGGATTGCTTTGGATCTGGAGTTTGAGACTGCAGTGAGCTATACTGCACTGTACTCTAGCCTGGGTAACAGAGTGAAACCCTGTTTCCTTAAAAAAAAAAAAAAACCTGAAAGAAAATCCCTGTGACAAGGTCAAGAAAATACCCAGAATTCAAAATATGCAACTGGAAATGGTCATTTATCAGGAGATAAAATACAAATGGTCAATCAATATAGAAAAAGCTACAACTCAAGAAATCAAGATATGAAGATTAAATTAAAATAAGAAATCACTCATTATACCATCAAGGTATCAAAAGATTTTTAAAAACTAACTCTTTACTGGTGAGGGTATAAGGAATCAAGCATTCACAATTGAGAATTCATAGACATTGGTACAACCTTTCCACAATTATTTTTGACAACATGTACAAAACTTTGTGTAGGTGTTTTGACATAAAAATTATATTAAAATGCTATCTTTTAAAAAAATTAAAATATGGGCAAAGGTATAGTTACCAGGATGTTCTCCATTATTTAAAATAGTGATGAGTAATGACGATCTAAATGTCTAAAAATTAGAGAGCAGGTAGATATTATTTGATACAGCCATACTTAGGTAATACTATGCAGTGTTTTACAAATATAATTATTGACAGAAAAATGTCACAATATGTATGTGAAGAAAAGCAGAATATAAGGCACATGTAATGATTCCATTTTTGTTATATATGTTTAAATAGGTTTGTGTGTGCAAACATAAAAAATTAATATACACATTAAAATCCCAGAAGACTATTGGCCAGATATAATAACAGTGGCTATCTCTGAATGATGGCAGTTTTAGGTGATTTAATACCCTTTTGCTCTATGTTTTCCAATTTTCAATAATGAATATGCATTACTTACATATGAAAAAAGTTATCAAACTATACAGATGAGAAAACAACTGAAGGAAAATTTTAAAACAGAAGAATGTTTTAAAAATGGGATGGTGGGTTTGGGGTTTTTTTTTTTCCTTTTGTAAACTATCTAGGATGTTCTCACATTACTTTTGTTACTCAAATATTTTTAAAATTATAGTGAAACCACCCCTGATCTGTAAGCCTGTCATTAAGGAGAAGATGGGATTAATTCTGCCACTCTAGCTTCCCTGCCTCTCCATATTCCTTCCTGTGAGTGTAGACATGTTTCTCTAGGGAAGCCTCTTGGTGACCTTGTGTACCAAGCAAGGACTCAGTGAGTACATAGAGGAGCCGGTGCCAAACTGCCTTCAGAGTCTCCCTGACTTGCCCACTAATCACTCACTACACTATAAAAAGACCTGATGGGAGAATGAGATCCAGGCCAGCTCTCCCACCAACTGCCTGTCCACAAGGCCTGCCACCCGGCCTCTCTGGGTTTCAAGTTCTGCAACCGTGAGATGAAGGGTCTGGAAGGGGTGATCTGTATAGCAGGTTCAAACGTTTTGATTCTAGGTCCAGGTTGTAAATACAGCTGGCACTAACCAAGAGAGACCTGGAAATCCACATATGGATATCTACAAAGAGCTATAAAACCTGAAGGAGATAAAAATAAAGGGATGCTAAGCTGGCTGAAACCCTAATTTCATGCGGCTTCAGTGTTTGGGTTTCACGCACTCACTCTGTAGTCTCTATTCACATCGCTGAGCTGCCAGTAATGATTAGGGAGGCCCATCCGCGTGTATTCTTCACTAAGATCGATCAGCACCCAGCCTTGCTCTCTTTCTTCTTTATCCAGCATGGGGTTGAATGAAAAGCAGTATAACTCCTCATATTTCACTGCAAGAAAAGGTAGGATAAAGTTAAATCAAGCTTAGTCAAAACCAGAGCCAAATCTCCCCGAAAACATTCTGTCCCACCTGGAGTGCCCAGAGAGGCCATCCCAACCCCCACCCCCAGCACACTCTTGGGAGTAACCTGTGTGCAGTGGATAGGGTCCCCCACTTCCTCCCACCAATGACAAGATGACCTTGGGGTACCTGAACTCAACTTGGCAGTACCTTCTTTCCTTTTAGAACACAGGGACATCTCCATTTTGTGCTTTTTTTGTTGTTGCTTTAAAAGCAAATATATTTTCCAGACCACATCAAATATGGAACATAAAAATTAAGAACATATGCATTCATTAGGCATGAAGATTCCATTTTTTTAATGCCTATCAAGCTTGGATTTGGGATGGCCTCTCAGAGGCAGACACAAGGCCCAGGCCAATTGCACATTTTGATGCTCACAGGGTTAAAAAAGAAAAAAATAATAAAGTTGAAAAAACTCTGGAATATACTAAACGTTTGCATTGGAAACATCTGAACTTTAAACAACTACATAAATATCGTAATTGTGCTGCTCATTTGCATAAGATTCATAAAAAAAATCAATTCATACTGCACAGCGCTGTGCTCGTGGGATGCGAATTGAAGGCTGCATCATGATGTGGTTTCTTTCAATCCTGTCGTGTTATCTCTGTCTTTATATACTGCCTTTGATGCTTGTGAAGCCCAATAGCCCCACTGTTTCCCTCTCTCCACTAAAATCTAGGATTTGATTTTCTTGCTCTGCTCTTGCCATTTAAGGGAAGTGTAGAGACCAGCGCTATCCAACAGAAATATAATGTGAGCTATGTATGTCATTTTAAATGTCCTTGTAGCCACATTAAAAAAAAGTTAAATTAATTTAACAATCTATTTTATTTAGCCCAATATATCCAAAATCATTATCACTTCAACATGTGCATGATATAAAACTTACTAATATTTGATACATTTTGTTTTGTGCTGTCTTTGAAATTTCACATGTATTTGGCACTTAACCGCATACCTCAGTTTGCAGTAGCGCTGAACAGCTATCTGTGGCCAGTGGCTACCACCTTGGACAGTGCAGATCTAAGCATTTCTGATGATAATAAAGGATAACTGATACTCAGACCTTGTTTTGTTCCAGATTCTGTCGCAATTAAGTGCATTAATCCAGTTAGTAGGCAACATTGATGGTCCTCATTTTACCGACGAGAAATCTGACGCAAACGGGAGGCACACTCCCTCCCTCAGAGTCACACAGCCAGTTACCGGAGAGTCCAGGTTTAAATGAGACATCTGGCTGCAGAAGGCCTGCTCCTAATTGTAACACACCCTCCCCAAACGCAGATCCTTCTCTCTTCTTCTTCCTTCCTCGTTCCAGGCCCCTAATCTTCCTGTTTTTCTCCAATATACTTCTTTCTCATAGCTTTCCTAGGTCCTCCTATGTCCTTAGCATAGTGATAGTATTCAGTGTGAACAATTTAAGTTTCCTAAATACATGTATGTGTAGCCCTTTATAGAATCTTGCCACCAGCAAGAGGCTGCAGCAACACACAGGCAGCCTGACATGAAAACTCAGGTTTCAAACTTGAGATGACTCATCTGCATGGAAGAGGAAAGATAAGGGTCATATTTTAAGCACCAGATTTCTTCATTTTTCTTGAGAGTAAGAAGCAACTGCTGTATGTCAGTGAGATAAATTATATTCTATTTCAGTCTTTCTCCATGTCATGTTTCTAAACTTCAAAACTTAGAGTACGGACTATTTGGACAAATAACAAAATACGCACATCCAGGCGTGCTCACACACAAACCAGAGCAGACGCGTTCCGTAAAATCAATTTCTTATCATCTTAGCTAATGTTGCTGACAGCATGTGAAACCTCAGATCCTGTTCTGGGAACAGTTGGCTCAACATTGACACATCTTTTCCATCTCTAAGTACCATTTTCATGACTCAGGCTTCTGCTACCATAATGTTAACCACAAATGCAAGTTGTTTAGGATGCCAAAGGAATCTCTTGAGAAAGCCTCAGTTCCCTGAGTGAAAGAAGAGCTACTGAATATGGGGTAATAATGGCAGTTAAGTTCTCTTTGTTAAATATTTACAAATAGCTTTAAAGGTAGAAGAAGAAAAACATCCTATGACTACTGACAGTTTTCTGCGTGTGGGCTGATACCTGTTTCCACTGGGAAGAGGCAACGAAATTATCCATAAATTACAGCAAGAATAATTTATAACAGACATTAAGCAGATCACTGTTGAACTAGGAGACCTTAGGATGGGTTGACACTGAAATTATGAAATTTTCCCTTTTTTAAGGAAAAGGGTGATCAACCAATCCTTATGCCCAATTTAAGGAAAATTGTACACGAGGGCCAGGAAAAGCCCATTTTTGTCAGCCAACAGTCATGTCAATATGGGCAAGCTTCTTACCCACAGGCAAGCCCAGATACAGCCTGCAGACTCTGCCTACTCTAAGAAATCGAAAAGCGCCACTAGCACAGATGAAAGTTTTACTGAATTGTTCCCATGTCATAATTTTCTGTTCTTTTCGTTCTCTACTTTTACCAAATATTTAGCAGAATGTTTAGCAATTAGCTGGGAGGCAAGCTTAAAAAAAAAAAACCTAGGGCTTGACAATCCTTTTTTTTTTTTGCTTACAGACTTTTTAATAATATATTGATGAATTACAGTTTCATATATTTCTGGGGTAAAAAGTGTTGCTATTATTTTTTTTTTTTTTTTTTTTTTTTTTCAGACGGAGTCTCGCTCTGTCGCCCAGGCTGGAGTGCAGTGGCGCGATCTCGGCTCACTGCAAGCTCCGCCTCCCGGGTTCACGCCATTCTCCTGCCTCAGCCTCCGGAGTAGCTGGGACTACAGGAGCCCGCCACCACGCCCGGCTAATTTTTTGCATTTTTTTTTAGTAGAGACGGGTTTTCACTGTGTTAGCCAAGATGGTCTCGATCTCCTGACCTTGTGATCTGCCCGCCTCGGCTTCCCAAAGTGCTGGGATCACAGGCGTGAGCCACCGCGCCCGGTCAAAAAGTGATGTTATGATTTTTGACTACAATGTGGAATGATTAATTCAAGCTAATTAACATATACATTGCCTCAAGTATTTAACATTTTTTGTAACGAGAACATCTGAAATTTACTCTTAGCGTTTCGAAATGTACACTACTGAACTATTACCTATACTCAACACACTGTGCAACAGATTTCAAAATAATGAGACTTATTCCTCCTGCCTGAGGCTTTGCAGCCTTTGACCATCATCTCCCCACGTCCCCCACCCCCAGCCTCTGGTAACCACCATTCTACTCTCTGCTTCTATGAGTTTAACTGTCATAGATCCCACATGTAAGTGAGAACATATGGTATTTGTTATGTTTGGCTTTTTTCACTCAGCATAATGCTCTCTAATTCCATCCATGTTGTCACAAATAACACAATGTCTTCCTTTTTAAGGCTGAATAGCATTCCATTATTTGTATATACCATGTTTTCTTTATCTCTTCATCCAATGATGGATACTTAAGTTGATTCCACAACGTGGCTACTGTGAATAGTGCTGCAACGAAAATGTGAGAGCAGACGTTTCTTTAACTTACCGATTTCAATCTTTCCAGTAAGCACTCAAAAGTGGGATTGTGGAATCATACGATAATTCTATTTTTTGTTTGTTGTGGAACCTCCATCTGTTTTCCATAATGGCTTGTACTAATTTACATTCCCACCAACAGTGCATAAGCATTCTCTTTCCTCCCCACCCTTGCCAAAGCTTTGTTGTCTTCCATCTTTTTGGTAAAGGTCATTCTAACAGTTGTGAGGCGATACCTCACTGTGGTTTTAATTTGCATCTCCCTAATGATTATTGAGGTTGAGCGTTTGTTCATGTATCTGTTAGCCATCTATGTCTTCTTTTGAGTAATGTCTCTTGAGGTCCCTTGTCCTTTTCTTAATCAGAGTACTTGTTTTTTTTCCTATAGAGTTGTTTGAGTTCCTGACATATTTTGGGTATTAATCCTTTATCAGGTATATGGCTTCCAAGTCTTTTCTTCAATTTCCTTTGTTATGCAGAAGCTTCTTATATTTTAGACAAATCTTTAATATTTACAGAATCTGAACAGAGAGAAAATATTTGCCCACTCTAGGAAGGTCATATCCCTCACCTGATTTTCTACCCACTCTTAAAACAGGCATGTTAAAAGCTCCTCTGGCTTTTCCCATCACAGTCTAAGCCAGCATATCCAACTAAAACATCTTTTGCTGTTAGTGACCAGCAGCTTTCAGCAGGAAGTGCAACGAAGGCCTCACCCTAAGGGGCCCCATTACACAAGAGCTCCTCCAATAAGAAGCAAATACTCAAAATGCCTTTGGACTGTGGGAGTAAACTGAATGTGCACCTTTAATTTTTAAAAAACATTCAGAAAAAGTTAAGTGGAAATCTTGGTATTTACAGTATCATATATTATCTAATTAAATCATATAACTAATGAAACAGGAGTCCAGCTTTAATGTTTTTCTACCCAGAAAGCAAAATGATAATTTCTAAAATACTACACGAAATTAAGGATGAGTAACAGTTTGGCTGTTTCTAGGAAGACCAAATCAGTGTTTCAGTTGAAAGCATGAGCTCAACCCAAACACAGAGATCCATGTTTTGGCTGATCTTATTCTAGCACCGGTGTTCATTGTGCTCCCCTTAACCTAGGGAAGCCTAGGGCACTACAGTGCAGCTCAGTCTCTATTGCTCTCCTCGGCTCCTTCACTCTCAGATAACCCCACTTCCTACTTCCCATAGAAAATGCAAGACATCAGGTACAAACTCTCAACTTGGAACCACCAGGTGAATAAATGGGGCTGCATCCGTATACAACCTTTGCTCCTTCTCTCCCATATAAAGGAAAGGGTGCTCCTTCTGCCAAATAAGGGAGAGATGAGGGTACAACAAAACATTAGGGAAGGAAGGAAAATAACCTAGCTTGTTCCCTAGGTATCAAGTTAAAGGTTATAAAAACAGAATATTTAGGATAAATATATGGAGTAATTGCCTCTCATTACAGACTAACTGGGAGAAGCAATAAATAATGTAATATTAAAATCAAAAGTATTTTAAAAATGAAAAGAAAAAACAAACATGAATCAGCATCAGCAGAATGGGAAGGGTGGGAAAGGGAAGGGAAAACTTACCAACAGTCATCAGGACACAGAGATGTGAGCATTTTTTTTAATAACCAAAGTAACTACTGAAAGCTAAATTGCATCAAACATTATGCTGAATTCAGGCAACTTAAAATAACTGTAGTTGAGGCCGGGCGCGGTGGCTCACGCCTGTAATCCCAGCACTTTGGGAGGCCGAGGCGGGCGGATCATGAGGTCAGGAGGTCGAGACCATCCTAGTGAACACGGTGAAACCCTGTCTCTACTAAAAATACAAAAAATTAACCGGGCGTGGTGGCGGGTGCCTGTAGTCCCAGCTACTCGGGAGGTTGAGGCAGAAGAATGGCATGAACCTGAGAGGTGGAGCTTGCAGTGAGCCGAGATCGAGCCACTGCACTCCAGCCTGGATGACAGAGCGAGACTCCATCTCAAAAAAAAAAAAACTGTAGCTGAAAAACCATTTAGAGTGGGGTGAGAAGATAATACAGCTATTACTGGATTTTGCATATTTAAAATAAAAATGAGGGTGCCTCACCTTATCTGTCTTGTTTTAAGCAAACAAGTGTTGAAATTAAATATTAGGACTGTTAAAGCTAACACAGTGGAAAAGGGCTGCTACGCTCTGATAAAAAAGAAATTACCACTGCAAAGATTGCTTAAACATCAATGACTTATATAAGGAATATAAAAAGTTACCAATAAAGCAAATGAGACTACTTCAATCATGAGATTTTTTCTAAAATAAAAAATATCCAAAAGAACTGGGGACTAAAATACTAAAAAGAAACTAGTTTAGGAAAAGGGGGAAAACAAACAAAAGAAATTATTTAAGTGTTGAAGTACCCACAAACACTAAGGAGGGGAAGATAATTGATACAAAAATAAACAGCAGGAGGCAAATTGGAGGGAAGAGAGGAGAGAGGACATGGGAAAAGCTGAAGGCCTCTGAGAAACGGGTCTTTTCATCAGAAAAGTTCAATCCTTATTAATACATTAGATCTACAAGGTTAACTGATCTCATTTGACCCACAACCCTTATTTTAACCTAACTTAGTTCTTTACCAAGAATGAAACAGCTTCCTGCATTTGGGCATGTTATGTTTTGCCTGAGATCTTCTACAGTCTGTGACCAAATTGTTATCAATCTTTATTCACACAAAAAGCAAACCAATAAAGTCTCTAATTTTTTAATAATTTGATTTACCTTATACCAGAAATCCTAACTCAGTAAAGAGATAATCTCGACATTTATTTTAAGTTGCCTGAATTCAGCAGAATGTCTGAAGCAATTTCCCTTTCAATAGTTACACCGGTTCTAAAACACCTCACACCTCTGTGTCCCTCTGCTAACAGCTGGAAACTTTTCTCTTCCCTTCCCCACCCTTCGCATTCTGCTGATGCTAAGGTTTGGGGTTTTTTTTTTTTTTTTCTATTTTTAAAGTACTTTTGATTTTAATATTAAATTACGACAGCTTTGAAAATATCTCCTTCAGAGACCTTGACTTAAATGAATTCCCAAACATTTCTTCTTATGTAAAAAACAACTGTTTTGTCCTCTGTAGCAGCGGTCCACAACCTTTTCGGTACCAGGGACCAGCTTTGTGGAAGACAATTTTTCTGTGGATGGGGGTGTGGGGTTGGGGGATAGTTTCAGGATGAAACTCTTCCACCTCAGATCATCAGGAGCACACAACCTAGATCCCTCGCATGTACGGTTCACAATAGAGTTCATGCTCCTAAGAGAATTAATGCCACGAGTGATCTCACAGGAGGTAGAGCTCACGCTTGCACGCCCGCCACTCACCTCCTGCTGTGCTGTGCCGCCCGCTTCCTAACCCGCCATAGACTGGTACCTGTCTGCGGCCCAGGGGTTGGGGACCCCTGCTCTACAGAACCTTACAGTTAGCTGGGTGTCCATAAATAAACTGAAAATATGTGAACTTTGTTGGTGACTAACCAGAATATCGAGAGAGCTACATTTTACTACTAGAATTCAAAGTACACCTCCCTCACCAACTACACACACACCCTTATTCTCATGCCCTTAAAGGCAGTGGACGGTGTCTTTTATAAAATATCTTCAGATGGTTCTGAAAGACCACCCCATCCCCCAGTTGAAGGCAACTGTTTCATGTCTAACCCCTTCCACATTTCCCCATCTCCCTCCAGAGTCAAAGTCCTGCTTCCAAAGTTACAGCCTATAATATGCCCTAATGTTAGCAATGCCTTTAACATTACACTGTGAACTGCTTGTGATCTGTTTCACCTTCCACACTTATTAAAGCACTACATTTTAGGCAAACTGGCATTTCTAATGCCCATGTTTCAAAATGCTGGTGATTCTTTTTAACTCCTCTTAGGTGATGGCTTTGATTCAGTGAATGACTATGATTTCTTTTAGAAAAGGTAGCCAGTCAGATCTCTGTCTACATCTAATACCTAACTCCCTTCATCTTTTAAGGAAAAAGTATCTCTTTTCGAAAATGAGGGAACACAGTAATTTCCCCCTCAGGGATCCTCACGGCGAGAGTCCTGGCACTCGCTATCTCTGGGCCATGACCCTCCTGGTCCCTGTGATTCACTCATCACCAGCTGCTCAGCCCTTTCCCAGTTCGCTGGGCTATTCCTAAATCCCATTAATCCGCTCAGAGCACATTTATCGCCTAGTACTTCCATTAATCAGTGACACAGAAACTGTTAGCACAGAATTCTCCTCACATTATCTGCTGCGTGCAACCTAATGTACATCTTCCCAGAACTTCTGTTCCAATTTTAGTGCACCCTCCAAAAAGTTCAACTGCTTTTCTGCCTTACTCTGCCTTTCTTTTAACACACTTGGATGAAAAAGCCTCAACCAACTGCCTTTAAAGAGTAACAGTGCAAAGTAAAAACTACCAGATTTTGACAGCTCCCTGGCGTCATTTCCATTTAGTAACTTTAGCTCTTAGCTACCTACAAAGAATATGGACAAATCATAAGAAACTTAGGATCCAACCAAATGCCTTGAAAAGTTCATAATTGAACTTCTTGTCCTGAATCAAAAAGCATTTGGCAAAGTAATTATCAGCACATATCTTATTTCCTTTATTAACTACTTCTGTGTAGCACAACTTCTATATAAATGATCTCTTTTCACTGTATTCTTCCAAGAAACTTAGAGTATAGTAGAGTATATTTCTTTTTTTCTTTTTTTTTTTTTTTTTTTTTTGAAACAGAGTCTCGTTCTGTCACCCAGGCTGGAGTGCAGTGGCAAGATCTCAGCTCTCTGCAACCTTCACCTCCCAGGTTCACGCCATCCTCCTGCCTCAGCCTCCCAAGTAGCTGGGACTACAGGCGCACACTGCCACGCCCAGCTAATTTTTTGTATTTTTAGTAGAGACGGGGTTTCGCCGTCTTAGCCAGGATGGTCTCAGTCTCCTGACTTTGCAATCCGCCTGCCTCGGCCTCCCAAAGTGCTGGGATTACAGATGTGAGCCACCGCGTCAGGCCGAGTATATTTCTTTTAAGGAAAACAACACCACAACTCACACAAGCCACACAGAGAGGCAAGAAACACTTCTGTAGAAGCGAACAGTAAGCTATAAATCCGAAGAGCCCAAGATGACGGCTGGAACAAGATAGCAATGGCAAGAACATATTTTTCAAATCCAAATGTTCTTCCTACCACATTAAGTTTTTTTTTTTTTTTCCAGGAGAATCAGCAGATCCATACCCTGAATAGTCACTGATGCTAGTCTAGTTGTATCAACCTTGGAAAAAATAAATTATTATCAAAAAGCAATGGAGGTGCAGGCATGGTAGTTCACTCCTGTAATCCGAGCACTTGAGGCCGAGGCAGGTAGATTACTTGAGGCCACGAGTTCAAGACCAGCCTGGCCAACATGGCAAAACCCCACCTCTACTAAAAATACAAAAATTAGCAGGGTGTGGTGGTGGGCACCTGTAGTCCAGCTACTTGGGAGGCTAAGGCATGAGAATCGCTTGAACCCAGGAGGCAGAGGTTGCAGTGAGCTGAGATTGCACCAGGAGGCAGAGGTTGCAGTGAGCTGAGATTGCACCACTGCACTTCCAGCCTGGGCGACGGAGAAAAAGTGCCTCAAAAAAAAAAAAAAAAAAAAAAAAAACCAAAACCCCAAGAAACAAAAAAGCAATGGAGACCAAACCTTAAAAGCATCAAGAGGGAGAAAACTGCGCTAGAACTGTCTGATAACATTTTCCACACAAAACAACTGATTAGTTCTGTCACTGGCCCCATTCAAGGTGGCTCGATTACCACAATATAAGAAGTGCATAACTTAAAGGCAATTTCACCCCAAAAGGAAAGCATCCTATAACCCCACCAAGATTAAGTTAATACTAAGATTCATGAAAGAGACTCACATAATAAATAACTCGGGGGAGACTCTAAAAAAACAAGAAACTCTGTATCAGATGATCATTCGGGCTTATCCTCTCCTGAGAACGAGACTGACACATAATCCCTGAACCCCTATCATTCCTAAGCACCATACAAATTCTTGAATCTGATTTGCAAATTTTTAAGAGAGGTTCCATATTAAATGCCGAGTTCCTCTGCCCTACCTGGCCTTGCAAGGCGTATCAGGGAGATGTACACGTCGTGGCAATCTCTTTCCTGAGGTATGATGAGCTGTATTATCTGAAAGTTCTTGCAGCGAATCAGCAGAGGGCATCCGGTAGCGGTTGTTGCCTGTTTCTCAATGGTGGAAATCTGACTGTGAAGAATCTAGAACCAAATGTTAATGTGCATAAGCTAAGCACAAATAACTAATGAATACGACAAGGACTAACATTTCTTTGTGGCTCAAAGAAAGACAAGAAACGCTCCCCAACCTCCAGCTAGCTCAACCCTTGCGTTCAGATGACAAGCACTGAGATGTTCCAGGTAAGAACCAACTTCCTAAATTTATAATTTTATTTTTCAATACCAAGCTTCCTGATATCCAGGACAGTTATTTTGAAGTAAACCATTCAGCATATAAATTTGCACAAGTCCAGGTATGGAAACATTTTGGTAGTCAAATATTGAATGCGCTTAATAGCTAAAATTAAATAAGGTCATGAGAAGTTAGTAAAATAAACTTCTGCAGTCAACACAAGTTAGAGATGGCTCCGCTGGGAGGTGCCACCATGCTCCTTAATTCCACATGGAATGTTCGAGTTCTGTATCAACATGGGATTGTTGTTTTCTAAGCTGTTGGTGGTCGGGCAGGCTGCAAAAGAAGGGATTTATTTTATCTTTTTATTTTTTAAATTAATATTTTTATTGCAAATCATAGTTGTACACATTTATGGGCTACAGTGTGATGCTGTGATATATGTACATCATACGGAATGATTAAATCAAGCTAATGAGCATGGCCATCACTTACCTATAGTTTTTTTTTTTTTTTTTTTTTTTTACAGTGAGACCCTTGAAATTTACTCTCATAATTATTTTGAAATATACATTACTATTGAGTATGGTCACCTTGCTGTGCAATAGATTTCCAGACTTTTCCTCCTGTCTTTTGGAAACTTTGTGCCCTTCAATCAATATCTCCTCATTCCCTCCCCCTCCTCTGCACTCCCAGCCTCTGGTAAAACCATCATTCTACTCTCTAAAGAGGAGATTAACTTTAAAGGAAATCATACTGAAGTGCATCTCTGGTGTTACAGGAGGGTCTATGCTCAGTCTTCAATAGCAGCATTTTAATCTTTAAGTTTCCCCTCCACTAAGAAGTGCCTGCCACCTTCTGCTAAAAATGTACCACTGTGCACGAAATACAGCAAAGGGAAATCTACAATTCAGGGATGTCATGATTGGGTTGCTGAAAGAATAATAAGGCCACACACGGTGGCTCATGCCTGTAATCCCAGTACTTTGGAAGGCCAAGGTGGGCAGATCACTTGAGGTCAGGTCAGGAGTTTGAGGCCAGCCTGGACAACATAGTGAAACCCTGCCTCTACTAAAAACACAAAAAAGTCAGCCAGGCGTGGTGGCGCGTGACTGTAGTCCCAGCTACTCAGGAGGCTGAGGCAGGAGAATCACTTGAACCCAGGAGGCAGAGGCTGCAGTGAGCTGAGATCGCATCACTGCACTCCAGCCTGGGCAACAGAGTAAGACTCCATCTCAAAAATAATATTAATAATAATAATTATTATTATTTAGTGATGTTCAAATATCTAATGGTTTCATTAATAAGTAGGAGAAATACCTGATGATGAAGCTCCTCTAGATTTTCTTTCTTTTTAAAATTATCAGAAAAGTAGAGGCAATGTAATAAAATGACCAAATGGCTGCATTACAGGACCCTGCAAATAGAGACTATTGCAAATGGAGCACTGGAGGATGACAATGCTGAATCTGGCCTACTGACATTATTGAATCTCTCCTTGACAGCTGTGACAGGAAGCACTTGTATCTTCTGGCTAGTTCTAAGTCTCTCTTCACTGATGTTCAAATAATTCATGTTTAAAATGAATAGTCGATCAAGTAGATACGACTGCACAGAAAAAGTCCAAACACACATTCCAGAAACAGTTCCCCAACATCCAGGCACAAAAGCCCACCCATCTCACCCTGAGGAAAAATGAATGGAGGGCAAACACTTTTTGCTTCAAACAACGCAAAACAAGGAAAGCTAAAAATAAAGAAAGCATACCCATGTTTCTTTTCTTGGGTCAGGTGAATTTTCCACGAATATGACATGGGTAGCCGTCAAATACAAAGTACCTAGAGCTGCTTTTTTAGGAGACACTCGATCTACCAAGCGGACATTTTCAACCTAGAGAAATCGGCATGATGAAAAGAGTTACCGTAAAGCAGAAGAGCAATTCACGAAATAAATGATAACAGGGTAAACTCACACTTACTCCAAAATACAATTTTTTGAGAATTCCCCCAATAATAAAAACCAAAAACTTCCCCTTAAGTTAATCGGATCTCAGAGTAGGATTGTGTATATTAAAAGATGAACATTCACCAGTTACGAAAATATGAGTTTAAAGGTACCACAAAAGATGTGTAGATCCTATTAAGAATACCCTCTCTGGGTTTTACAATGGTCAACGCTTTCATTTCATTATAATTATATTACATTTCTAATTTAAAGCAGAAAGTGTATGTGTTAATGTTCTGAGTTTACACTATGTATCAATTACATTCTATGAAAAAGAAAAAAGCACATTTTCCTATGTGTTTCTAGCTTGTAGAAATGGCCTTAAGGCTCTTTGCTTCCATACAAACTAGTAGCAAGTATAAACATACATACGGGAGAAAAAAGTATCAGAGAAATGTGGAAAACATACCATCTCAAGATCCTTACATTCATTTATAACAAAATCTTCCTAATGAATGGCATTATCACCACTCAGCTAAAATCCAAACTGCTAGAAGAGATTTCTGGAAACAATTTTTACAAAGCATACCTCTCTCATATGCAGACCAATTTTAAGGACATGTGCACTGAGATCATCCTAACATGAAATGTAATGGAAATGACAAGACAATCTCTACAGAGCGAGAGAAAACTGAAGCAATGGTAATTCTAGTAAGACACAGCCACCATAACCACCAGAGGAACATTCCTGTAATGACCACAGCGCACAGCAATCCTACCACTGCCAAGGATCAACCACCTGCAGAGAAACACTGACTCATCCCTCAAGCCAAAATGGTATTTGCTTCCATGCAGCTTAGGAACTAACGCATTGTATTCGCTCCATTCTTCAGTTTAAATAGAAGCTGTGGGCCGGTGCAGTGCCTCACATCTGTAATCCCAGCACTTTGGGAAGCCGAGGCGAGTGGATCACCTGAGGTGAGGAGTTCAAGACCAGCCTGGCCAACGTGGTGAAATCCCACGTCTCTACTAAAAATACAAAAATTGGCCGGGAGCGGTGGCTCACGCCTGTAATCCCAGCACTTTGGGAGGCCGAGGCAGGTGGATCACGAGGTAAAGAGATCGAGACCATCCTGGCCAACATGGTGAAACCCTGTATCTACTAAAAATACAGAAATTAGCCGGGTGTGTTGGTGGGTGCCTGTAGTCCCAGCTACTCAGGAGTATGAGGCAGGAGAATCGCTTGAACCCAGGAGGCGGAGGTTGCAGTGCGCTGAGATTGCGCCACCGTACCGTAGCCTGGCGACAGAGTGAGACTCCATCTCAAAATAAATAAATAAATAAATAAAATAAAATAAAAGCATAAAAACTAGCCTGGGGTGGTAGCAGGTGCCTGCAATCCCAGCTACTCGGGAGGCTGAGGCAGGAAAATCACTTGAACCCTGGAGGCAGAGGTTGCAGTGAGCCAAGATCGTGCCACTGAACTCCAGCCTGGGTGACAGAGTGAGACTCCATCTCAAAAAAAATAAATAGGCCAGGCACGGTGGCTCACGCCTGTAATCCCAGCACTTTGATCATGAGGTCGGGAGTTCAAGACCAGCCTGGCCAACATGGTGAAACCCCGTCTCTACTAAAAATACAAAAATTAGCCAGGCGTGGTGCCCGGCACCTATAATCCCATCCACTCGGAAGGCTGCGGCAGGATAACTGCTTACAACTGGAAGGCAGAGGTTGCAGTGAGCCGAGATCGCACCACTGCACCCCAGTCTGGGCAACAAGAGCAAAACTCCTTCTCAAAAATGAATAAATAATAGGAGGTGTGGTCCTGATCTAGTTTGGGAGTCTCAGACTTCCCATCTACTCCAAGGGAGAGCCAGGGGAGTAGCAGACCTCGTGAACATTCCTCAAAACACCAAGAGCAAACAGGACCCAAGACCTCCCATTGCCTCAGTCTCCTCTAAGCCCTTAGAGCCAAGCCAGCCCTCTAGGAGTAGCTCTAGAGGGTCCCATCTCACTTCCTCCCAGTTTTCAGAGATCTACTGAGGTCAATAAAGAATTAGGTATTATAAATATCTGTACTTATACAATTTACTCTGGAGCATTGTGAAATTCCTGAGGACTTGTGAAAGTCTATGTATGTTAAAGGCATACATTCGACAACAGTGCCCTTCACCTACTAGCTTATGTTTTTTTTTTTTTTTTACAAGAATTCTTTTGTTACTGATATGCTGCACATTCTTTTGTATGGTTATCCATCATGGTGTATTTTTTGTGAATGGTCTTCATATCACTGGTTTACTTTGCTACTGGGTGATCAGCATTTCTTACATATTTATAAGACCTGTTTATACAGTAAGGCTAGTAGCCCAAGGCCCAATGAGTTTTTATAACTGCGTCCTTACCAAACTTTTAAAAATTAATTCTAGTATGAATCTCTTGAATGTTCTGAGTAGCCAAATATTTTCTGTAATAATGTGTTGCTTCCTTTCCAATATTTATCTTTTTTCCTTGTATAATAGCATTAATTAGAAACTTCAGAGTAACTATAAATAGCATGGAGACTACAGTCACTCTTGCATTGTTTTTCCTTTGTTGAATGACAGCTCTGTTGAGATATAACTCATATACCATACGGTTCACCCATTTAAATGTACTATTCAATGGTTTTTAGCACATTCACAACACTGTATACACTGCCACTGTGCAAACATTAACGCACTATTTTAAAACATTTTCATCACCGCAAAAAGAAATCCTGCACCCACTACCAGTCACATCCCAGTTATTCCCCCAACCACTCCGGCCCTAAAAAAATCAATTTACCCTCTGTCTCTATAGATTTGCCTATTCTGAACATTTTGTATAAACAGAATCATACAACATGTCATACTTTGATAGTGGTTTCTTTCACTTAGCAATCATGTTCTCAATCTACGTTTCAATCCAAGTTCATCTATTCATAGAATGTACCAGTGCTTTACTTTTTGTTGCCCCATGATATACCATTATAGGGACATATCATATTTCATTTACCAATTCATCAGTTGATAGACATTTCAGTTGCATCTACCTTTTGACTACCAGGAATAATGCTGCTATGTACTTTTGAGCATAAGTTTTTGTATGGACATATGCTTTCATTTATCTTGGCTATACTTAGGAGCAGAATTGCTGGGTCATTTGGTAAGTCATATAGTAAGGCTTTTGAAGAGCTTCTGGACTATTTTCCAAAGCAGCTGTGCCATTTAATATTCCTACCACCAATATACAAGGGTTCCAACTTCTCCACATCCTTGATAACACTTATTATAATCTCTTTTTTTGATTATAGTCATCCTAATATGCGATCTCATTGTGGTTTTGATTTGCACTTCCCTGATAGCTAACAATATTGAGCATCTCTTTATGTGCACCCATTTTTAATGGAACACTTATTATCTTTTACCATTGAGTTTCATGCTGATATTTATTATCGCATCGTGAAAGTGACCTAATCCTAGTTTACTAAGAGTTTTGATTTTTTAAAATCAGAAGTGAAAGTTATGCCTTTTTGATATGTATTTGGATAAATATTTGTTTTTTTAACTCTAGCCCTAAATTATCAATAATAGTAATAGATTTCCTAATCTTTAAAGGAGTCTTGTGTTCCTGCTATATGGCCAACTTGAAATCACGACTACGTAATTCATACACAGTCATTATATATTGATATTTTAATTCCTTGTATTTTTCCCGCCATAATTGTTATTTTGATTTGTTTTTTTTCTTTTGCATCTATACTTTTAAGAGAGAACCTCCATGCCCTAGCCTATTCATGCTGCTGTTATCAAGTGAATTAACCATGGTTATGATTACATCAATTAATCAGGAAGCTTTCAACATACAAAGTATTTATTAGTTGAAACAAGTATAGTACTTCTTTACACAGAAATCTTTAGTAATGGTTTCAACTTCTTATGTGGTTACAGATCCGTTCACTGTTTCCAATTTTTACTAAATCCCATTTTAATATTATAATACCTTTACAAATTATCTTACTGCAGATTTTCAAATTTTTACAATCTTTTAATTCTTATCTGTGGGTAAACCCCTCTCTTCTTATCCCTTCCCTCATTCCTAATACTGTGAATTGTTTTCTTTTTACCTCTTTGTGATTAGACAGGCAAAGGTTTTTCTTTAAAGTAACAGGTGTTGGATATATCAACTTTATTTTTCTTTTCTACTTTGTTAATTTCTGGTTCCTTAATAAATGTTTTAACTTGCTTTGCTTGGGCATGCCATGTGGTTTTTGTCTGTCTGTTTCTAAATTTTCAGATTTCACAGTCAGTTTGTTAACTGTCATTCTTTTTGTTTAATAACAAAAGTTTTTAAATTCAATCATTTTCCTCCAAGTATATCTCAGGTTTTATCCTGTGAATATTATTCATAGTATCCTCATTCTTCTTTCTAGATGGTCTATAATTGCACTTTTTATTTCTTCTTTGACCTGAAAGTTTTTAAGGGAAGCATTTTCCAAATTCTCATATGGTTGGGATATTTTACTTAAACTTTTGTCATTAAACATTCTATTTTAAAGTAACTACGATAAAGATATTATGAAAGTATGGGAGGAGAAAAATAAGGGGATAGAAACTTTATTGAGATAATCATATTGAGCATAAGATAATACTTTGAGGCAAAAATATTTGATATGGATTATTCTCCCTACAGAAGTAGAGGAAGCTGTATCACTTAAATTATTTTTAGAAAAGCTCAGTGGAGCAGAATAAGGTATGCAGATGTTGAGAGATTAGAATACTACCATTGAGATGGGATTTTTCCATGTCTTTTTGTTAACTTTGGATGCTGCTGCAGGAAAGTCACATTCCAAAATTTGGCAATAGTTCCTACAGGTCCCAGAGCTGTCAAAAGTAATTTTGAAGATACAGAGAGGGAAAAAAGAAATAAGGAGGGGAACACCAACAGTATGATTTCCCAGAGATACTAACAATTAAAAATGAATTATAAAAATTAAAATTCAGTTGTCTTAGAAACGTTATGAAGTCAGAAAGCACTGTTCAGGGACCACCTCACAGTTTATACTAAGACGTTGAAAACGATCTAAAATGAAATAAATTTCAGAGTTTGGGCACCATCTTGAAGACCCACTGACTCAGTAATTCAGCCTTACTGTTGGGCTAACTTAATTCTGTCTCATCTATACATATATGCTGTACATACTACAAAGTAATAAGGCCAGTTTTATACTTAGGGAGAGCTAAGACTAAGGAAACAACCAGCTTCTCAAAACAAAATTGTTGCAACTCATTTGCCTGCTCCCAGGAGCACTATGCTTAAGACATACGAGGTATTCATACTCTGAAAAAGGCTATGGAAATCTATGCAAAAGATATTACACTATATTATTAATTCTTGGATGTACATTTTTTACATTCTGGTATTTCTAAAAATGGGACACATCTGATGACTGATGTGTAAAAAGCTATTGTGTCATTTCATTGGCAGTGCTTCTTTCTTCTTTTGTGGTTCATAAAATCTTGCTGCCTCTTAGCATCACTGATGTCTTAGATTTGTTGAAATGTGATAAATTTAGTCTTTAGCACATAAAAGATAATAATTGAAGCCATGGGACTAAAAAAGGTTACCCAGGGCGAGCAGGCAGAGTGAGAAGAGATCTGAGGAAAGCCCAATGTTTAAAGGTCTACATGAAGAAGAGGAATCAGAAAAGCACAGAAACAAAGAAATGGACAGGCAGGAGGACAATCAGGAGATTCTGCTATCAAGAGGATAGCAGAGATAATATTTTAAGAGAGAGGGAGTGTCTATGTCAAATGCTGCTGAGATGGAGTAAGGCAAGAACTGTAAGTGGCCCACTACATTCAGGAACATGGGGGCACTGGTGGTCTTAGCAGGAGGGGTCCTGGAAGCATGAGGATCATAACCCATGAAAGAGCAGCTTGAGGTGTCAACTCCCAGGCACTGAGAAAGTAGATACCACTCTTTGCCAAAGTGGGGTTTGAGCGGGCAGAAGCAGATAGTCTGACCACGCGAACTCCACCCCGGAGCAGCAAGAGCCACGTTAGCTTTTCAGAAGCAACTGGCACGTCAAGACATTTGAAGGAAAGATGCCTGTTAGTGCTACCAACCGGGGCATCTGCACTTGTGATACACACGGGAAATAAAATGACTCCATTAGGCCGGATTGAGAAATACATTTTAAAGGATTAGAAGGAGATGGGGATCGCTGAGCAAAGATTTGTTTATCCTGCTTGTATTGCTTCTCCAATCCTAACAAACTTTCGCCCCCAGCTTTTAGAACTTGCCTTTTTAAAACTAGGAAACATGTACTTATTTACTTAATGTTTAAAGATTTGGAAATATAACAGGAAGAGAAGAAAATCACCCCTAGGACCATAATCCAACACAAGCACTGTTAGTCTTTTGGGAAAAATGCCTATACCTCATGTTAAGTGTTTTTGGGGTTTTTTGATTGTTTGTTTTTGTTTTTGTTTTTTTAATTAGGTAGTGAAGCACCACAGGAAATAATCTCCAGGGATGGAGTGAACAAATCTAATCTAAACTGTCTGAAGGCACCGTTTCATTGCAGTATCAACCCTTCCTTTGCCAAAATCTTCAGAACAGTTGGCTATATACCATAACGCACTGAGGGTTTGGAGGAGGGGAGAGTAATTAAGGAAGAGCTAGGTAATTAAGGAAGAGCTGTGCCACAAGACAATGACACATAAACGGATGGTGAGTCGATCTGCAACGTGAACTAATTCAGCAGCAAATGATTATGCCAGAAGGGACTGTGAAAATGCAAACCTCCATGGGAACTGGCAGAAATTCTGTGGAAAGCTTTGGACTTCTGAAGGTAAGAGAACTGGGGCATTTCAAAGAACTCCACCAATATCTCATGAATCAGGCCAACCCCAGTTGTCAGTTTGTTTATGAAAAATCACCAAATAACAATAAAAACAATAACAAATATTTTTTGATATTCGACATCCATGCACTGCACAATCACTCTATATACCTGAGCTCAAGTTAATCCCCACAGTAACCCCCTGAATTATAGGTTCTTGCATAATCCCCATTTCATAGTTCTGTTGAACTTGAGACTTGACAAACTTTCCCAGATCCTGCAGGGAACAGGTGGCGTGGCCCGGCCAGCATGGGTCTCCAACCTTTCGGCTTCCCTGAGCCACACTGGAAGAAGACGAACTGTATTGGGCCATACCACACACGTAAAATACACTAACAACAGCTGATGAGCTTAAAAAAAAAAAAAGGACCATGCATAATTTTCATGATATCCACCACCACAGACAGGCAAAAACATCCTCAAATTCAAAGGGCAGGACACCCGTGCTAGAGCTAAGGTCTGTCTAACTTCAAAGCCACGTTCATCCTTCACCATGGCTGTGGTGAGCACTTGTAAATGCCTTTGAGGTCATTGTAGAATTGTTATTCAAAATTAATATGTTTAGCATAGACAGTTAATAATTATTGTAAGAAATCTTATACATGAAATTAGTACTTGAAAATAGAATGCTTTAAGACAAAATTATACTGTAAAACTATATTCACAAACCACTATCACAATATTATTCTTTTAGATAAACCCAAAAACAAAAAGCTTGGCAATGGATACAAGAGCCCAAAGATTGACACTAGCAGACTTCGGGTATTCTCAGAACTAATGAAAGAGACAGAACACTAAACATCTAATTCCATTCAAAAAGATGCCTATGTGTGGCACTGTGTCAGGTTCCGCAAAAAAAAGCAAAAGGGTGAACAAGGTAGCATCTTTGTCTATCTTCAAGAATCTTATAGATTCAATGGAAAAGACTATGCCCCAGTTTAATGGCTTTTTTGAATTCCTGTTCTTCCTCTGTTGGGGTTAGACTGAGGGGAAAAAAGGGTTTCATCATCTTTTCTAGGCCAAGGCTGAAAACGCTCAGTCAAAACCCTGGGCCCCACCACCGCACTTCCAGGTCTGAGGAGGCCACACTGGCGGCCCAACATAGGTCCTCCTTGGCCTTCCCTTCACTGCCTGGGCGTCAGGAAGACCTCATAAATCACCGAGAGTCAGAGCCTTTCTTCAGTGATCCTCTATTGTGCCACCTTCGAATTTCAATCTTAGTAGAATGTGGGTCTTTCTATCCTGCAGGTCAAATATTGAAGTGCTGAACATTCAGGGTTCCAGAATCATCTCAGACTATTTGGGTAAGTAAAGTTGCTCCGTAGGATGAGGAATCCAAAGTGCAGGGCCGGGGTGCCAGTCATTGAAAAGGACAGAAAGCAGTGGCACTGGCTACCGGCTTTTCTCAGGCCAAAGACCAAGTCCTCAAAACCATATAAATCAGGCTCCAGATCACTGTCAGTCATCTGGGGGAAGAGATCCAGGGACTGTTTAACAGAGAGAAATCAAAATCTCTGCAGCAGCCAAAACCAAAGACAAGTTTATGTTCTAATCTAAGAAAAGCAGCTAGATAAATAGTTTGTTGTGCTAAAATTGGTATCATGACATTTTCTAACTCTACCAACATGAAAAGAAAAGTATTTGTGAGTCAAGAGGCCTGGGCTCTGGTTCTGGTTCTGAAATTGAACTGCTGGGAGCAGGCAGTTTAGACATTATCCCTGCATTTTGACTTCTATAAGGGATCTAAAGGGTCTTTAATGTCTCTCTCCTTTCTAGCAGACTGCAGCTGTGACCCAGTGGTACTTCATAGACTACCTACGAGGATACAAAATGGCAACAGTGAAAATGCATACAATAATGACTCAATATTAAATTTTCTGGAAATTAAGTCACTCGGTAACCTGGATGGCCAACACGACTTTTGTGACTTACTGAGGAAAGGAAGCATCAGCCACAGCAGCAATGATGCTCTAACAGCCTCTGAAGCTGGCCCAGAGGCTGCACTGATATCCAGTGTTCTGGTCCCAAAGGACTGTGATAAGCATCCCAAGGCCGAGGGCACCAAGCCCACCAGCCTGGAGGAACAAGCTGCCCAGCCACAGTGGCTCTTTTTCATTTTCCAGATTCCTTCCCCATCTCGAGCTCTTCTTCTTTTTTGCTTCTCTTGGGGAGTTAGGAAATCACTGGCTAGAAACCCTAGAGCACTTGGTAACATTTCCTGAGTTATTTCTGTCTCTCATAATTAAGTATCATTTGGATTTAAAACTGAATTGATGAAGCGTCTTGCTGTACTCAAAAATAAAGACTTTCATTTGACTTTATTTTAAAATCTATTTAGCACATCCATCCGTCCATCCATCTTCTTTTCTTTTTGCAATCTTTAATGTTGATATTCACGCTACACGGCATGCAGAACAATCTTAGTGTCTCAAATGAAATACCCACCCCTTGGTCAGAAAGTGCCTGAGTGATAAGGAGACCTTGTGCAGAAACAAAATTTGAGACCACTACAGTAATGAGAAGCTAAAAATTCAGACAGAGTCCTTTTTTTCTCAATGTTCTTCCACTGTGAGTAGAAATGTTATATGAGCCACAAAATGTGCAGGTGTCAAGCACAAAAATGAACATTAATATTGCACTTTAAAATACACAACAGTTAATGTAGTTCTATTACATTGTGCAGTAATTAGCACAGTGATTAGGAGAATGCAGTGAGGGTGCAGGGCATTGGCTGTAAGAAGCACTCACAGGGCACCAAACTGTCAGGACAGAATGTCTTGAGAGCGGCTGGTGTTCCTCCGAGATATGGGGGGGCCGGGATCCCAGGGCCTGTTGGCAGCTCAGATAAGACACATCCACCACCTGGGGGGTGTGGAAGGTCCCAGGGAAGGGAGCCGCTCTTAGATACCAAGGTTGGGAGGATGGTTCTGGGCATCAGTTTTACCTTTAAACAGTGCCCACCCTCTCAGTCCCTACTTAACTAAGTGCTGATGCCAAATCCAGGCAATCCAGGATGAATTTTTCAGAAAAGCTTATGGCAAAGGAGGCAGCGTAACTGTGGTGCGTTCCTTTTAACCCTTCCCTCAAGCAGAGGGAGCAAGAGGAGGAAGGGTAATAACAACAACGAAAATACTTTTACCACTGACCACACAACTACTGCGCATCAGATACTGTGCTAGGTATTATCCACATGCTACTTCTAACCTTAGCTGAGACAAAGACATGAAGAGCATGAAAAATCAATCAACTGCCCAAGCCTCGCATCTAGAAAGTGGCAGAGCCAGATTTCAAACCAGAAGTGTCCACTTCCCTGGATCTCTCCCATACCTGACCACTTCAGTCTGGGTCTAATATTGCAAATGAAGGAAAAACATCCTGGCTCAACAGTCTCTCCTCCATCGTCCCTGAGATTTCAGTTAGAGAGGAATATGTTTAACAAGTTAAATGCTCTAGCTACAGCTAAAAGATTTGGTATCTGGTACAGACCAGCTTGGCTGGCCATGTGACCTCCCTGCTTGCTCATTTCTCTTGTCTGGAGGGGCAAATCCCCGAAAGACTCGGTTCTCCCGGTGGTCGAGGGATTCTCTGGGCGGAGCTCTGAAGTGTGCACCAGCATGTTTCAAATCGAAAGGTTCAAAGGCCTCCTGCAGCTTTGGAGGAACCATGCAGGAACCAAGCCCCACTTCTAACCAGCAATGCAGTAATTATAGAAACATCTACCATATAGAAATTCTCAAGTCATTTTTATTTATGACAGGTGTCACTGTCTGTATAATGGTTGCTAAAAAAAGATGTTTCAAGTTGGAGTTCAGAGTTCCTGGACAAATGATCCCATCTGTAACTAACTGCATGTGTGAGAGAGGGGAAAAAAGCATACATCTCACTAGTTATTAAAAAATAATTGTTATTGGCTGGGCATAGTGGCTCATACCCATAATCCCAGAACTTTAGGAGGCTGAGGCAGGAAGATCACTTGAGGCCGACAGTTCGAGACCAGCCTGGGCAACAAGATGAGATCCCCATCTCTACACAAAATAAAATAATATCTAGGCATAGTGGCAGGCACCTGTAGGCCCAGCTACTTAGGAGGCTGAAGTGGGCAGATGGTTTGAGCCCAGGAGTTTGAGGTTATAGTCAGACATGATCGTGCCACTGCCTTCCAGCCTGGATGACAGAGTGAGACCCTAACTCTAAAAAATAAATAAATAAATAATTATTAACAAACATATCCATAACACAGACTTCAGAGTTTTACTTCTTGCTCCCACCTCATGTCCACAACTTCATTTCTCCTGTGTGAAACTCACAGAAACAATAGAGTATGCAAAAAATATAAACTACCCAATTATAGCTGGCAAAGTACTCTGACATACAAGAAGAAAAACTGAAGCTATAGCAAATTCTCCAAACAATGTAGAATTGCCATGATCTCTTATAATTACAGAAAAAGGGCATTTGGTTTTTCCAATTTAAAAAGAAAGCACTTTTTTCCTATTTACATAAAGTTACTGAAACAAAAGGTGGCAACCATGAAGCTTCAGGAGTTTTTAAATTCAGCCTTTTGACAGAGAAATAAAGAACGTCAACTGTTTTTCCAAAAGGAGTATTTAATCTTTCTACAGCTAAAAAACCATTGAAAGTCTTTTCCCAGGACTATTTTATTCAAACATCAGAGATTAGAGAAGAATTGAGCATAATCCAAGAAAATATATGACACATAACCAGAAGTAACAGAGACTCTACCTTTCACGAAATCCCTTAGATACCTCTGGTATAATGAAGAAAAAATGCTGGTGGGATGCACACACAGGGATATATCTGGGAGGCATGCAAAGAATCCTATTCTCAAGCTGCCTAAAACAATTAATTCTTCAAAAACTGCATTCTGCTGTGAAACTAAGTTATTTCAAAAACATAGTTAATATAGTTGATATCGTTTGGATCTGTGTCCCCATCCAAATTTCACGTCAAATTGTAACCCCCAGTGTTGGAGGTGGGGCCTGGTGGGAGGTGATTTGATCATGGGGCAGTTTCTCCTGAATGGCTCGGCACCATCCCTCTTGGTACTTGATATGGTTTGGCTGTGTCCCCACGCAAATCTCATCTTCAATTGTAGCTCTCCCAATCCCCGCATGCCGTGGGAGGGACCTGGTGGGAGGTAACTGAATCATGGGGCTGGGTCATTCCTGGACTGTTCTCGTGATAGTGAATACGCCTCATGACATCTGATGGTTTTATAAAGGGAGCTTCCCTGCATAAGCCTTCTCTCTTGCCCACCACCACGTAAGAAGTCTCTTTGCTCTGCCTTCGTCTTCCGCCACGATTGTGAGGCCTTCCCAGCCATGTAGAACTGTGAGTCCATTAAGCCTCTTCCCTTTATAAATTACCCAATCGCGGGTATGTCTTAATTAGCAGCATGAGAACACACTAATATAGTACTGTCCTCACGATGGTGAGTTCATTCTCAGGAGATGTGGTTGTTTAAAAGGGTACAGCACCTACCCTGTCTCTGTCTTGCTCCTGCTCCTACCATGTAAGAAGTATCTGCTCCCTCTTAACCTTCCACCATGATTGTGTTTCCTGTGGCCTCCCGGCAGCAGATGCCACCATGCCTCCAGTACAAACTTTGGAACCATGAGCCAATTAAACCTCTTTTCTTCATAAATTACCCGGTCTCAGATATTTATTTATACCAATGTGAGAATGGCCTAATAGTCAATACAATACAAAGCAAGCTACTTGTGAAAGAACCTTGTGAAAATTAGACAGCTGCTGCCCATCAATTTAAGCCCTTTTAATTTAATTAATTAAATCTGCTAAATTGTGGAGTGCCTGCTCTGTGCCAGGCACCCAGACTATTTATCAGACTCTCCTGGCCAGGAGCAGTGGCTCACACTTGTAATCCCAGCACTTTGGGAGCCTGAGGCAGGAGGACTGCTTGAGCCCAGGAGTTAGAGACCAGTCCAGATCATGCAGTGAGACCCTGTCTCTACCAAAAAAATTTAAAAATTAGCCAAGCATGGTGGCACATGCCTATAGTCCCAGCTAATCAGAGGGCTAAAGAGGGCAGATCACTTGAGCCAGGGAGGTCAAGGCTGCAGTGGGCCGTGATCATGCCACTGCATTGCAGGCTGGGCAGCAGAGTGAGACCTTGTCTCAAAAACAAAACAAAAAGTTCCTAACTGGTAATACTGCCCACAGATGATCTGATTCCACCTCTATCTCCTAGGACTCTTATAGGAGCAAGAGACAGAAATCTCAACCTCATATGGCTTGAGCCAAAAGGGCTTTTATTGGATCATACGTCTACAAAGGTCAGTGATAGGGCTGGCTTCAGAAGGGGAGATGGGCTGAAAACACTCAGCTCCTCACCCTCAAACTCTTGGCTGGGCCCTCATTGCTGGCTCTCAGCAGGCTCTGCTCATGATGGCTCCAGTTGCCCCTGTCCCATCTCCTGCCACATCCATGGCCATGAAGAAAAGCGCCAGCTGCCCTTCTTGGAGCCCAAGCCAAGTATCACTGCATCTCACTTGGTCACACGCTTACCCCTAAACCATTCAGTGTGGTCATGAAATGACATGATTTGGGTAGCTGGATTGGCAGTACGCCACACACCAAAAAAACATACAAACTGAGCATAGAGCAGGCATGGCTCCTCAGAGGGAGCCTGGGAGAGTGGATGATGGGTGACCAAAGCCCAGCACATCCTGCCACACAGTCTAGTCCCCAGGATGGCACTCAAACAGTAGTCACTCTAGATACACCCTGATCATGTCACTCTCTGTTCAGAGCTACAGTATCTCCCCACTGCTGCTAACCGGGCCTTCCACAACCTAGCCCCACCTTACCGGCTAAACAGGTTCCTCCTTTCATTCCCAAAGCAGTCACCAGTCTCATATGATAGATATCACTGATCATTCTTCCCAGGTATTCTGATGTACCAGCATCTATGCATGTGAAGATATCCCAGGTATTCCGATATCCCAGATATCCCAGGTATTCTGATGTACCAGCATCTGTTTCTTCCTCTACCAATATCTATTTAGCCTGGAGAGCCCATATCATCATACTTCAAACTCTGGACAGAGCCAGTTTCAGCCAGGTTACGTGAAGTACGGAGGTACAGATTTGAAGACTAAGACCCAGTTTCAAATAGACTCACAATCCAAGAAGTTTAGACAGACCCAGGGGAGCTACTGGTAGAAAAATTCACCCCAGTAATCTTGATACAACTTTGTAAAGTAAGGGGGAAAGGATAAATGAATATATCTAGACTGTTTTGTTATGTTGGTTGCAGAGAAAGACATTAAAAATGAATAAAGATCTTGTAATTCTAAGCATGTCAGAAGGATTGTTAGTATATCGGTGTCCCAAGTGAAGAATGTATCTATTTCCCAATTTGACAGAAAATTTAAGTCCTTCCTCCACATGGGAGGTACTTGGGGTACTTGATACACACATTTCTACAGATTTTGGAGCCACCTAAAATCTCTAATTCCTATACGTAAAATTATACTGATCAGAGAAAAATATGCTTTGAGAAATTTCCATTTAAAAGGAGAAAAATAAATCACCCAAACTTCCTATTCAGATAAGGATTATTGTATCTAGTTTAGGTCAAGGTAAAAAAAATTCTTGATGATTTTGGATAAGCCTGAGTGTTTATAAATGGGCAGGTTGTTGAGTTCCATCTACCTATACATTTGTTAAAACAGCAGATTTGACTGACGTTTAAGGAAATTTTAAAAATTCTCCTAAGGGAATATACAAGCTAAAATAGTGACACAGCCAAGCTACGTAAGAAGTAAGAGTGATAGAAATTCTTAGAAAAGGCAGAACAAGAAAAAAGTGCCCATTTTTGCTCAGGAGAAATTACAAACATTATGCCAGCAGCCAACGCTCATAAATAAAAATTCAGGCACTTGAGAATTTTGCAAAGGGCCCATATAATTTATTTTGGTAGGATGACCCTGGATATGTAGGCTTAAAAGAACATGCACTGTTGAACAAGAGCAAAGTCCCAGGATTTATTTCAACACCACCTTAAAATAACCCCAACCAAAAATACCATTTTCAACAAGCATAAAGAAGAGGAAAAGAAGAAAAAAGAGGTTAAAAGAAAAATAAATTCAGGACAGATGCTGGTTCTTTGTAACTCAGTGAATACATGATGCTTTGTATCCCAAAGAGTAAATGTATGGAATGACCTACTAAAGATAGTTGGGTTCAAAACAATAAAGTCATTTTAAAAACATATACTAGTATAGGGAGAACAAGACCTTGCTTTGAAGCAATACAGGAAGTCAGAGGCTCATTTGATTATGATTTTCCTTTAACGATATTTCTAAAATTCTAAAATGATTCTGAATTTGACCTATTTTTGACAAAGGCACTAACAGCAAAGGACGAAACCATCTACTTATATAGCTCTTTGGGAACTATGGGGAAATATTTTTCCAAGGGCAAGTTGTGCCAAATAGAACTTACTAACCAAAGGGAGGAGAAAGCCCAGGCACAGAGAGACCCAAGTCTCATGCTCTCCCTCCCACCAACCCCTGGCAAGTACCAGTGCCAGAGGACAAAGGGGTACACTCTGTCCACCCAGGCCAAGGCCAGGTTCCAGCTCATTTACACATTCCCATGCCTCACTCCTCGGCTTCGAAGACCCCAAGGACAGACTGCATAATTGGCACCATATTTTTCTCTTTCTCCTCTTACAGTCCGGCCCTAAAGTGTCCATCATTCCCACTCTGGGAAATGAGTATAAAGCAGAATGCCTTGCAGACCCAATGATGTGGAGGCCTCTTCTGAGGCCCAATAAGCAAAGCTGCATGATTGCCTGCCACAGTGCACTCTGAGGTCACCAAGAACAGTAAGAAAAGGACACTGCCACTCACCAAGTGCAACATACTCACCTCCAGCCTGACACCCAAGATCCACCTCCTTAATAACACCTTTCCTCAACTACCCCAGTCCACTGGGATCATTCACTGTCCTCTGAATTGCTGTGACCTCTCTGATCACTACTTGGTTTCTACTTATCCTACACTACTTCATTACACGCTATCTTTACTGTACACTCTAACCATTACCACAATCATATTCTCATGGGAACCCAAGTTATTTTATTCCTAATATTCCCTGCAGCACAATGAACAATGCTAGGCAAACACTCACACTAGAACTGTGGGAAGAAAGGAAAAGAGACACACGGTCCTTGGCTTACTGGCTTCCTGAAACAACAATGATCACACTTCAGAACATCACAGCAACCCTCGGTGGCAGGATCCTTGAAGATTGGCACTAATGTTTTTGCCTATCTTTGTAGCCTGATGCCAAGCACAGATGCTAAGTATTTGTTCAATGAATGAAAATTAACAGTACTATGGTAAAAATAAATTATGTGATGGCTTATAGGTAGAATTAAGTATGATTAACCCAGAATGCTTTATTATTGAATTTGACTTTTCAGACAGGAAGTTAGGAAAGATTCAGCTGTGGAAGATGTTGCACATACAGGAAACAGAGCAGAGACGGGGAAAAAATAAAACAAAACTTCATCTGCAAATGTGAAAAGTAGGGCCATATAACTAAAATGGAGAATACTGGAGGAGAAAAAAAAACATGTTTGTTGAAAGATATTGAAAGATACTGAAGCTTCGACACCAAGTCACATTAAACCGTTTCCTTTATCCATTCATACAACAAATATTTATTGTGCACCTTTACTCTGTACCAGACATAGAGTGTTCTGAGTGCTGGGGGCACATGAATTGGGAAGATAAAGTCACTGCTCACATGGAGTTTGTACCTTCTGCTTGAAGGTGGGAAAGCATGGAAACAGGGAATATGTTAAAAAAAAAAAAAAAGAAATCCCTCATGTATTAGCCTGTTCTTATACTGCCATAAAGAAATAACTGACACTGGGTAATTTATAAAGAGAAGAGGTTTAATCGGCTCGTGGTTCTGCAGGCTGTACAGGAAGCAGAGCGGCTTTTGCTTCTGGGGAGGCCTCAGGAAGCTTCCAATCATGGTGTAAGGCAAAGGGGGAGTGAAGCTTCTCACATGGTGGGAGCAGGAACAAGAAAGAGTGAGGGAGGAGGTGCCACACTCTTTTAGACAACCAGATCTCAAAAGAACTCACTATCACAAGAGCAGCACCAAGGCGATGGTGCTAAACCATTCATATGAAATCCACCCCCATCATGCAACCATCTCCCACCAGGCCCAACCGCTAACATTGGGGATTACAATTTGGCATAAGATATGGTGGAACTGTATCACCACGTATGTGTGCCAGAAGATTCCTAGAGAGGAAATTAAAGCAGGATAAGCAGTTGAGTGAGGAGGGCCAGCAGGATACTGTATTAGTCCCTTCTCATACTGCTATAAAGATAGTACCCAAGACTGGGTAATTTATAAAGGAAAGAGGTTTAATTGACTCACAGTTCTGCATGGCTGGGGAGGCCTCAGGAAACTTACAATCATGGCAGACGAGGAAGCAAACACATCGTTCTTCACAAGGGAGCAGGAGAGAGAAGTACAGAATGAAAGGGGAAGAGCCCCTTATGAAATCATCAGCTCTCATGAGAACTCACTACCGCTTACCAGAGTAGTAAGGGGAAACCACCCCTGTGATCCAGTCACCTCCCGTGAGGTCCCTCCCCCAACACGTGGGGATTACAATTCAGATTACAATCCAAGATGGGATTTGGGTGGGGGCACAGAGCCAGACCATATCAGGTGCCCAGGGAAGTCTTCTCTAATAACATAATTAGATATTTCAGTAGAGAACCAGAATGAGTGAGAAAGCCAGCCATGGGGGTATCTGGGGAGAGCATTCCAGGCAGAGGGAACAACAAATGACAAGACCCTGGGCAGGAACAGGTAGATGTGGTCAAGGGTCTACGAGGACGTGAGGACTTCTGGATCAGCATCTGTGAGGGGAAACAAGTAGGAGATGAGGTGCCCAGTAGATGGACAAACCTTGTAGGGCCTGCCGGGACAACGTTATGACTTTGACTTTCACTCTGAGTAGGGTAGGAAGCAACTGGAAGGTTTACAGGGGGAGGGTGGCAGGATCTGGGAAAAAATCTTTTAAAAATGGGAGATTTTCCAAAATCTTAGCTTACAGTGATGACATATATATTGTTTTAAAGAACTGCAATATTATTTTTTTACTAAAGAATTTTTACAAATTCTTTACTACACGGTAAGTTCCATGAAACTAGGGCCACTGTCTGTCTTATTTACCACTGGATCTCCAGGGCCTAAAACTGGCATAGAGAAAGCACTCAAGGAATACTTCCAGAATGTACAAGTGAAAGGATATATGCATCAATAGGGTCTTTAAATGTATCCGTTTAGCTTAAAAGGCAGAATCCCTTCCTTAAACTACCACTACTCAAACTGGGTGAACAGTTCACCGCAACTTGCACAGATCAACTGTACCTTGTTCTAAGTAATGTGTGCTTTGCTACAGGCCCTAAGGAGTAAAATTTACTTTCACAGCTTGGCAATAAATTTATTTCTCCGGGAATCTATGATAAGCAGTGTTTTAATAAATGAAAAAGAGGAGAAAAGTAAACATACAATTTTTATAAAGTTGTCATAGCCTGCCACAAAACATTAAGTGGGGGTTATTTTTAAACCATTTTAAATGGTTGTGGGAGGAAGGGTTGGGTTTATGTCCTGGGAAGTACTTTTACTCCCAGAGGCTTCAACTAGCTGTCCACCAGGGGAAAGGGCACTAGGAAAAATAGTTTAGACTTTTCCTGGCCTAAGAAATATGGTACAAAATGAGCTTCTTGGACTCCCTCTGAGTGCAGTATGAGAATATAAAACTGAACCATCACACGGACAAAGTCACGGAATCTTGGGTGTCTGGTCAAGAGGTTTAATTTCAAGCGTACTTCACAGCTTGTCCTGTTCAGAATGGGAAAAAAAGCAATAAAAATAAGCTTTAAATAAGGATGAGAAAATATATGTACATCTGTGAAAACAAGCATTCCAAATGCTGTTTTTCCTCCAGATGTAAGACAGAAGTGATAACCAAACCTAATCAGTTAATAATGTGAGTTCAATAGGGAAATGTCAAAATTTACTAATAAATAAATAAATAATGGCTCAAGTAGACTTACATAGGAGGTTACAGTTTCACGTCTTTATCATTCCTCACAAGCATATAAATGTTTCAAGGTGTACAGTGCCTTAAAATTGCATCCCTTTTTAAAGCTTTCATGGCAGCACAAATGTAACCCTCTTACTTTCCTCCACTAAAAAGCCAAAGTGTGTTTCCCACTTTCTTCTCCATACTTTCATTCCAAAAAGACTCTCTTTCAGGAATCTAGGGCGATGTCACTGAGGCTTTGCCTCATAGGCCACTGCAGAGGCTTCCTGAGCGAAACTTGACACCTTTCCTAAAATCCATGTGTTTGACGAGATCAATGTTTTTATTAAAGAACAATATGCTCCAAAGTCTGGGTGTGAACTAGAGTTGGGTTACAGGGAGGCATTCTTTGCAGAGTTCCTCCAGAGGAAAAAATATTGAAACTCATTGTGCAGCAGGGAGGTGAATGAGTAGGTCAAATGAAATGTTTGGATTTAGAAAATTCTTTTTATTCTCAAATTTCATGGAAGTTCTTTCAGCATACAAACTTGTGGCCACATCCTTTTGCAATGAGGATGATTATAAAAATAACTTGAAAACAGCTAAAATGTACTATGTGCCATGTTATTTAGTGCTTTAAGTGTATTCTGTTTAGTCTCTAACAAGCTATACGTGAGAAAACCAAAGCTTTCAAGATCATATACCTAGCTATAATAATCAAGATTGTGTGGTATTGGCTAAGGATAGACAAAGATATTAAAGGAATAGAACTGAGAGTCCAGAAATAAATCCAAGCATCTATAAAGAATCAATTTTCAACAAGGGTATGAAGACAATTAAATGGAGTAGGAAAATTACTTTCAATAAATGCTGCTGCGACAACTGGACTTCCACATGCAAAACAATGCATTTGGACCTCTATCTCACACCATATACAAAAATTAACTCAACATAGATCAAAGACCTAAACAGTGTAAATCTCTGTGACCTTGGATTAGGTAATTTCTTAGATATGGCACCTAAAGTATGAGCAACCAAAGGAAAATAGATAAATTGTACTTCATTAGTATTAAAAACCTGTATTTCAAAGATAACAATGAGAAAGACACCTTACAGAATGAAAGAAAATATTTGCAAGTCACATATCGAATTATTTAGTACCCCAAATCCATAAAGAACATTTACAGCTCAACATTAAAAAGACAGATAACCCAATTTAAAAAACAAACAGGAGCTAGAAGCTGTCATCCTCAGCAAACAAATGCAGGAACAGAAAACCAAACATTGCATGTTTTCACTTGTAAGTGGAAGCTGAACGATGAGAACACGTGGACACATCATGGGGAACAACACACACTGGGGCCTGTCAGAGGGGTTGCGAGGGGAGGGAGAACATCAGAAATAAAAGCTAATGGATGCTGGACTTCATACCTAGATGACGAGATGATCTGTACAACAAACCACTCTGACACGTTTATTAATGTAACAAACCTGCACATTTTGCACATGTAACCTGGGACTTAACACAAACGTTGAAGATAATAAAATAAAAAATGAACAAAGAATCTTAACAGATATTTCTCCAAAGAAGACATATGAATAGCTAATAAGCACATAAAAAGATGCTCAACATAATTAGCTACCAGGTACATGCAACTCAAACTACCACAAGATACCGCTTCACACCCATTAGGATAGCTATAATCAAGAGATAACAACAAGTGTTGGTGAGGATATGGAGATACTGGAACCCTCATACATCACTGTTAGGAATATAAAATGCTGCAGCCTCTTTGGAAAACTGTTAGCCTCTCAACAGATTAAGCATGCATTAACATATGATGTAACAATTTCACTCCTGAGTATATACCCAAGAGAACTGATAACATATTTTCACACACAAAGAAATTTATACATAAATGTTCATAGCAGCACTATTCCCAATAAAAAGTAGAAACAACTCAAATATCCATCAACTGATGAATGCATAAACAAATGTGGGGTATATCCATGCAATGGAATATTATTCAGCAATAAAAAGTAATGAAGTACTGATATATGCTACAACACGGATGAACCTTGAAAATCTTAAGTTACGCTTAACTGAAAGAAGCCAGTCACAACGGACCATAAATTGTATGATTCCATTTATATAAAATGTCCTGGATAGGCAAATCTCTAGAGATTGTCCAGGGTGTAGGGAGAGAGAAAGGAGGGATGACTGCTAGTAAATACCAGGTTTCTTTTTGGGGTGGTGAAAATGTTCAGAAATTACATAGAGAGTAGTGATGGTTACATAATGTTGTGAATACATCAAAAACTACTTAAATGTATACTTTTAAATGATGAATTTTATAATATGTAAATATGTTAGTTTTTTAATTATGCCAAAATCAAAAATATATATACGTGGCAGAGTAAGAATTTTAACTGAGTGTCTGACATCAGACCCACAATGCCACCCACTGTCATGCTAATAGTTGATATACATTTGCCAAATTAAGTATTAGTTCATTCGACAAATTCATTCAGTCAGTAAGTATTTACTGAGCAGTGGTTATGTGCCAGGAAATGTATTTTTTTTAAATGTCACAAAATACACATAAAAGATATACTTTAAAGCATTTTAAGCGTATAATTCAGTGGCGTTAAGTACATTCACTGTTGTGTAACCATCACCACTATCAATTTCCAAAACTTTCTCAACCCCTGAAACAAAAACTCTCTAACTATTAAGCAAAAACCCTTATTTTCCCCTACCCTCAGTTCCTCATAACTTTTATTTTACTTTTCATTTCTAAGAATTCTATATACCTCATGTAAGTGGAATCATACATTATCTGTCCTTTTTTTGTCTGGCTTATTTCACTTGTCTTCAATGTCTTCAAGGTTCACCCATATTGTAGCATGTATCAGAACTTCATTCCTTTTCAAGGCTGAATAATATTCCATTGCATGTACATATCATATTCTGTTTATCTGTTCATTTGTTGATGGACTCTTGGATTGTTCCCACCATTTGGCTATTGTGAATAATGCAGCTATGAACATGGGCATACCAGTATCTGTTTGTGTCCCTGTTTTTAATTCTTTGGGGTATATACCCAGGAGTGGAAATGCTGAGTCATATGATAATTCTACATTTAACTTTTTGAGAAACTACCAAAGGGTTTTCCACAGCAGCAGTACCAGTTTACATTATCACCAACAATGCACAAGGGTTCCAATTTCTCCACAACCTTTGCCAACACTTGTTGTTTTCTTTCTTTCTTTTTAAGTAATAGTCATCCTAATGGGTATAAAGTGGTATCTTATTGTGGTTCTGACCTGTATTTCCCTAATGGCTGGTGATGTTGGCTATCTTTTGATGTACTTATTGGCCATTTGTATATCTTCTTTGGAGAAATGTCTATTCAAGTCCTTTGCCCACTGTTTAAACTGGGTTGGCTGTGGTGTTGCACATAAGTATCCAAGTATACAAGTATATTTGTTTGCTTTTTTAAACAGATGTAAACACCTAAGCATAGAAACCAGAAAAAGCAAAGCAGAATCTTTCACATTACAAAGGAGCCATCCAGTATACTTTTAAATACAACATTCTTCTCATACTGGGAAATGTATTTAGAGTCTATGACCTCAATCTTAACAGATATGATAGGGGAAGGTGACAAAGAACAAAGATTAAACTACCGGAAATAAGTATATTTATGTACATGATATAGAATAAAATATTCAATGTTAAATAATATAATAATATCCATCAGGAGATATGGCTGATCATACCAACATACGGTTTATAAAAAAAAAAAAATTCCAGACAAACTATGGGGATGGAAAGAGAGATGACCAAATAGAAGCCTCCACAGATCATCCTGCCTGCAAGAACACCAAGTTTTAACAACTACACACAAAAAAGCACCATCATAAGAACCAAAAATCAGGTGAGCTATTAAAGTACCTGCTTTTAACTTTGTATTGCTGAAAGAGGCACTGACAAGGGTAACAAAGACAGTCTTGAATTGCCGAGGCAACCTGTCCCCCATCCCCTGGTAGTGACTAAGTTCACAGATTCTTTCTCCTACGTGGAAAAAGAATCTGTGCACTTGCGGGAAGGAGAGCATAGCTACTTGAGGACTTGGCATTCAACTCAGTGCTGCCCTACCATAGCAAAGCAAAGATGTGTTGGGCTCAGGGAGTATGTGGACCAGCCTTAGCTAGAGGGAAATTGCCTATCCCAGTGGTCAGAACTTGAATTCTGGCAAGCCTCACTACTGCAGGCTAAAGTGCTCCCAGGTCCTCGGTAAATCTGAAAGGCAATCCGGGACACAGGACTGCAACTCCTAGTCAAGTCCTAATGCTGGGCTGGCTTTAGAGTCAGCGGACTGGGGTAGCGTGTGGCCTAGGGAGACACAAGCTGGGGTGGCTAAGGGAATGCTTGTGCCACCCCTCTCACAACCCCAGGCAGTGCCTCTGGAAGTGACTCCTTCCTTCTGCTTGAGGAGAGGAGAGCAAAGAGTAAAAAGGACTGTCTTGCACCTTCATTAACAACTCAGCTACAAAAGGATCAGATACCAGGCAGAGTTAGTTGTGAGGCCCCCATTCCAGGCCTTAGCTCCCAGATGACATTTCTAGACACACCTTGGGACAGAAGGAAACCTGCCGAATGGAAGAGAAGAACCCAGTCCTAGCGGCATTCATCATCTGCTGACAAAAGAGCTCGGGCCCTGAATAATGAGCAGTGATACCCAGGTAGTACACAGTGGGCCTTGGGTGAGACTGAGGCGTGCTGGCTTCAGGGGAGCCCAGCACATTTGCAGCTGTGGAGGCTATGGAGAGAGACTCCTTGTGCTTGAAAAAAACAGAGGGAAAAGTTAAGGGCACTTTGTCTTGCACCTCAGGTACTAGCTCAGCCATAGCGGGATAGAGTATCACGTGGTCCCTTGGGGTCCCTGATTCCAGGCCAAGGCTCTTGACATCATTTCTGGACCTGCCCTAGGCTAGAGGGGAGCTCAATGCCCTGAAGGGTGGGCTCCAAGCCTCGCAGAATTCACCACAAGCTGACTGAAGAGCCCTTGGGCTTTAAGCGAACGTCGGTGGTGGCCTGCAGAAACCCCATGGACCAGTGGTAGTGGTGGCTACTGGAAGAGGCTCCTCTGCCTGCAGAAAGGAGAGGGAAGAGCAGGACAGACTTTGTCTTGTGTTTTGAGGGCCAGCTTTCCTGCAGTAGAATATAACATGAGGTACGTTTTTAAGGATGTTGACTCCAATCCTTGGCTCCCAGACAACATCTCTGGACCTGCCCAGGGCCTGGGGGAACTCGCCACCCTGAAGGGAAGGACACATGCCTAACTGGCTTCTCCACCTGCTAATGGTGGAGCCCTAGGGCCTTAAGTGAACTTTGGAAGTAGCCAGGTAGTGGTTACAGTGGATCCTGGGCAAGACCCAGTGCTGTGCTGGCTTCAAGTCTGACCCAGTGTAGTCCCAGTGGTGGTGGCCACAGGGGTACTTGTGTCACCCCACTCCCAGCTCCAGATAGTTCAGCAAAGAGAGAATACATTTGTTTGGGAGAAAATAAAGGAAGAGAAAAAGACTATCTCTCTGATAATCCAAATAATTCTTCAGGATCTTATATAAAACCATCAAGGCAGTACCTCCGTGAGTCTGCAAAACATGGGGTTTCTGCAGGCCACCACCGACGTTCGCTTAAAGCCCGAGGGCTCTTGAATACCTGGAAGGTTCCAATAAATATGACAACAAACAAGCCCACACTGCAAAGACTACAATAAATACCTAACTCTTCAATGCCCAGGTACCAACAAACATCCACAAGCATCAAGACCATCCAGGAAAACATGACTTTACCAAATGAACCAAGGCACCAGGAAACAATCCTGGAGAAACAGAGGTATGTGACCCTTCAGACAGACAATTCAAAATTGCAGTGTTGAGGAAACTCAAAGAAATTCAAGTTAACACAGGGAAGGAACTCAAAATTCTACCAGATGAATTTAACAAATAGATTCAAATAATTAAAAAGCATCAAGCAGAAATTCTGGAGTTGAAAAATGCAATTGCTATATTGAAGAATGCATCAGAATCTCTTAATAGCAGAATTGACCAAGTAGAAGAAAAAAATTAGTGAGCTTGAAGACAAGCTATTTGAAAACACACAGTCAGAGGGGACAAAACACAAAGGAGTAAAAAACAATGAGGCATGCCTACAAGATCCAGAAAGCCTCAAACGGGCAAATCTAAGAGTTACTGGCCTTAAAGAGGAGGTAGAGAAAGAAATGGGAATATAAAGTGTATTCAAAGCGATAACCACAAAGAACGTCCCAACCTAAAGAACTATGGTGTGTGAACTACTCTTAAGTAGAAAGATTAAATAACCAATAAAAGATTAAATGAACCAATAAAAAATGGTAACTACAACTTTTCAAGGCATAGTACAATAAGACATCAAGAGATGCAACAAAAAAGTTAAAAAGAAGGGGATATGAAGTGAAAGTGTAGAGTTTTTATTAGTTTTCCTTTTGCACGTCTGTTTGCTCAAGCAATCAGAGCTAGGGCATCATCAATTTAAAATAATGGATGATAGTATTTGCAAGCCTCTGGTAACTTCCGAGGGTTGAGGATAGAAGGAACATACCTCAACATAATAAAAGACATATACAACAGACTCACAGCTAGTATCATACTGAATGGGGAAAAACTGAAAGCCTTTTGTCTACGATCTGGAACACAGGAAGCATGCTCATTGTCACTACAATTATTCAACATAGTACTAGAAGTCCAAGCTAGATCAATCAGACAAGAGAAAAAAAAAATAAAGAGCATCCAAACTGGAAAGGAAAAAGTCAAATTATCCTTGTTTGCAGATGATATGATCTTATATTTGGAAAAACCTAAAGACTCCACCAAAAAACGATTCAAAATGACAAAGAATTCTGTCAAGTTGCAAGATACGAAATCAAAATACGAAAAACAGTAGCGTTCATGTATGCCAACAGTGAACAATGTGAAAAAGAAATCAAGAAAGCAATCCTATTTATAATAGCTACAAATAATATAAAATACCTAGGAAACAATTTAACTTAAGTAAAAGATCTATAAAAGGCAAACTATAAAACGCTGAGGAAAGAAATTAAAGAGGACACACAAAAATGGAAAGATATTCCCTGTTCAAGGATTGGAAGAATAAATATTGTTAAAATGCCCATACAACCCAAAGTAATCTACAAATTCAATACAATCCCTATCAAAATGCCAATGCCACTCTTGACAGAAATAGAAAAAATCCTGAAAGTTATATAGAACAACAAAAGACCTAGAATAGCCAAATGTATTCTGTGCAAAAAGAACAAAACTGGAGGAATCACATTACCTGAAAGGAAATCAGTATGGCCAAGAGATATCCGCACTCCCATGCTTATGGCAGCATTATTCACAGTAGTCGAGATTTGGAAGCAAACTAAGTGGCCATCAACAGACAAATGTATAAAGAAAACATAGTACATATATACAATGGAGCAAGACTCTGTCTCAAAAAAAAAAAAACCAAAAAACTGATAAACATCCATGTATCTAAATTGTTGTGTAAATCTCTATCACCTGAGATTAAATTTCTCAGGTATCTTTTCTGGTTCCATTTCTATATACATTTTAAAGATTTTTGATGCTGTTTGTATGCTTTTCTCTAGGATTGTATCTGCTATTATGGCAGAGGAATACCCTTTAAAAAATTCTTGAGAATTATAGATGAAGTATGGTTTCTCATCAATTTATGTTTATTTGTTTACTGTTGAGATTGAATTTATTTTTTGCAATTATTTATAACAAGAGCAATACAACAATAGTACCGATAGTACTGATAAAAGAAAATTCTGAAATAACACTATAGCTACTGTGCTAGGCACCATTCTAGATTCACATTTATTAAGACGCTTAGACCTCAAAATCACCCTAAGAGGTGAGTACTGTTGTTATCCCCATTTCACAGATGAGGAAACTAAAGTTAAATAAGTTAGTGAGCTGTAAGAGGCAGAGTGAGGATTCAAAACCAGGCATTGTGGCCCCAGAGTGTGTGTTCTTAACAACTCTACCATTTTGCGTTTTGATGTTGAGAACAGGAAAGAAAATGCAGTTTAGGATCCCAGCGGCCTTACAATGCTATCTCCAGGCCCTCTGGAGTCCTGTGTGCTTCCCTGCCTCTAGAGTAATGGGCTACCTCTACATTATCAAGCGTTACCCTTGGTTTTTCTTGTCGTTGCAATTTGATTTTATCAAAAGAACAAACCTCAGTACTGTTTTGATTTAGACCGGTTTAAAGATGGATTCTTATCTAATTGTCAGACTTTTATTGCACAATATTTAACAGCTGTTGAGGAGGTAGTCACTGTAATCAAATACGCTCTTACTCAAAAGACAAGGCTGATAAGATAAGTTTGCTGGAATGAAGCAATCCACTTAAAAGTGTAGATGTGGCAGTATTTCTTTTTTAAGTTTTCCAAGTAAGAATAGATTGTCTAAGCCAAGTAATCACAGAAGTTGTGATTAAACATTCCTCAAAAATCGCCCACATTTCATGAAATCCTCACTTTTAACAGGTCTAGCAAAAGTTGAAGTCTGGTGGTCTTGCATGGAGGCTTGGGTGTACAGAACACACGGTCTGTTATAGAACCTAATAATCCATATTCATTCATTCAGTGTTGTATATAAATGCAGCTAGCTGCCAGGTACCTTTGCAATTCGGGGGATACGGAATGTATGCATGTGTGTGGTATGTGTATGTGTGTAGGTGTGTATGTATGTTACAGAAAAAATGCTATGGAGAAAAATATAAAGAGGTAAAGTATGTTGGTTGAGGTGAGTTAGGATTGTTATTTTATATGTGATGATAAATTGGCTTTCTTGATAAAATAACATTTGAGCAAAGATCTAAAAAAGTGTGGGAGCAAACCATCTGCACATCTAAGGAAAGCAAGTTCCAGGCACAGGAAACATCTCGTGCAAAGGTGTTGAAAAAGGAGTGTGCCTGGGTATCCAGGGAGTAGTGGTCAAGCAGTGAGGTCCAAGAACAGGGAGTGGGGTAGTTGTGGGAAATGAGATTTGAGAGGGAGAAGGGGCAGATAAGGTATAGAATTTCCCTCTGGGTGTGAGGAGACCCACGAAAGAAGTCCAAGCTCCAAATTATATTTAACAGTATCTCTGGCAAAAATAAACTGGTGGGGGAGCGGCAAAAATGAAAAGGGGACCAGGAAAGAGTTGATAGTATTTCAGAACAGGGTGGTAGGAATGGAGGTGCGATAACCTGGATATATTTTAAAAGTAGAGTGCTGAGGATTTACTATTGGCATAGATATGGAAGGAGAGAAAAAGAGGAGTGAAGGGTAACTCCAAAGTTATTGGCTCCAGCACTGGAAGGGTGAAATGCCAAGATTGGAAAGAGCACAAGAGGAGAAAATTGGGTGTGAGACGAGAGGGAATCAGCTCAGTTTGGGACATAGTGAAATTGAGGTACCTATTAGATATACAAATTATTTTAATAAGATCCAGGTACTATGAATCTTATGCATATTATGGATCTTATGGATAAGTACCTTATCTTAAGGAACTATGGAATGACAATACAAAACATATTTTATAGGGTTATTTTTTAAATCATGTATACTTTACAAAGGTCTCAAATTCTTTTGAAAGTAGTCTGATATAAACAAGACATAATAAATTCAGTCTATCAATAAAATTCTGGAAAATTATTTTTAAAAATTTTTTTAACTTTTCTGAGCACATAGTAGGTCTATATATTTATGGAGTATGTGAGATACTTTGATACAGGCATGCGTTGTGTAATAATCACATCATGGTAAATGGGGTATCTAGCTCCTGAAACGTTTATTCTTTGTGTTACAAACAATCCAGTTATACTCTTTTAGTTACTTTAAAATGCTAAATTATTATTATTTATTAAATTATTATTCACCCTGTTGTGCTATCAAATACTAGGTCTTACTCATTCTTTCTAACTACTTTCTGTAGCCGTTAACAATTGCCACTATCCGCCCTCACCTGCCCCAGACCCCACTACCTTCCCCAGCCTCTGATAACCATCCTTCTACCCTCTGTCTCCATGTGTTCAATTGTTTTAATTTTTAGCTCCCACAAATAAGCGAGAATATGTGAAGTTTGTCTTTCTGTAGCTGGCTTCTTTCACTTAGCACAATGACCTTCAGTCCCATCCATGTTGCTGCAAATGACGGGATCTCCTCCTTTTTTATGCCTGAATAGTACTCCATTGTATATATGTACTACGTTTTCTTTATACATTCGTCTGTTGATGGCCACTTAGTTTGCTTCCAAATCTCGACTTCTGTGAATAATGCTGCCATAAGCATGGGAGCACAGGTATCTCTTGGACATACTCATATATAACCAGTAGTGGGCTTGCTGGATTGTATTTTAGCTCTGTTTTTAGTTTTTTGAGGAACCTCCAAACAGTTCTCCATAGTGATTGTACTAATTTACATTCCCACCAACAGTGCATGAGAGTTCCCTTTTCTTCTTATCCTTGCCAGCATTTGTTATTGCCTGTCTTCTGGATAAAAGCCATTTTAACTGGGGTGATACAGTATCTCACTGTACTTTTGATTTTCACTTCTCTGATGGTTCCTGATGTTGAGCACCTTTTCATATACCTGCCTGCCATTTGTATGTCTTCCTTTGAGAAATGTCTATTTAGAAATTTTGTCTATTTTTAAATCAGATTATTAGATTTTTTTTCCTATAGAGTTGTTTGAGCCCCTTATATATTCTGGTTATTACTCCCTTGTCAGATGGATAGTTTACAAATATTTTCTCCCATTCTGTGGGTTGTCTCTTTGCTTTGTTGGTTGTTTCCTTTGCTGTGAAGAAGCTTTTTAACTTGGTAGGGCAAGATATATGGGTCTAGTTTCATTCTTCTGCATATGGATATCCAGTTTTCTAAGCACCATTTATTGAAGAGACTGTCTTTTTCCCAATATATGTCATTGGCACTATTTTCGAAAACAAGTCCACTGTAGGTGTGTGGATTTGTTTCTGGGTTTCTTTTTCTGTTCCAGCGGTCTATGTCTCTGTTTTTATGCCAATACCATACTGTTTTGGTTACGGTAGCTCTGTAGTATAATTTGAAGTCAGGTATGTGATTCCTCCAGTTTTGTTCTTTTTGCACAGAATACATTTGGCTATTCTGGGTCTTTTGTTACTCTATGTAACTTTTATGATTTTTTCTATTTCTGTCAAGAATGGCATTGGCATTTTGATAAGGATTGTAAATTTGTAGATTGCTTTGGGTTGTATGGACATTTTAACAATATTTATTCTTCCAATCCATGAACATGGAATATCTTTTCAGTTTTTGTGTGTCCTCTTCAATTTCTTTCATCAGCGTTTTATAGTTTGCCTTTTATAGATCTTTTACTTCTTAGGTTAAATTGTTTCCTAGGTATTTTATATTATTTGTAGCTATTATAAATAGGATTGGTCTCTTGATTTCTTTTTCACATTGTTCACTGTTGGCATACATGAACGCTACTGCTTTTTGTATTTTGATTTCGTATCTTGCAACTTGACAGAATTCTTTGTCAGTTCCAATCTTTTTTTGGTGGAGTCTTTAGGTTTTTCCAAATATAAGATCATATCATCTGCAAACAAGGATAATTTGACTGTTTCCTTTCCAGTTTAGATGCTTTCTGTGTGAGGAGACCCACGAAAGAAGTCCAAGCTCCAAATTATATTTAACAGTATCTCTGGCAAAAATAAACTGGTGGGGGAGTGGCAAAAATGGAAAGGGGACCAGGCAAGAGTTGACAGTATTTCAGAATAGGGTGGTAGGAACGGAGGTGGGATAACCTGGATAAGGTGAGGATTTACTATTGGAATAGATATGGGAGGAGATAAAAAGAGGATTGAAGGATAACTCCAAAGTTATTGGCTCCAGCACTGGAACGGTGGATCGCCGAGATTGGAAAGAGTACAAGAGGAGAAAATTGGGTGTGAAGCGAGAGGGAATTAGTTCAGTTTGGGACATAGTGAAATTGAGGTACCTATTAGATATACAAATTATTTTCTTAATAAGATCCAGGTACTATGAATCTTATAGATATTATGGATCTTATCAGTACTATCAGTACTATTATTGTATTGCTCTTGTTACAAACAATTGCAAAAAATAAATTCAATCTCAACAGTAAACAAACATAAATTGATGAGAAACCATACTTCATCTACAATTCTCAAGAATTTTTTAAAGGGTATTCCTCTGCCATACTAGCAGACACAATCCTAGAGGAAAACATACAAACAGCATCAAAAATCTTTAAAATATATATAGAAATGAAACCAGAAAAGATACCTGAGAAACTTAATCTCAGGTAATAGAGACTTACCCAACAATTTAAATACATTGATGTTTATCAGGTTTTTTTGTTGGTGGTTGGTTTTGTTTTGTTGTTGTTTTGTTTTTGTTTTGTTTTGTTGAGACGGAGTCTTGCTCTGTAGCCCAAGCTGGAGTGCAGCGGCGCGATCTCAGCTCACTGCAACCTCTGCCTCCGAGGTTTAAGTGATTCTCCTGCCTCAGCCTCCAGAGTAGCTAGGATTACAAGCACTGGCCGCTATGACTGGCTAATTTTTGTATTTTATATTAGTAGAGACAGGTTTGTAAATTAGTAGAGACAGGATTTCACCATGTTGGCCAGGCTGGCCCTGAACTTCTGACCTCAAACGATCCGTCCGCCTTGGCCTCCCAAAGTGTTGGGATTACAGGCGTGAGCCACTGCGCCCAGCCTATCAGTTATTTATTATAGTGACAATATAGAGATAAATTAAATATCAAATACTAGGGGATTCACTGTCAAGAACTAGGAAGTGTTTGAAATTTGAACCTGCTTACAACCTAACAAGTAGCCTCCCAGTGTTTCATATGCTGGCAGAAGACACAAGACTTCTGGGTCAGAGACAAAGGACATTCGTATTCCTGTACACCAGGAGGGAGAAGCTTTATCTTCATATTGACTCTCCACGCTCCCCCTCCCAAGTCTAAGGGGCAATATGGAGCAGTCCATATGGATGCTGCACAGAGCAGGGCTCTGAGTCCTAGATGAGGAACTTTAGAGACTCAGAGTTTAAGAAATGCCCATCACATAAACAGGATGCAAGTAATCCTTTGTGAGGATGACATTATCTTTATTACCCCGGACAGCAAATAAATATGCCCTCTGCTACTAAGGAAGAAGCTATTCCTCTCTTTCAAGGCTGTTCACTATAAAATCATCCTTGAAAAGATAGTATAGAACAAAAGTGCAAAACTGCAAAAGGCCATGGAGAATTGCCTCCAGACACTAAATAATGTATGGTCATCATCATAATGTGGACTATGTGGTTAAAAAAAAAATCACTTTTCAGAAGGTTTAATAAAATGAGAAAAATATTTTGACATATTAAAAAACAGGTTCTCATTCCCCAAAACTATACACACACACACACACACACACACACACACACACACACACACACCACAGAGAAAATGGACATGATTTTCTTTTAAATTACACTGTTTTATATATGTAAAGAAAAATGTTAATATATACACAGCATTTTTTCTGGATTTATGCAAATATTTCTGGATTTATGCAAATATCTGAAATTATGCAAAATTACTATTTTCTTTCTGCTCCTTTGAACTAAATTTTCTGTAATGTATGACTTTTATAATCAGAAAAAGGCTTTCTAGAAAATATACATAGATATGACACAAAAAGCACAAGTGACAAAAGAAAAAATAAGTTGGACTTCATCAAAATTCAAAACTTCTTGTGCTTCAAGAGACATCAAAACAGTGAAAAGAAAACCTACAGAACGGGAGGAAACATTTACAAGTCATATAACTGACTAAGGATTTGTATCCAGATTACATAATTTTGCAACCCAATAATTTAATAAAAATAACTCAAGAAAGAAACAAAGGAATTGAATAAGCATTTCTCCAAAAAAGACAGGAAAATGGTTGATAAGCACACGAAAACATGCTCAATATCATTAGTCATTAGAAAAACACAAATCAAAACCAGGATGAGATACCACTTCACACCCACCTGAATGGCTAAAATAAAAAACAATGACAAGTGTCAGTGATGATATGGAAAAACTGGAACCCTTACACATTATTGTCGGGGTTCTGAAATAGTGCAGCCACTTTGGAAAACAATTTGGCAGTGCCTTAAAATGATAACCACAAAGTTGCTATACGATTCACCAAATTCTGTTCTCAGAGAAATGAAATTCTATCCAAGAGAAATACAAACATACGTCCACACAAAAACTTATCACCGAAGTTTATAGCAGCATTATTCATAATTGCCAAAAAATCTCCCTCAACTGATAAATGTATAAACAAAATGCAGGATTAGCCACAGAACAGATAAAACGAAATGAAGTACTGATACATGCTACAACTTAGACAAACCTTAAAAACATTAAGTGAAAAGAAGAGGTCACAAAAGGCCACATATTGTATGATTAAATTTAAAATGTCCAGAAAAACAAACATATATAGAGACAGAATGTATATTTAGTGGTTACCTTGGGTGGGGTGAGGGAGAAATGGAGACTGAATGCCAATGGGTATAGTGTTTCTCTTTGGAGTAATGAAAATGTTCTGAAATTAGATAATGATGATGGTGGTACAACTCTGTGAATATACCAAAAAATCACAAAATTGCATACTTTAGAAAGGTAAATTTTATGCTAGGTAAATTATACTTCAATAAAGCTATTGAAATACACACACTATACACACACACTAAATCACCCATTATTAAAATGGGGAAAATATAAATAGATAATTCAAAAAGTAACAAAATGGTCAGTAAACATATTTTTGGAAAAACTTCAACCTCGCTGGTAAAAAAAAATACACTAAAAGAATGAAGTGCTATTCTCCCCTTTAAATTAGCAAAAAATAACCTTAAATAAGAAAGCAATGGAATGGTATAGTAAGAAACATAGTCTATATTCTATTAATGAAAGTGTTAAATGACATAACGTTTTCGGAAAGTCATTTGGTAATATATACCAACTATAAAACTATTCATCTTCTTTGACACAGTAATTCCATCTAGGGTTCTATTCTAGGGAAGAAATCACATGCAGATAATAATGAGATGTTCATCAGGACATTATTATAATAGCCCTAAAATGGGGAAGTGGTAAATATAATGACATTTCCATAGGATTAAAAAAAAAAGCCCCACATAACCTTCTAAAAGTATGTTTTGAACACTGAAATATGGTACGTTTAAAGAAGCAAACTACAAAATTGAACTGGGTGATCCTAAATTTCTAAGCAAACAATGTTTAGTGCACGCAAAGAAAAAAAACACCAGAAGAAAATGTACCCAAATATTAAAAGTGGCTAATTTCTACATGTAGTCCATATTACTTTTATAACCAGAAAATTATTATTTGCTAAAGGAAGATAAAAGAAGAGATAACCCTTGGAGCTGACAGTATACTGACAGTGAATGATCAAGAGAAGGCAAACCTCATGGATCTGCTGATGTCCGTCTATCACAGACAGAACTTGAAAATGAGATCACTATTTGCCCACGGTGAAAACAGAATTGTATAATTATAAGTTGTTGAGTTCAACACTAATTCTGGCAGGGTTCTAAAATGAGTTATTTAATGGACCTTTGTATGAACCTAAAAAGTGGAAACCATCAATCAGCAAGAACATCATGGAGAGGCCGGGCGCGGTGGCTCACGCCTGTAATCCCAGCACTTTGGGAGGCCGAGGCGGGCGGACCACGAGGTCAGGAGATCGAGACCATCCCGGCTAAAACGGTGAAACCCCGTCTCTACTAAAAATACAAAAATTAGCCGGGCGTAGTGGCGGGCGCCTGTAGTCCCACCTACTTGGGAGGCTGAGGCAGGAGAATGGCGTGAACCCGGGAGGCGGAGCTTGCAGTGAGCCGAGATTGCGCCACTGCAGTCCACAGTCCGGCCTGGGCGACAGAGCGAGACTCCGTCTCAAAAAAAAAAAAAAAAAAAAAAAGAACATCATGGATTCACCGTCATTATTTCAGAAGACTTCCTTTCTTTCTTTGATGAGCTCTTTGGCGACGTGATGAAGGACAAACTTATCAACTGCTAGATGACATCAAACTGAGAGAACTACTGAATCTGCTATTAGGATCAAGATCCTGAGAGATGGGGGCAAGTGGCTTAAGAAGTCACTTCTGCTCTTGGATAAGACAATGAATGAGGTAACAGAAAGCAAGCTGATTAAATAGTGGATGGTACCAAACTGACAGGAACAGCAGATGTGTATCAGCATCCAAAAAAGAGTAAGAGATGAGCAAAAGTCTAAATTCAATGAGATAATATTCAACGTAGAGAAGTATAAGATATTATCATCAAGCCTAACTACTAATGGGTAACTTGATGGGCATCATCAAGTTTAACTACTAATGGGCTAACTACTAATGGATTTCTTTTGGGGGTGACAAAAGTGTTCTAGAACCAGATGGTGGTGATGTCTGCACAATATGTAAATATACTAAAACCACTGAATTGTGCATTTTAATAAAAATGGTGAATTTTACATTATTTGAATTTTATCTCATTAAATATATATAATTGCAAAATATGTTTCATATATATCTCACATATTATGTCAGATACACTGACATCCACAAATATTTCACACTAATACTATAAGATCCACAACACTGTCAAGTAGTATTGTATACAACTGTACAATGCACAAGAGGCCTGGATTAATAAAGCAAATTCTTAAAAATAAAGTAATGAGGCTGGGCACAGTGGCTCAAACCTGCAATCCCAGCACTTTGGGAGGCCAAGGCAAGTGGATCACCTGAGGTCAGGAGTTCAAGACCAGTCTGGCCAACATAGTGAAACCCCTGTCTCTACTAAAAATCTAAAAATTACCTAGGTGTAGCGGCACGTGCTTGTAGCCCCAGCTACTCGGGAGGCTGAGGCAGGAGAATCACCTGAACCCAGGAGATGGAGTCAAGTTTCAGTGAGCCAAGATCACACCAGTGCACTCCAGCCTGGGCCACAGAGCAAGACTCGGCCTCAAAAACAAACAAACAAACAAAAAGTAATGAATTAATTATGCATTCTTCACTAATTCAATTCTGAATTTATTTACTGCATGCTTAGTTGGTCCCAAGCACTGTGTTAGGTGCTATAGATACAAAGGGTGAACAAAATATAATCCCTACCATTACAGGACTTCCATCAAGCAGGGGAGCTTGACATTAAATGAACATAACTCAAATAAATTTAACAATTGTAATGAGGAACCTAAGGGGAAAACACAAGGTGTTATGATAAAATACAACAGGCAGATCTGATTTAGATGGGGGAGTTGGACAACAGCCTGAGAAATCACAATTTGAAACTAGAAAGATGAGGTATTTAGCCAGGTGAAGAGTGAGAACTAACGTCCCCCAGATGGAACAGCAGTGCAAAAGTCCCGAGGCAGAAAAGAACTGGTCCCACTGGAGAACTCTGTGAAGACAAGTTGTGATCAGAGGGTTGTGGATAAGAAGATGATTGTCACAAAACGAGGCTGGAGAAGTAGGAAGGGCTCAGTCTACAAAGGGCCTTACGAGCAGTTCTGAGGATTCTCACTTTATATCCTGGGTACAAAGGGAAGCCACCTAGGAAACTTAGCAGGGAAGTAGCATGATCAATTTGAGACATAAAAGCATCATCCAGGCCCCTCTGTGAGAAAGGGATTAGAAAAGAGCAAAAAAAAATAAATCAGGAGACCAGTCAGGGTCAGACTAGGGGGTAGGTGTACCAAGGAAGAGAAGACATTTGCAAGGTCTGTTTTGGAGGTTATCACGTATTCTATTTCATAACTCAAATTTACACATGTGGGAAAAATGCCTTCCAGAAAGACCAAAGCATATAAAGTAGAAATCACTTACCAGGATCCTGGACACATTTGCCTCAATCTAGTACCAAACTAAATCCTACAAACACTTCAAGCTACTTCCAGGAGCCCTGAAGTCTTTTCATTTAATTAAGCAGCACTTGAACCCAAATTATGCCTAAGCTTCCAGCAAGTTTTCAGAGTGGTAAGGAAACCCAGACAGTGAAGTAGAAACCTAGAAGTTCACTGGGATGAGTACAGGTAATACTTGGTGTCCCCCCTTTAACCCAACTGCAAACCAGCCTGTCCTTGGAACTTTTTTTTCCCCTCTAGAGGAACCATTCTGGAAGGGAAGCACTCTGCTTAGCATATGCTCTGTTAAAGGCTTCAGTTAAACATACATGCACCCCTAGAAAGAAATATGTGCAAAGCATTCCAGATTATGCACGTGCATCTGTCTCCTTAAACTGCACTCCAGAGACTAAAGCAGAACACAGAGGCTGTCATGGATATTACACAGTCTACAGCGAGTGAATGACTTCCATTGTAACAGAAAAGCAACTGTACATTATACATGCATACAATTCTTTTCCTCTTAAAACTCTACTACCCACACAGTAAATATTGCTATAAACCCACAGTGGGCCAGAAAAACAAACTTTGTATACACTCCTTGCAAACCCAAGACATGAAACCATGAAATCGAAGGAAATTTACCTATAGTTTCACCAAGTATAATGGAAGCAAATAATAAAGATGAATATGACCAGTAACAATTATATATTTAACTCTGCAAGCTCTGTAAGTAATGTTGTTCTCTTTTTCATTTAGACTGTGAAAATTAATTTTGCCCTTAAAAATGTAAAACAAAAGGAGGATGTTATTTAACCTCAAGGAATCATTTATCTTTGACCATTGTTATTGTTTTCAGTTTCTTTAGGGTTGTAATTATTTATTACAATATATATTTATACAAGTACATGACCACTGTTGAAAATGCTCCTAGTCCTCCTTAAGTCCTTCCATGTTAAGACGGCTCTTCTAAGAAGGCTTCCCTTGACCTTGAGGGCAGAGCTGATCCTCTCTTCAGTCTCCCTCTCTACCCACTGCACCTTGCACATGTCTCTATCATACACTGACATATTTACAACTGCCTCCCCTTAGAGATTGTGAGTTCCTGGACGCTTCCAGCACTTAACACAGAGCCTGGCACATGAAAGGTTCTAAATGCTTGTAGAATAAAATAAATGAATAAATGAATCCGATCCATCCAACCTCTGTAATTTCTTATTTTTTTCACCAGCTTTATCCCAAATGTTAATGACTCACCCAATTCAGTAACACTTCAGACAATTTTCCATTTTCCCCCAATTTGTTTCCATTTCCAGATAAATAAGGATTTCTGACTTCAAGTACTGCACTGCTTAGAGGGTATCCATAAACACCAATTTTAAGAGTAAGAACACTGCTTGCAACTCAGGTTCACACGTGACTTTGTACCAGGTGGCTTTGTATATAGAACAGAAAAGGCCTTGACTCCCCCAAATTCATATTCTCTAACAAAGTGGCATCCACTGCCATGTCACTGTATCATTCTTGCTATCAATATCCACAACAGCTATCACTTTTACAAACGGCTCCCTTCATCATGGAAGGAGGAAGAATGCCCTTGGCAAGGGCAGAGTCCATGAGTTAAATTCACCCTTCTGGAATAAATTATTTAGTACCACTTAAACTCTGAAAGCTTTGAGCCACCTATTCTGTGGTTTGTAGCATTGTCTTCTAAGTTTACAATTTCATGATTGTGAAGCGACAACTTAATTCCCTAGTGCAAAATCAATACAATTTAAATTTACTGTCGGAACTGACATTCTCCAGCAAACTAAAAGATTTCTTCTTCCAATGACATGAGATCATTTTAATCTGCTTTTACAAAAAGGTACTCAGGAACTATTCCAAAATTTAGGAATCAATTCTTGCTGGCCATAAAGCAATTGCCCCCACCCCTCTTAAATGTGTGGGATCCCTGGAACCACCTGAGCTATGGCCACTCTGACCTAGCTTTGACCTGTCAGGGGCCTACATTTTGAATGGAAGTTCATCCTGCAAAAACGCAAGGAGCTGTGGTGGTAGTAACAACAGACAGCCAATAGGGTTTTTAAGCATATTCTTTCACTCGTTTAGGGTTTTTATCATGCAGTAACGTCGATCATCATTTTCATTCTAAATTAGATTATCAGTACAACTGAGGAGGAAGATTTGGTACAGCGATCAACGTTTCCAATGTTAATTTACTGGAGTGATCAGGGACCATTTGCTTTTGTTAATTAGCAAAAGCTGGTGTTGTTAAAACACAACAGTGCGTGACGAATCCGTAAGCTGCATCCTTTTCTCTAACGAACAAAACGGACTGGAAAAGGCAAGAACACACCATCATTCAACCTACAATGAATATTGATTATCCGTTCTGTGTAAGGCCCCTTGCAGCTGCTACGCTCAGGATGAGGATGCTGACTGGGAAGGCCGAGCCGGGTGGGCCTGACACCCTAGATTTAACAAGCTTCCAAGCGCAGGAGTCCCTCTGCATTTAGCTCGTTTTCCTTGCACCTGTCACCGAAAGGCTTATTTCCCTTTCAACTACTCTGAGCGGCCAACAGCTAAAAGAGAAAGCCTCGTGCCAGGAGAAAGAAGGGTTGATCTACACCCAGTTACTAGCAGACAACTGAGGTTCCCTCCCGTTCACCCTTGTGTCCACTGCGCTCCCCCAAAACCAAGAGGTCAGACCCAGCAGCAGCTAAGGCTAGGCCTGGGAGGCAGCAAGAGAACGACCGGGCTCGCAGGCACCCCGGGATGCTCAGGCAATGCCTGCTCCTCCCTCGCCCGCGGTCCAGGCTCCGCCGGTGCCCCTCAAAGCAGTCGGCCTCCCGCGCGCTCAGCATCCCTCCTCCTCCTCCCCCATCTCCTCCCGTCCCTCCTCCGCCCGCGCTGGTGTCACCAACCTTGGGCGTACGGATGTGCTCCATGGCTGGCCCACGTCTGCAGGGTCCCGGGCGGGCGCGGCCTCACGCACCTGCGCGCCTCTGCGGCGCGATGGGAGGGGCGCGGGGAGGGGGCTTCGCGCCCGGGAGTGGGCGGGACGCGGTCTTGGCTCCGCCCCCAGGTGTTCCGCGCGCGGCGTGCGGACCCGGGGCTCCCGCGCGGCCCTAGAGAGCCCACCTCCGCGCCTGCGCCCACCTGCGCCGCCGCCGCGACGCGCCTCTGCCTGGGGTTGCCGGGGCGAGGGCTGCTCGCTCTCTCTTAACAGGGGCAGCCGGCGGAGCACTATACGGCCACTGTTCTCCGAGACACAAAGAGGGCCTTGTTTTGGGTGTGGCCTCCTGGAAGAGAGATGGGGAGTACAGGCTGCTCCACACCGTCCCTGGGCTTCCTTCTAGGGCGTCCTGGGATAGCTAGGATTTCAGGGTGGGGCAGAAAAGAAGGCTGCCACAGACACTCTAGACCCAGGACGGTCTTGTAGGCTCAATGTGTGTGTTTCATCCCAGGCGCGGCCGGCATAGCGCTCGGGGTGCGGGTGGAAATAATAGCAGCAGTGTTAGCGCCTTGGTAAGCGCGCTCCTAAGTCAGGCATCTCACATCCACCTGCGACTTCACTGTTGCAGGCGACACTTTTCCCCTGGCACAGTGTTGGGTGCTCATTTGCCCTCTTTATTTAGCTCCAACTGAACTGAGAGATAGAGATACAAAGCATCCATTATGCGGTACCATTTCCCTATTGATGGTATTAACAGTAGTTGGTGCCATTGTTAGCGTTAGGCCTCTTGGGAAAAGCCAAAGAGAGGAAGAACGCCCTCCATTTTTTTTTTCTTGCAGCCCTAAGAGTACAATGCTCCACCATAAGTGAAATTTTATAGAATTCTACATAGTTCTGTTCAATTTTTTCCTCGCTCTTACTCATCTTTCAGGCTGGATTGTGATTTTTTTTTTTTTTCCGTAGAGACTCTGCTTACCGTTTTTTTATCTAATACCTGGACACATTGCAGCCTTCCAGCAAATAATTAATACGGTGTTGAATTTATTTTTAAAATTCCAGATCCCTCTTTCACAGGTCTTCTACCATTTCATCCTCCTACTGCTTTGGGAGGCAATTAGAACAAGTTTACCATTAGTTTACATTATTAGAAGAACTACTCTGGAAAGCCACAGCTGATTCTTTTGGAAGTGAAAAGAACACTTTCGTTGTTGTTGTCACATAAAGCCACTGAACTTTAACGCTGAATTGAGCCTAGCCTATACTATGTTGAAGTGGAAAGGGAATTTGAGAGTCAAAATAATGCACTGTCTCTACCTTTGTGTTTGTGATTTTTTTAAAGAGGGAGTTGGTAATGCCTTTAAAGATCTCTAGGGACACCTAACCATAAGCAAGACCTAAACTACTTGATTGCAAGTTACCAAACGTCTTCTAGAGAATTCTTCTTATGCAACTTTTATCACATAGATAATTCAGTTGCAAATACTTTTGCTAACAGAATTTTAAAATACAACCTTGATTTTAACTGGGCATTTTCCCAAAATCCTGTGATATTCAATGGCCTGAGGAGATTTGAATTCTTATCAAAAACACTTGCAAGACTTTTTCCAGAATACTTATATTTCTCTTGAGGCAAGGCAAACTTCTGATTTGGCAGTGAGACCAAACCCTGTTTCCTTAGGGATGGTATTGCTAATTATTACAAACTCAATACGATCCTATTCAGCGTAATTAAACCCAAATGGACCATATTATAAGTGGAGGAGGGAACACATCTCTGAATAAACTCAGCCTCATCTGGAGTCACTCAGTATGATAGGGTCAGAGCTGCATTTGGGGTTCTGCCTGGCAAAAAGTAAAAGCGGCCTCTCTTCAGGATTTTTATGAACTCAATGATGCAATGTATCAATGTCTCTGTTGGCCTTGCCCTATAACAAAGATGTGGAGGAAAAGCACTCAGTGGATTGCAGTCAGCTCTGCCCTTTTTCTAGCAGCCAAAAGGGAAATTCTAGGGCAGCATGAAAAGAGTGTTTACTCTGTGAACAGTCAAGGCTTTAAAATAGCCTCCTCCCAAAACTGTGAAACTGCTGGAATAAAACATAGGGGAAACTCTTCAAGACATTGGTCTTGGCGAGGATTTTTGGGATAAGAACTCAAAAGCATAGGCAGCAAAGGCAGAAAGAGACAAATGGGATTACATTAAATTTAAAAGCTTCTATACAATAAAGGAAACGACAGAGTAAAGAGACAGCCTACACAAGGGGAGAAAATATTTGCAAACTACGCATTTGCCAAGGGGTTAATATCCAGAATATAAAAGGAATTCAAACAACTCAACAGCAGAAAAACCAAATAGTCTGATTTAAAAATGGGCAAAAAAAACTGAACAGAGATTTCTCAATATGAGACCTACAAATGACTAACAGGTCTATGAAAAAATACTCAGTATCACTAATGATTAGGAAAATGCAAATCAAAACCACAGTGAGCTATCACCTCACCCCAATTAGACTGACTATGATCAAAAAGACTAACAATAACTAATGCTGGCAAGGAGGCAAAGAAATGGGAACCCTTATGCACTGTTGGCAGGACTGTAAATTAGTACAGCCATTATAGAAAACAGTATAGAGCTTCCTCAAAAAATGAAAAATAGAGCTACCGTACGATCCAGCAATCTCACCAGTGGGTATTTATCCAAAGGAAATGAAATCACTATGTTGAAGAAATATCTGCACTCCCATGTTTATTGCAGCACTATTCACAATGGCCAAATATGAAATCAACCTAACTGTCCATCAATGGATGAATAGATAAAGAACATTTTGTAGAGATACATAGTGTAATACTATCCAGCCACAAAGAATGAAACCCTGTCATTTGTGACAATATGGATGAACCTTGAGGACATTATAAGTGAAATAAGCAAGGCACAGAAAGACCCATACCGTGTGATCCCACTCATTTGTGGAATCTTAAAAAGCTGATCTCATGGGCGTCCAGAGTAAAATACTGGCTACCAGAGGCTAGGGAAAATCGGGGAGAGGTGGGTATGTGAAGAGATGGGTCAGTGAGTACAAAATTACAGTTAGATGGAAAGAATAAGTTCTGGTGTTTTATTCCATAGTATGGTGACTATAGTTAACAATATTTTATTGTATATCTGAAAATAACTAGAAAAGAGGACTTTGAATGTTCTCACCACAAAGAAATGATCAATGTTTGAGGTGATGGATATGCTAATTACCCTGATTAGCTCATTACACAGTGTATATGTGTATCAAAATATCACACTGTATCCCATAAATATGTGCAATTATATGTTGATTACATATAAGAATAAAACCTTTTATAATAAAATATTTTAACATTTAAAAATAATTAAAACAGCAAAGTAGTCTCCTGTATTTTGTTCTGCCTTCAGGAAGGCATACAACTCAAGTTCAAGACTGTGTCTTCAGAACACTTATTTCATTTCCTTTTTTTTTTTTTTTTTTTTTTTTTTTTTTTTGAGATGAATCTCACTGTTGCCCAGGCTAGAGTGCAGGGGCACAATGTCATCTTACTGCAAACTCTGCCTCTCAGGTTCAAGCAATTCTGTGCCTCAGCTTCCCGAGTAGCTGGATTACAGGCATCTGCCACCATGCCTAGCTAATCTTTGTATTTTTTAGTAGAGACAGGTTTACACCATGTTGGCCAGGCTGGTCTCGAACTGCTGACCTCAAGTGATCCACCCACCTCGGCCTCTCAAAGTGCTGGGATTGCAGGCGTGAGTCACCACATGCACCCAGGACACTTATTTTCTTATTCCCTTCCCACTTCTATCCTTTCAACCATCACTTGGATGCAGATAATTCCTGTATCAGTATTTCCAGTCCTGGATTCTCTTCCTACAAGCCATATTATATTTCTGTCTACCTGCTGAGTACCTCTACTTGGATGTCCCATCAATAACCCTAATGTCACAAACCAGATAAAGTGAAAAACATGGGTTCTGAAGGCAGAAAGACCTATATTCAAATCACGACTCTGGCACGTGTTAGCTGTGTGACCTGAACCAAGTTATTTAACCACTCTCAGTTTTAAGCTTCTTGCCTATAAGATGGAATAATGATAATGCTATGTTTGCGTCTCCCCAAAATGCGTATGTTGAAATCCTAACAACCAAGTGGATGGTATCAGGAGATGGGACCTTTGGGAAGTGGAACCTTCAGGAGGGATGCGGACAATAAAAATGCCGTGGTCTGAGTGTTTGTGTTTCCCCAAAATGCAAATGTTAAAATGTTAAGTGCCAAGATGATGATATTAAGAGATGAGACCTTTGGGGGGTGGGGTCTTTGGGATTCACTAAACTGCCCTCATGAATGAGATGAGTGCCCTTCTAAAAAGAGGCCTGAGAAAAACCTCTTACATCTTCCACCATGTGAAGCTACAGTGAAAAGACAGCCGTCTATGAATCCAGAAGCAGGCTCTCATCAGACACTGAATTGGCCAGCACCTTGATTTTGGACTTCCCAGCCTCCAGAACCATGATAAATAAATTCCTATTCTTTATAAGCCATTCTGCTTATGGTATTTTGTTACAGCAGCCTGAATGGACTAAGACAGATAATATCTGTAGCGATAATATCTGTAAAAAAAAAAAATCTGTTCCTCAGGTTGAGTAGTTGGCATATATATGGGTATTCATCATAGTATTTCCTATATTTTTATACATGCCTTAGGTAGGTCAAAATGAAAATAGAATTAATAGCAAAAATGAGGGATCATTATACTTCCTTGTTAAGGGTGGACGTGTCAATTTACTGAAATTGAGCATAAGACATTTTACATGACAAATATTTATTGAGTGTTCATCTAATGCCAAGCACTGCGGACAAAAGTATGATCAAAACAATCACAGTCCCTGCCCTCAAGGTGTTTCAGTGTAATAATATCAGCCTTATTATTATCTCTTGCCTACTACCAACTCCTCCTCTCGATTTCATTATTTCTTTCATTGATCTCAATTACTCAAGCTCAAAGCCTTGGAGTTGTTTTTGGCTCATCTCTCCTACTGGCCTCCATATCAGGGCAGATGCATTTTCCTCTTCTACAGCATTTCTCCATCCCATCCTTCTCTTCCTTTTTCACTGTCATGACTCTAGTTCAGATCCTCTAGTTCAGCTCTAGTTCAGACTCTAGGTCATAACATATTGCTTCTTCCTGGCTGGAATATTAGCCTCTGCTGCCAGATTAATCTTCATGAAAACCACCCTAACCATATCACTCTCCAGCTTAAAAACCTTCAAGTGGTTTATAATTGCCTTGTGAATTATTTCCTTACTCTGTCCTTTAAGGCTCAGACTGCTGTCTTTTACAAACTCAGCCAAGTAAGTCACTGGCATTTAGTAGGTGCTCAATACTGTTTTTTTTGTTTTTTTGTTTTTTTGAGATGGAGTCTCGCTCTGTCGCCCAGGCTGGAGTGCAGTGGTGCGATCTCAGCTCACTGCAAGCTCCACCTCCTGGGTTCACACCATTCTCCTGCCTCAGCCTTCCCAGTAGCCGGACTACAGGCGCCCGCCACCACGCCCGGCTAATTTTTTTTTTTTTTTTTTTTTGTATTTTTAGTAGAGACAGGGTTTCACCGTGTTAGCCAGGATGGTCTCGATCTCCTGACCTCATGATCCTCCCCCCTCAGCCTCCCAAAGTGCTGGGATTACAGGTGCGAGCCTCTGCACGCAGCCTAGATACATACTTTTAAATGTATCAATTAGTCAACCAATCCCTTTCTATATCCTGCACTTGCAAATTATTTCTATGTCTTCGCTCATGCTGTTCCACGTCTATCAAATTCTTTGAGGTTCATGTCAAAATTCATTTGAACATTCCCACCAGATGCAGTTCTTCCAAAGTAACTCTTGTCTGTTCATTTCAATGAGCAGAGATGATCATAAGCAGTTTATTTTCATCTGTCACAACTTTTCCACGAGGACCTTGATCAGTACATTATGCTAAGGCTACTACACGGTCCACTACATTGATAATAACATGCTGATTGGACCTGTTGAACTGAAAGTGGTAGATGTCTAACTAAGGCACATGCATATCAGAGGGTGGGAGATGCACTCTGGGAAAGTTCAGGGTCCTGACATCTCAGTGAATTTCTAGAGATCTGCAGTAGTCTGGAGCATGTTAAAATAGCCTCTCCAAAGTGAAAGGCAAGTTGCTTCACTTTGCACCCCTACTAATATATGATGTAACCTATTCCTGAGCTATCCAGAAAGGCTACCAGCTCTGCACAGGGCCCAGAGCACAAAAAGGCTCTCCAGCTGGTTTGGGTTGTAGTGGATACGGATCTACCACAGTGGCCTTTTGACCTCAGCAGATCCAGATATACTCAAGGTGACTGCAGCAGATAGAGGTTGGTATGGAGCCTCTTGCAAGCTCTAATTGAAGACTCATGGTTGGTTACTGCATGGCCCACCACAGCCATACAGCGCCCTTGTGTTAACTTTTAAGGTACTTCAAAATATGGTAAAATATACATAAAATTTACCATTTTAACCATTTTAAGTGTATTGTTCAGTGGTGTTAACCGTATTTACATTGTTGTGCAATCATCACCACTATCCATCTCCAGAACGCTTTTCATCTTGCGAAGCTGAAACTCTGTACCCACACAACGATAACTCCTGATTTTTCCCTACCCTTGGCCCCTGGCAATCATCCTTCTACTTTCTATTACTATGAATATGACAACTCTAGGTACCTCACATAAATACCGTATGATCATATAGTATTTGTCCTTTTGTGAATGGCTTATTTCACTTGGCACAATTTTCTTAAGATGCATCCATGTTGTAGCATATGTCAGAATTGTTTGCCTCTTGAAGGCTGAATAATATTCCATTGTGTGGATAGAGCACATTTTGTTTATCCATTCATTCTCCAGTGGACAGTTGGGTTGCTTGTACATTTTGGCTATTGTGAATAATCCTGCTATGAACATGGGTGTGCAGAAATCTCACTGACACCTGCTTTCAATTCTTTTGAATATACACCCCGACATGGAATTGCTGGGTCATATGGTAATTCCATTTTTAGTTTTTTGAGGAAATCTTACACTGTTTTTCATGGTGGTTGCAGCATTTTACCTTCCCACTAACAGTGCAGAAGTGTTCCAATTTCTCTGCTTCATCACAAATACATGTTATTTTCTGGAGGATTTTTGGTTTTAGTTTTTTTTTTTTTTATAGCAGCCATCTTAATGGGTATGAGGTGGTCTGTTGTGCTCATGTTAAAAAGATGCAGAGGATGCCTGCATCCTCTGCATAGCCCAGAAGCACTCAAACATCAGAAGGAAGTGGGACATAAGAGATCTCCCTGGAAAGTCGAGGCTGCAGTGAGCCATGATCACACCACTGCACTTCAGCCTGGGTGACAGAGGTGACCCTGTCTCAAAAACAATAAAGAGAGAGAGAGAGAGAGCTCCCACTGAAGCATACGCTAAAGGTCCAACTGAGTTTCACGAGAAGGTGGTTCAGATTCCCATGTCTTCTTCCAGTGTCGATCAATGCCACCTCTCCCTCAATTCATACTTACAGTGTTATAGGGCATTTAATGCACGTAGTTCACAAAAGAAGAAAAAGTTCCAGCCTGGTTTATATACGTTTCTGCACCATAAACTCAAAGCGGCCGGAAGTGGAATGCTGCAGCACTACAGCTCTGCTCAGGAGTGGCCACCAAGGATGGAGAGGACGGAACTTCTCCAGGTGGGCAGAACTGTGCAGTTTTTCTTGAAACTTCAATGCCTTGAAGGATAGATGGCCACATATACAGACTGATGCCAATTAAAGGTGGGTGAGCAGCATTTGTTCAATGCCCGGGACTTGGAAGGAACAAAATTTGAGATTGGCAATGAGAAACAAGGAAAATATTTAGGGATGGATCTTTCAAAAGAGCCCAGAGTATGAAAATACTTGTGTCCCATGTAAATACTCACCATAGGGCATTGCTTCAGTGATGTAGTGACATTCTCAATAACTATACAGACGGGATGATCCATTTTATGGCGCCTCTTATTATTAAGCTTTCTTCTTCTTCTTCTTGCCCTCTCATTAATTTTGTAAGCACCTAATCTCTTGCATTAAATTCTGTCGGTTTAAAATACTGTTATGGATGGAACGTTTGTGTTCCCATAACATTCATCTGTTGAAACTTTAACCTCCAATATGACTGTATTGGGAGATATGGCCTGCTTGGAGGTGATAGAGGTTAAATAATGTCATAAGGGTCAGGTCCTAATCCCATAGAATTGGTGCCCTTATAAGATGAGGAAGGGACAACAGAGCGCTCTGTCTCTTAGTCATGTGAGCAGACAGCAAGAAGGTGGCTGTCTGCAAGCCAGGAAGAGAGCCCTTGCCAGAAACTGCACCCTGCTGGACCTTGATCTTGGACTTCTCAGCCTCCAGAACTGTGAGAAGTAAACTGTTGCCGTTTAAGCCACTCAGTCTGTGGCATTTTGTTATGGCAGCCCTAGCTGACTAATGTAAGTACTTAGAGTGGATTTTATTCCTTGTACTGATTCTGACCTGACACAGATTCATATCGCAATACAGCTTTTATGAAATCTAAATACTTCAGATTTCATGAATTTATGAGTATAAAGACAGTCACATGAATATTAATATCTAAAATCTCACCAGCCCGAAGCCTCCATCTTCATGATAAAGTCCTGTTCTTCCTAATATTCCCTAATAAATATTTCCAACATGTATACACAAGCCAATCCTGGTGGGTCCCTGCTGTCTTGTCAGCTGGCTCAGGATTCCATGGCAGTAAGCACAGAAAGACCTAAAATATGCTACTCCTCTCTACTGCCACTGTAGCTGCAGGAAATTTGCAGCATGTGATGTCAGGGAAGCTAAAAGGCTGCCTCAGCTCATGACTCAAGAATCAAACTCACACTCATTTTGGAGAATTCCCCATCCAATGATGTTCACTTCCTAGAGTTTAAGAGTTTTTTCTTTTCCCATCATGGTGATCCAAGCTGGGCCCACCATGACAGCTCCATTCTGTGCAAATTCTTGACTGGGACTTAGCTTCCGTTATGGTTGGTCACTGCCATTGCCAATATTGTTACTTTCACTGTGGTTATAGCCACTAACAGTGCTGAAGACATGCTCTCCTCAATGCCTGTGAAATCGCAAAGCTGCCACTGTACCCCAGTGCCAGAGATCTGCCCACTGCAGATATTCTTGAGAAGTTAGGACATTCTTAAGTAAGGGTTTGCCCCACAGCAGAGTTTCTGGCTCACCAAAGTGTCAGAATCAATACGCCTTCCATTCATGCACATTGCCATTCCCCACGAGGTGCGTCACTGGGATGCATTCTAAGATCAGTAAGCCCATTGTACCCAGAGCCACCACTCTCCCTCTGACATGAAAACCTGATGCTAGAATTTGCTTTTCTTGGTTTTCCCATTTTCAGTTGTGATGGGTTTATCTCACTCTTTGGGTGGAGTCAGGACCTTTGTGGGGCAGATCATATGCAGCCTGCATTACAGACTGTCTAGTTCTTCAGATAATTGCAAATATCTCTTCAGGGTTCAAGTTTTTATAAATTCAGGAAGTTCTTCAGCTCCTGTGAAAATAATTGTATTCCAATAGACCCGTGGTGGGGTGGTGGGGGAGGCAGGATTTTTCCTAACCTAACAATATGGGAGCACCTGAGTCCCAGCTGTAGTCCATTTAGGACTTCCTGTCACATTTTGAATAGTGAAAAATTACAAACAATAGCAAAAATAAATTGAATTATTACATAGAGTATGGTGTGGCCATATATACAATATGATATAGCCGTTAAAATTGTTTCAAAGAATACTCAATGACCGGCCGGGCGCGGTGGCTCATGCCTGTAATCCCAGCACTTTGGGAGGCCGAGGCAGGCGGATCACAAGGTCAGGAGATCGAGACCATCCTGGCTAACACGGTGAAACCCTGTCTCTACAAAAAGTACAAAAAATTAGCTGGGCGTGGTGGTGGGCGCCTGTAGTCCCAGCTATTCAGGAGGCTGAGGCAGGAGAATGGCATGAACCCGGGAGGCTTGCAGTGAGCCAAGATCACGCCACTGCACTCCAGCCTGGGCGACAGAGCGAGACTCTGTCTCATAAAAAAAAAAAAAAAAAAAAAAAAAGAATACTTAATGACTTAGAAAAATGCTCATGGCAAAATTTTAAGCCAAAAACCTGGGTACAAAAGTGTTATATATAGTATGACCTAAGTTGTGTTTCAGAATTGTGTGTGTGTGTGTGTGTGTGTGTGTAGAGAGAGAGAAAATAGAAAAAGGAATAAATAGATACAACACTTACATCTGAGTGGTGGGTTTGTGGTTGATTTTAATTTTATGTTTTAAAAAATATTTTACAAATATTCACGTTACATATTTTAATAATTATAAAGAACAAGTATTTTTAAAAAGTCATTTCAAGCAGGGCACAGTGGCTCATGCCTGTAATCCCAGTATTTTGGAAGGCTGAGGTGGGCGAATAGTTTGAGTTCAGGAGTTCAAGACCAGCTCAGGCAATATGGTGAAACCCCATCTCTACTGAAAATACAAAAATTAGCTGGTGGTGTGAGGTGCCTGTAATCCCAGCCACTAGGCAGGCTGAGGCAGGAGAATCGCTTGAACCCGGGAGGCGGAGGTTGCAGTGAGCCAAGATACTGCTACTGCACTCCAGCCTGGGTGCCAGAGCGAGGCAAGACTCCATCTCAAAAAAAAAATTTAAAAAGGCATTTCAAAATAAAAACCAATCATAATCAGTAATCGCATCATAGTGTCATGAGTCAAAGGAAAAATTTTTGTAGAGAATACCTTTTTTAACAAATCACAAATTAGACACTGATTAGTTGAAAGACCCTCCTAAAATTTCAACTCAAAAATAGTCTTTCTGAGCAGTTATTTTTCAAGAACAAAATCAGGCATATTTGCCATGAGGAAACAATAAAAGCAAATATCCCAAATGTATAACAATAGCTGGAAAAAGAAAAGAGGAGGGTGTTTCCTCCTGAGTTGTCAAGTTCTTGGCAAGGCTGCTTTTATGACAACACCAAAAAACAAAAACCCCAAAGATTTTTCTATGAGTCCAATTGGATTTAAAGGAATGTTTTATGGTGCTTTAAAGACAATATTCTATTAAAATTACTCAATTTAACTTTTCGTAATAAATCTGAAATGCATCTTTGGTATTTGGGTAACAAATATATCTTTGATATTTGAGAAAATAGAATTTACATAATTAATAAAGCCTTACCTTAATCCCACCATCTTTTTAATTTTGACATAGATTCTAAATATTGGGAAAATGTATATGAATATGGATCTTTTCAGCAGGACACTCTCAGATTTTTAATAAACAGATGTTAAAAGTTATTCTTGGGTTATATTAGGGTTTTCTTGTGGAGATAATGAGTAATTTCAAATGCTGGCTCTGCAAGACTATTCTTTCTTCTCTTCTTTGGCAGAGAGAATATTTCTGTAAACAAAAGCAGTGAAGAAGATTTGTTCAAAATGGTGAAATAAAATAAGCATTTGATCTGGATCTAACTTGCTGAGAACCACCTATGTTTGCATTTGGATTGGGCAGTAGCTACTGACTGTTGCCACTGCAAAGACATTCTTAAAGCACTTAACATGGCACAAATCCCATTATTTTTTGGTAGGGTAGATCACGTTTATTTTCAGTGTTTCGTTCCTAATCATTCAGCCATTTTGCAAGGATAATCGATACTGTGGTTTGAATGTATCCCCAAAATTCAGGTGTTAGAAACATAATCCTCAATTCAACAGTGTTGACAGATGGGGCCTAATGATGGTGCTTAGGTCATGAGGGCTCCCCTCTCATGAATGGATCAATGCTGCTATGAAAAGGGCTTCTGGGAGTGGGCTGTCTCTCTCTCCTGGTCTTCTGCCATGTGAGGACACATCATTCCTCCCCTACGGAGGACACAGCATTCAAGGCAATATCTCAGAAACAGAGAGACTAGGTCCCAACCTGCTGGCACCTTGATCTTGGACTTCCCAGCCTCCAGAACTGTGAGAGAATAAATTTCTGTTCTTTATGAATTACCCAGTCTGAGGCATTCTATTATAGCAGCACAAAATGGACTTATAACAGTAAGAAGGAGAAACAATCAACTTATAAATGAATTATATTGCAAAAGTCAAGTTGTAAAAAGCTTGTTCACTGCTCCAACTTCACAAACAATGGCTGTTCCTGGGTCCTCCTGCAAACAATGGTAGTAATCCTGCAACTACTTACACTTTATCTGACTCCCATTTATAATATGTCTACAGCGAAATGCATAGGAACTGGCTTGACCTTGCATTTTAGGAACACACCTCCCCCCTCTACCTTAGAAACAAGAGGAGGCACTTCTACAAACTCCAGAGCGGTGGTGGACTGGGCAGCTCTCAAGTGGGAGGGGTGCCATCAGAGGTGGCTTCTCTTGAAGACTAATAACAACTCTTTATCTTTACATTGTTAGGCTAAAAGAGTCATAAAGCTCTTTAGATTACATGGTCTGTGCAGACTGTGAAACAATATCCTACCAGGATATGGGGTTACATATATATATAAGAAGTGGCTCCTCTTATTTCTAAGGTAGAAGGAGAAGGTCTGTTTCTAAAACTTAAGATCAAGCCAGTTCTTATGCATAAGTATGTAACCCTATATCCATATATAGATCCATATATGTATATCCATATTCATATATATACACACACACATGTAATCCTATATCCATATATATATCAAATATAAATACATATATCTGTTTTATAGTTATATATAGATATAATCATGTCAACACAATAATGTGTCAATGAAGGACCCATTTCCTTAGGTTACTGCTCCTGAATTTCATGGTCATGTTTGTTAGCATTTTTTCATTCATTTTGGTCTTGGAAAAGTTGAACACAAAAGCTTTTAAGAAAATTTACAAGAGCAAAACATTAAATAGAGATAATTATATAAACTTTTTTAGAATATTGAGAAAAATGGATCTTACTCTAGTTTAACTGACAGTATTCTTGTCCACTTTTGAAATCATTGTTTTAAACTTTAAAAGTTTTGAATTAAAGAATAAAGGAGAAGAGAAACAAGAAGGGACTCACTCAACAATGATTTCCCCATGACCTTATATTTAGTAACTCACCTTTGTATGTCCAGAAGCCCTGAAAACCAAAGTAGGATAACGGAATGGATAATAAACTGGGCAATAGAACTTCCATTACTAGAAAAGTTTTTAAATTACAATATCCTTAATAGTGGTATAATGAATAGTATTTGTCTCTTTGCAGGATACATAATGCCTATAAATCCCAAAAAGTAGGTTAAATACGTAAAGAAAAATAGTTTTCTAAAGTAATTTCTTACCCTGATTCTCATTCACTTGGGTTACTAGTGACCCTGACATGAAACAAAAGAAATTTGCATTAATGTTAGGAAGAGTAGCTCGCTAGGGAAAAAAATACCTAGGTTTGAACAGAAGTCTGTGACAATGCTCGGTGACTGTATTGAGGTATTTATCAATGACATCAAACACCTGACTCCTTTGGGCTTTGAAAGAGGAAGCTTCTGCTAGCCAACTTATTGGCAGTGGGTCTGTGAGCATCCCTACAGCATCCAATTTCTGGAGTGTCTTCGGTGCTAGTTCCCAATCCTTAATTTTAAATATTTTTCCATTTCCATCATCAGCACACTTTGACTATGATTCATAAACATCAACAATCTATTTTTAGAATTGTGCACATTTTATTAATTTTTTTCTTTTTCCTCACTATTTAATACACAGTCGAAAAATGGAAATTCAAAAAGTTTGTGATTGAAACTAAAACTAAATGCCTTAAATTTAATTATTTATATCTGCCACAATTGTCGTATCACTAGTGATATGGTTTGGCTGTGTCCCCACCCAAATCTCATCTTCAATACCTATGTGTTGTGGGAGGGACCCGGTGGAAGGTAACTGAATCATGGAGGCAGGTCTTTCCCATGCTCTTCTTGTGATAGCGAATAAGTCTCACGAGATCTGACAATATCATAAGGGGGAGTTTCCCTGCCTAATCTCTCTCTCTGTCTGCCTGCTGCCATCCATGTAGGATGTGACATGCTCCTCCTTGCCTTCCACCATGATTCTGAGACCTCTCCAGCCATATGGAACTATAAGTCATTGTATTAGTCCATTTTCGCATTGCTGATAAAGACATACCTGAGACTGGCAGTTTACAAAAGAAGGAGGTTCTTTTTTTTTTTTTTTTTGAGATGGAGCCTTGCCCTGTCGCCCAGGCTGGAGGGCAGTGGGGCAATCTTGGCTTACTGAAAGCTCCACCTCCCGGGTTCATGGCATTCTCCTGCCTCAGCCTCCCGAGTAGCTGGGACTACAGGCACCTGCCACCATGCCCAGCTAATTTTTGGTATTTTTATTAGAGATGGGGTTTCACCATGTTAGCCAGGATGGTCTCAATCTCCTGACCTTATGATCCACCTGCCTCGGCCTCCCAAAGTGCTGGGATTACACGCATGAGCCACTGCGCCCAGCCAAAAGAAGGACGTTCTTACAAAAGAAAGACAGAGGCTTACAGTTCCACACGGCTGGGGAGGCCTCACGATCATGGTGGAAGGCAAGGAGGAGCCAGTCATGTCTTACATGGATGGCAGCAGGCAGAGAGAGCTTGTGCAGGGAAACTCTCATTTTTAAAACCATCAGATTTTGTGAGACCCATTCACTATCATGAGAACAGCACGAGAAAGGGGCACCCCCATGATTCAGTTATCTCCCACCAGGTCCCTCCCACAACACGTGGAAATTATGGGAGCTACAAGATGAGATCTGAGTGGGGACATAGAGCCAAACCATATCAGTCATTTAAACCCCTTTCTTTTGTAAATTGTGCAGTCTCAGATATGTCTTTGTTAGCAGCATGAAAACAGACTAATAAAAGTAGTCTCATTTTTCTGTTACCAATTATTAAAAATATTTGCAAAATGCAAGAATATATTCAATATTCAAGTAATTGCATGAACACTTCTGGACAAACCAAGGAAGCAATTTAGTTTAAAGTAATATGTCAGTTGGCCAGCCAGATTACCATGGAACAACTCTAAATGTGTGTTCATTAGTTGATAAGTAAAAGTTCAAAGTCTGCAAATTGAGGTCATCATAGAATGTAATGAAAGTGCAGATTGCTTTAAGTCCATTATTACCTTTACTCTTTTGTCTTCTCCTTCAATCAATAAAGTGTACTTTTATTTTCTGCTTCAATCAATAAAGTATATTTTTATTTTCTAAAAAAATTAATATCAAAGTTTTCATTAGAATGCTATGGAGAATGAATACTCCTTCAATAAACATTTATTTTTATAAATAGAGTATATAAAAATACATGTTCACACACACACACACACACACACACACAGAGTGTTCACTGCACTGAGAGGAGGAGACACCTCTTGCAAATTGTAACAAAGTGCCTATGTTACCACTGAGATTACTAATAAATTCCTCAAATTGCTTTCTCTATAATAGTTCAAAGCAAAAGAAATTATTATACAAAAAGACACCTGCATGTTTAACACAAAACTATTTTAAAAATAAGCACCTGTATGTTTATCACAAAACTATTCACAATAGGAAAAATATGGAATCAACCTAAGTGTCCATTCATGGATGAATGGGTAAAGAATATGTGATGTATATACACAGTGGAATACTATTCAGCCATAGAGAGAATGAAATAATGTCTTTTGCAGCTAAACGAATGGAACTGGAGGCCATTATCTTAAATGAAACAACTCAGAAACAGAAAAACAAATACCACATGTTCTCATTTATAAGTAGGAGCTAAATAATGTGTGCACATACCATAGTATGTGAAATGATAAACATTGGAGACTCTGGAGCATAGGAGAGGTGGGAGGCGAGTGGATGATGAGAAATTAATGGATGCAATGTACATTATTCGGGAGATGGACACCATAAAAGCCCAGACTTCACCACTAAACAAAATATCCATGTAATAAAATTGCACCTTAAATTTATACACACACACACACACACACACACACACACACACACACACACAAACGGAAATGGGAGGTATTACCAAGGAAAATAATTTTATTTTAATCTTCTTAGGCTTAAAAAAAAACAAAGAATTTTCATTTATCGTTGGAAACTCTAAAACTATTTATACCCAATACCCACAGTGAGTGTTTTATGTCATTTAATTATTTTTGCTTTTTGTTATGCTTTATTTCACCTACTTGAGAAGCATTGTAATGCAACTCTTGAGAGCACAGAGGCTCAGGAGCCAGACTGCCTGGGCTTGAATACTGGCTCCCCCATTTCAGCTGTACAGGCCTGCACTGTGCTTAACTTCTGTGCCTCAGTTTTCTCACTTGTAAAATGGGAATTAATAACTGAGTTGTGAGAAATCAAAGAGTAATGAATTGTAAGCAGATAGAAGAGTACCTCCCACATGTAAGCTCTCACAAACACTTCTTGCTGGGCTCAGCTCCTCTTCCATTTCATTTCTCTTTTCTAGCTCAAAATAGGCAGAAATGAAAACACAGCATTTCTCATTAATGGACCCTAGGGGTATTTTGGGTGAGACAGTTAATTCATTGTGCAAGGTGACCGACAAATTGCAGACTGTTTCTTATTCTTGATTTCTGGGCACTATTATTATTATTATATTATTGCCAGCAGAAATCCCCAATCATTTTGACAGCCAAAAACAGCACCCCACCCCCTGCCCTGTCCTTTGGTTCCAAATGCCCACCCAGGTTAAGAACCACAGCAGATATTTAACTCTCACTTTCATTGATGTCAACTAAAGTTTAAGGGAAAATAATGGAAATTGTAGTGGATGAAGTAGGCAATAATATTAACAACTGCTATGTTTTGAGTCCTTACTATAGTCCAGGGCTCCTAATAGACTCATAAGTAGAGAAAGAAACTGAGATGAAAAAAGTAATTAACTAATCCAAGTCACAAAGTTGTCAAGGTGGTAGAAGAATTCAAATTCCTGGTTATCTTACACCAAGTCACATGCTCTTGCTCATAAAAACTAAATCACTTATTGTTTTAAGTTAAACTAACACAGCTACATCAGTTTGACCGAAGAACAGATTTGGGGCAAGTATAAAGTTAATGCATTCATGGATACAATTATGCAGTACACCTGAACAGAGCTGGTTTTGTTCACCCTGTACCCTGGACTCTTGACTTTAGTTATTAGGTGGAGTTCAATTTGTAGATGGTGTATTAGTCTGTTTTTACACTGCTGTAAAGATACTACCGGAGACCGGGTAATTTATAAGGAAAGAGGTTTAATTGACTCACAGTTCCACATAGCTGGAGAGGCCTCTTACAATCATGGCCGAGGGTGAAGGGGAAGCAAGGATCTTCTTCACATGGCAGCAGGAGAAAGTGCGAGCAAGGGAGCCAGGAGCTTATAAAACCGTCAGATCCAGGCTGGGCACGGTGGCTCACGCCTGTAATCCCAACACTTCAGGAGGCCGAGGCGGGCAGATCACGACGGCAGGAGACTGAGACCATCCCTGCTAATACGGTGAAACCCCGTCTCTACTAAAAACACAAAAAATTAGCCGGGCGTGGTGGCGGGCGCCTGTAATACCAGCTACTTGGGAGGCTGAGGCAGGAGAATGGCGTGAACCCGGGAGGCGGAGCTTGCAGTGAGCCGAGATGGTGCCACTGCATTCCAGCCTGGGCAACAGAGCGAGAGACTCCGTCTCAAAAACAAACAAACAAACAAACAAACAAAACCTTCAGATCTCATGAGAACTCACTATCACAAGAAGAGCATGGGGAAACGGCACCGATGATCCAATCACCTCCCTCCCTTGACACGTGGGGATTACAATTGGAGATGAGATTTGGGTGCAGACACAGAACCAAAGCATATTAGATGGATATAGATAACAAGATTTGTAAGAATTCTTATGAAATCCACAAAAATTTTATTGAGACCAGTTGAATTCACAGTCTGTAAAGGATAGTATAACCCAAAATTTAGAGGTCTTTCTAACCTGTGGATATGGCTTCCACAGGCCCGTTGTTTCCACTTGCTCATTCAGAAACTCCTGTCTCTGGCCAGGCAAGGTGGCTCAGCCTGTAATCCCAGCACTTTGCGAGGCCAGCGCGGGCAGATCGCTTGAGCTCAGGAGTTCAAGACAATCCTGGGCAAAATGGTGAAACCCCATTTCTACCCAAAATACAAAAAGTTAGCCAGGCATAGTAGCATGCGCCTGTAGTCCCAGCTACTCAGCAAGGCTGAGGTGGGAGGATGGCTTGTGCTCAGGAGATGAAGATTGCAGTGAGCCAAGATGGCACCACTGCACTCCAGCCCAGGTGACAGAGTGAAACCCTGTCTCAAAAAAACCAACAAACAAAAAATAAACAAAAACAAACAACCAAAAACCACACAAATTCCTGTCTCCAGAAAAGCTCCTCGCAGGCATGTCTAGGCGTTCGTAGAGGCTTGCTCAGATAGGGCCGGGAACACCTGTTCACCTCACGCTCCACTTCAGATTCTGCCATATGAAAACTCCTGCTGGGGAGACCGCATCCTTGCCAGTGCCACTGGGCCCTTCAGTGAGAAGATTAACATCCATGCCAAGAGTGTTGTTTTCTGGAACTTTCAGACTGACCATTTTGAAGGGCCAGCGCCATGCTGGCTTTTCTACAGAAGTGGGGAGGATGCCTCTCTTCCCAACTCTGGGTCACACCTTAAATCTCTCAGCCTCAGGGCAGCGCTGCAATCTCTCAGCCTCAGGGCAGCTCTGCTTGAGCCCAGAGTCCACAGAATTTCTCAGGAAGCTGTCCTAGTTTGGGGCTCACCCACGTTTCCATTACTGCTGAAACCTGAGTAACCAGAGGGGGACAAACACTAGGCCATGTTAACCCTGTCCTCGTCTTCCCAGTCTGCCCTACTCACATGTTTCTACTCCAAAGAAAATAAAAACCTTTATTGTGGTGGTGAATTTTATGTGTCAACTTGGGTAGGCTGTGGTGCCCTGTTGTTGATCAAACACCAGTCTAGTTGTTGCTGTGAAGTATTTTTATAAACGTATTTAACATTTAAATCAGTGAAAAAATCAGATTACCCTCTATAACATGGATGGGCCTCTTTCAATCAGTTGACAGTCTTTAGAGAAAAGACTGAGGACCCCTCAAAAAGGAAAGAATTCAGCCTCAAAACTGCCTTGGGAGTAAAGAACGCAACACCAACTTTTGCCAGAATTGCAGCAAGCCTGCCTTATAGATTTTGTACTTGCCAGCCCCTACAATCGCGTGTGCTAATTACTTAAAATAAATTTCATTTATATATATGATATATATGAAACTAATATATCCTATTGGTTCTGTTTCTCTGGAGAACCCTGTCTAATACACTTATCCTATCCTCTTTCAGACAATGCCAAAGTATTCATTCATAGCAACGCATCTACACAGATGTCCAGTGATACCACTTGCCTGGAAGGTCAGCAAACCAGACATTGATTGATTACCAATTGAGGCCCTTGAGAGCACTAATTTATATTGTAGATAATGAGTAACAGGTGGTATTAGGTGAGTCAGGATATCAGTTTCCATTTCTCTTGTCTAGGTCCCTACGACAGCATTGCTGAAGAGATGCCTCCTGTCCTGGTCCTGTTTCACGTTGTTCTTTCCCCAGCCAGGGCACACTGGATTCTTCAGGAACTTTCCTACCACCACAATTCCTACTTCTGCTATGACTAGTATAATTACCTAATATTTTTTGGCCATTTCTTATTTAACCCAGATGTCACCAAGGAAATCTTCACTCTGAGACAGAATGAGCTTGAGTGCACAGTCTATACTACAGGTAAGTCCACATGTCTGCAGATTTTTAGATGTGTGTGGGGGAGCTTATATGCTCAAGGTCAATGTGGGCTCCAGGTTTCCATTGCTGCTCTTCTGTACTATGTCATCTCAGACTTACACCCAAGCTTTTTTCTAGATTTCCAATAAAAGACCATTCAAACCAAATATTTGCAAAAATATAGACTATACTGAAGATGTTTAGGTTCCATAGAAGGGTCACTTCATCCCACACAGTAATACCAACCTAAAAACACATATTAGTGTAGTGAATAATGTTTGAAATGCCAGTTAAAGTTTTCCTTCCTTATGTTTCCTTTGATCGTCCCCTTTCTTCTCACTGGTCCGGCACCTGTAACATCTTTCATCTACACTGTAGTCAGAGAGAAGCTACAGACAAAAAGCCTTGGAACAGCAGAGACTTGAGCTGAGAGCCACAGCACCTGAAGAGGAAAACATTTTCTGAATTCCAAAAACATGGCTTTTATTATCAAGAGCCAATGCCTGAAGGCAGAAGACACAATGTTTACACATAAACAATCCCTGCGAAGGAGAAAGATGAAGAGCCCGTTTCCAGCCACACAAGAAGATAAAATATTTTGCTTGAATTGGGGAAAGAACTTGAAAGAGGAGAGGAGAACAAAAGAGTGAGTTTGCCTGTGTCTGTGACCCCTGGTTCCACCTCCCCCCAGGCCATGTTGAAGTGGGGAAGAAAACTGCAAATCTAATACAGGTTTACGGAAGCCAACACAAAAAAGGACTTGGCCTTCCTTCTCAGTAGATAAACCTGGGAAGACTGTGAGTTTCAGGGAGAAACTCAGCATCCATCCCGGCCAGCAAATTCTGAGTGAGACACCCTGACAGCTGGCCTCATGGACCTCCAGGGTGATAAGGGGACAGTGGCAGAATGTTGCTTGTGGACCCTGAGAGGAGGATGGGGATGACACCTAGACTAGTGGACATTGATAGGGTTTGGATGTGTGTTCCCTCCAAGTCTCATGTTGAAATGAGATTTCCAGTGTTAGAGGTGGGCCATGAGGGTGGATCCCTCAAGAATGGCCTCCCCCTGGTCATGAATGAGTTCTTGCTCTCTTAGCTCACGCAACAGCTGGTTGTTTAAAGGAGCCTGTCACCTCCTGCTCTCTCTATTGCTCCCTCTCTCGCTATATGACACGCCAGCTCCCCCTTCACCTTGCGCCCTGAGTAAAAGCTTCCTGAGGCCTCACCAGAAGCTGAGCAAATGCCAGTGCCATGCTTTCTGTACAGCTTGCAGAACCATGAGCCAAATAAACATCTTTTCTTTATAAATTACCCAGCCTCAGGAATTCCTTTATAGCAATGTAAAACAGACTAATAGAGATGTGAAGGAGTCTGATTTCTATGCCCCAGCGAGGAGGACACAGGTGGTTTGCATGGAACAGGTAATCAGAGTCCTTGGGAGAACAGTGGTCATTTTGGCATAAGCAGTGGGTCATGCACCCAGAGGCCTGGGGGGACAAGTTTCAGCTCAGTAGCAGCCAGAGAAAGATAAAAGACGACTGGGGATAAACCATTCTCTTCCCTGACATGGATGACAGTTAAAATCCTTTCCTTCTGGTACTTACATCACCTCCTGGGCAGGAGGGAGAAAAGAGCTGAGGAAGAAGTGGACTTGATTGTGAAGACAGCAATTATTCGCTGACTTTTAAATCCTAAGTGTCTGAGCTGACCTTTACTCAGATTACTTTTGTCACTACCAAGCGGAAAGGGTCACTCGAAATCTAGTTCAATTGCAGAGAAACGAAGAGTTTCCATTTTGCATACCTCTGCAACATAGGGGGAAATCTATGACATTTTCACCCCCAACATCTGGCATTCAGCTGTTGGAGGTGTTCTTGCACTCACCCTTGGGGGTTTCTCACTGGCCCTCACTGGGCCTTCCCTCTCACTGGCTTTCCTTTCTCTCTTTTTTTTTTGAGATGGAGTCTCACACTGTCGTCTGGGCTGGAGTGCAATGGTGCGATGTTGGCTCACTGCAACCTCTGCCTCCCAGGTTCACCCAATTCTCCTGCCTCAGCCTCCTGAGTAGCTGGAATTACAGGTGCACACCACCACAACCAGCTAATTTTTTTGTATTTTAGTAGAGACGGGGTTTCACTTTGTTGCCCAGGCTGGTCTCAAACTCCTGACCTCGTGATCCACCTGCCTCAGCCTCCCAAAGTGCTGGGATTACAGGCGTGAGCCACCATGCCCAGCCTCACTGGCTTTTTCTACTGATACTCACTTCTCTGCTCCTTTCCCACCAAGACTGCCTTGGGAACTCCACATTCTGCTTCTTATTATTTATTTATTTATTATTATTATTATTTTTTGACACGGAGTCGCGCTCTGTTGCCCAGGCTGGAGTGCAGTGGCACCATCTCAGCTCACTGCAAGCTCCGCCTCCTGGGTTCACGCCATTCTCCTGCCTCAGCCTCCCAAGTAGCTGGGACTACAGGCGCCTGCCACCACGCCCGGCTAATTTTTGGTATTTTTACTAGAGACGGGGTTCTGCTTCTTTAATGTGCAGAGCAAGTCAACGCTTCCCAGCTCGTGCTCTCACACAAACCTGTTAAGGCTCCAGCAGCATGAAGAGCCTTCCACTGAAAAGAATCCTTTCTAGAAGCCAGTCAGG